>NC_000015.10:42670813-42973843 GCF_000001405.40 Homo sapiens
AGTGCCTGAGGCAGAAGTGGCTGGCAACTTTTACCTTAGCAAGAAAACTAAACACCAAATGGCTGTATAGATCCTCCCATTAGTCAGAAGCACAGAGAGAGGTTGGAGGTCAGGAAGAGACCAGATTGATTAAAATGGTCACTATTTGAGTAGAACTGATCTGATATATGGATTGGATGTAGAGTGAATAGATGAAGCTAGAAATCAAGTAGTAGAGCTTAGGGTCGCAGCAGAGGGTTAAAGGACATGACTATTAGATTGAATCGTAGACATGGAGATGAATGATGAACTCATCTGAAGATAGGATTGCTGATTTTTTTTTTTTTTTTTTTTTTTTGAGACGGAGTCTTGCTGTGTCACCCAGGCTGGAGTGCAGTGGCGCGATCTTAGCTCACTGCAACCTCAACCTCCTGGGCTCAAGTGATTCTCCTGCCTAAGCCTCCTGCATAGCTGGGATTACAGGCATGCACCACTGTTGGGAATAATGCTTAAAATTTTAAGGAAATTGAACACTTAAAGGATTTTTAGTAAAGCAATTTTACTTTTGTGCAGAGGGGTGCTTCTCCTTGGCCAGTTGCCATGAGAACACATCTGAACAAAGGGGCATGAGAGCCTTTATTTCTGACACAAGTCCTGCTCCTGTACCCTTTCTCCTTCCCCATTGGCTGGGGTTGGGTCGTACATTCTAAACTAATCCTGGTTGGCTAAACATCTGAACCTTTTTGGATAAGGTGGGCACATAAGGGAGAGGGGGGAAGGGGTGTCTGCAATGAGCTAGAGAGCTAGTTTTTTTTTAAATAAGGAAAGGAATGTGAGCTGGTACTGATAACGCTGGTACTGTGGCATGTCTGGGCATGTAATAAAGGCAGAAAGGAAGAAAAAAGAGAAAAAGGAAAAAAAGGGGTGGGGGGTTACTATGAATTGAAGAATAAAGGATTGATCAGGCTATTTGAAGAGAAACTTCATCATATCCCACAACCACCATGCCCGGCTAATTTTTGTGTTTTTAGTAGAGACGGGGATTCACCATGTTGGCCAGGCTGGTCTTGAATTCCTAACCTCAAGTGATCCACCCATCTTGGTCTCCTAAAGTTCTGGGACTACAGGCATGAGCCCTCACGCCCCGCTGGACTGCTGATTTTCATTGCTTAGTCAGTGCATAGTGAGGATTTTACTCCCTTCCTTGTGCATTTCTGGTGGACCTGGGTGATGAGATTTTAATCTACTTCTAATCCTGGCATTTCTGCATTTTATGTACTTTCCCCACCTTTTGTTTGTTTAGCTATTGACTTAGGTAATAGTACTAACAGTAATGGCCCAAGATTCTGTTTGTTGTTGTTTGTTTGTTGGTTTGTTTGTCACTAAGTTGGTTACAGACCTAGAACTAGTCCCTGGCAACTCGGAAGCTGTTTTTTCCTGGGTCACCTTGGGGAAGTGTCTTGGGTGGGAAGAGGACAGAGGGAAGGACAGGGAGAGCCCAGGTTACTGATATGCTGGACTTCATCCTCATAATTGCCTTTGTGCCACTAACACTCCCTACATAAAGAGGCAGGGTGGGCAGTGAACACATATGCCAGCCAGCTCAGTCCTCATCTGACATGCCATCACCTTTTGTTGGTAATTTCTACCCTGCAAATCTAGAAGTTATGATGTGCCATAGCCTTTATCTTTTTGGAAGGGCTGTCCCTGAACGCACATGAAAAGTTTCGACCGTTTTCCCTTGAACTGCCCTCTGATTCTGTTTGACAGTGTTTGTGGAGGCTAGCATCTGTTGACTTCTGTGGTCCTCAGTGCCTGAGCAGGAAAGGCTGGCTCTGGCTGTTTGTGTGTTTGCAGAGAGGAGGGACAGAGGGGCATGCAGTGCGGACAGAGCCTCATTCATTATAGCTAGGATTCTTCCTTCTCGCAAGCTATTTTGGAGGAGTGTCAGGGACCTCCCTGCTCTGGCTGCTGACAGTGAAGCCTAGTGGGGAATTCTCTGGTCTCCCTAAAAACATTACTGGGCCAGATGTGGTGGCTCATGCCTATAATCCCAGCACTTTGGGAGGCTGAGGTAGGCAGATCACCTGAGGTGAGGAGTTCGAGACAACCCTGGACAACATGGCGAAACCCTGTCTCTACTAAAAATACAAAAATTAGCCGGGCATGGTGGCACGTGCCCGTATTCCCAGCTACTCGGAAGGCTGAGGCAGGAGAATCGCTTGAACCTGGGAGGCAGAGGTTGCGGTGAGCCAAGATCGTGCCACTGCACTCCAGCCTGGGTAACAGAGTGAGACTCCATCTCAAAAAAAAAAAAAAAAATTACTGGTTGGGTGCGGTGGCTCACGCTTATAATCCCAGCACTTTGGGAGGCCAAGGCTAGCGGATCGCCTGAGGTCAGGAGTTCAAGACAAGCCTGGCCAACATGGTGAAACCCTGTCTCTACTAAAAATATAAAAATTAGCTGGGCGTGGTGGCAGGCACCTGTAGTCCCAGCTAGTTGGGAGGCTGAGGCAAGGGAATTGCTTGAACCTGGGAGGCGAAGGTTGCAGTGAGCTGAGATTGCACCACTGTACTCCAGCCTGGGCATCAAAGTGAGACTCTGTCTCAAAAAAAACAAAACAAAATAAACAAAAAGACATTCATTACTGGGGAGGTGTTATGAAGTCGAAAAAGCTGCAGGGGCTTAGGATCCAGAGAGACCTGATTTCTAGTTATAGCTCTTCTATTTGGTATGTGGGTTTCTCAGGCAGTTTATCCCCTGTGAGCTTCAGATTCCTCATCAATAAAAAGGAGATGTTAATACCTGTATTTTGAGTTGTTAAAGGATAAAGTAATATGATTTGTATAAAGTACTCAGCATAATGCCTAGGACATATTGAATAGTCAATAAATGATAAAGATATGTCTAAAATTTAGCATCCCGGTTGCCATGTTGCTGCCTTTTCCTAACATAGCTATGTGGGTCTTAAGCAAATTTGCCATAATCTGAGGTCTAAAAGGCCTTGTCTTCAACTAATCCACTGATTCATTTGTACTAACTCCAGTTTCCCCCTCCTCTCTTACACTCTCTTCCAGTTCTTTTTTATTCTAGAGGTGCTTTTCTCCTATTTGTGCTTTTACCCTTCTTAGAATCTGGTGTCTGTTAAACTTCATCTGCGGACCAAGAAGGTAAAAATCCTGTGTTTCCATAAATCTTCACAAAATGCTTGTTTGATTGAGACTTACTGGATCAAACTTGGACCACATCAACCTTTGCCCCTTAGGGAAAAGCCATACTTTTGCATGTACTTTCTCGGACTAGAGAATTTTTCTGACCAATGGCTGTAACTATTCCCTAACTTTAGGCTGTGGGACAGAAAGGAGTTTGCCCACACTTGCTGGACTTTGCAAATAGCTTGGGCTGCTTTGTGGTATATTTTTTAGCTCTACCATCTCAGGGGCTTCCTGGGCTGTAGAGTGAGTGGGCAGAGGGTCAGAACAGCCGGGACCAAAGTTGAGAAGTGGTACCGACCAGGCTGGGATGGGATGAGAAGTGGTACAGATGAGGCTGGGAAGACAGTGAGAATATTCTAATGTGGACTCTCCTGTAGGGCAAGGCTCTGTCCCTTTTAATTCTCATTAAAATGGCTTTTTTCCCCCTTTAGGAAGGGACAACAAAAATAGGAAGGATTGACTCAGACCAGGAACAGGACATTGGTAAGTGGCAGAGTATATGAGTCCAGCATTTTGGGGCTAGTATTTGTGCCCGAAAGGTTTCTTCGAGGACTTTGATGATGCTCTGAGAAGAAGGGAATCATTGGCGTATTCAGGGCCTGCTTCTCTTTCTGCTGCTAGGTTTCAGGTCTGGGACGTCACAGGGGGAGACCCACGCAGTGGGAGGATTTCAGGTCTGGGTGGTTTCAGGTCAGCTCTTCCTCTTTTATTATGGTATGAGGTCTTCCAGATTTTGGATTCTGATCTCACAGAAAGAAATGGAGAGGGTGTTTCCCTGCATCGTCCTCCCACCCAAGTGACCACCACCTCTTTTGTAGTCCTGCAGGGTCAGTGGATTGAGAGAGACCACTGCACTATCACCAGTGCCTGTGGTGTAGTTGTTCTACGACCTGCCCGTGGGGCCCGCTGTACAGTCAATGGCCGGGAGGTCACTGCCTCCTGCCGTCTGACTCAAGGTAGGACTGTCTGTAGCCCTGTTTATCCCAAGATGAGTGATGGACCAGCTCCAGTTTCATGGGCCCAAAGAGCTCAGTGAAGCAGGCTTTAAAAATGGATCACCCAGCCTCTGCACCCTGAAGTCTGAAGATTTTCTAATATGATCCTATTCCCATAAACAAGCCTTAATTCCAAAGTCTTGGAGTGAAGAATGACTGTATGAAATTTGTACCTGTGTTAATTAGCTCTGTCTCCCTAGGAAAGTCTCTGAGCCTCAACTTTCCTCATCTATAAAATGGGGATAATAATAGAATCATTGTGAGGATTGAATGAACCTTATAGTTCTTAACAGTGTGCTTTGCACTCTGTAAACACTCATTATCATTATTACTTTAATTACCGCTACTGTTATTAATCTATGCAAATTCTGTCTGTTCTTTTGAGACTGAGCTGAGATTCCTCCTCTTCCATCAAGTGTTCCCTGACTACTCCACCTGGAACTCAACTTCCTTTCCCTTGGAATAGTAGAGTTCTTCCTGTCTGTCTTATTAATTCAAGATGTATGCTGTGAGATGCAGAATTAATATGTATCTTATCAACTCAGCAAAATTATCAGTTATCGAGGGCATGACTTTGTCTCACAGAGCAGTGCCGTACACATAGTATGTACTCCAAAACATGAGCTGTTGATTGAATTCTCATTTGTCTCTGTGCTGCAGGAGCTGTCATAACCCTGGGGAAGGCACAGAAGTTCCGATTCAACCACCCAGCAGAGGCTGCTGTCCTGCGGCAGCGAAGGCAGGTTAGCAGGGCTGTGTTTTCTAGGTTATTGCTGGCCTCCCTGTTTCCACCTTTTAGATGAAAAGCCAAGCTGGGAGAGGTGGAGGCGATGACAGCAGCCTCACTGTGCTTTCTTCCTTGTTCAAGGTTGGAGAGGCTGCTGCTGGTCGTGGCTCGTTGGAGTGGCTGGATTTGGATGGAGATCTCGCTGCCTCCCGGCTGGGTCTCTCCCCTTTGCTTTGGAAGGAAAGGTAAGAAATAGCTGCTTATACTGATGTGGAACCTACTGGGTTCGCTTCTTAGTCCATGACAGCATGGATCAGGGTGGGGGTGGGGGGTGATTAATGTAGCAGCCAAGGTCTGAATGAGCCCTTGTCTGAATCAACTTGGGCAAGTCATTTGATGATGCTGAACTAGCTGCTAAGTTCGTAGTTGGCAGGGAATTGGTCTTGGCCCTTGTTCATTTCCTCTTTGGTATTTCGACTTTTTTCATCACTGAAAGAGGTACATTATTTGATGTTCCTGTGGCCACTTTTCTCTCTCCACAAAATTTAGCTGTGCTGTGTTTGTGGACATCTTTGTTCTGAGCTTACCTTCCCATATACTCCTTTAAGTTCTGGCCTGTGTGTGAGCTCATAGTATATGTCACGTAGTGTATGTGAGCTCATAGCTTCCAGAACGTATGGCTTTCTCTGAGTTTTTAAAGATAGTGTGTGACTGAGAAGGCTTTCTTTCTCATAACCAAGAATCCAGAACTGTGCATAGAGGGGCAGAAACTATAGGAACAATATGAAAATATCTTTTGGTTCTACCCTCTCATACCCACTTTGCCTGCATTGTAACTATGAAACATTGAGTCAGAGTTTTATATGGGATTGATGGCAACTACTTTTCTACTTCATACTTCATCCGTTTCTACATAAAACACCCTTCCCAGATCCAGAAGCCTTGCAGATTTGGTACTGGGAGTCCTTCTATTCCTGTACGTCAAAGTGACCTCTGCCTTAGAGATTTCCTTTAGAAAATTTCAGCAGGGGACTTGGTGCCTGTGACATCACTGGTGTTGGGAGGCTGCCAAACACCTTGAGCACAGGGTCTCAGTAGTTATGATGGCCCGTAGTTTCTTCAGAAGGATCCAGCAGTTCTTTCCTCAGGCCAGCAGCATTTGATGGCAGATGAAGACAATCTTATGTCTGACCTTGGCAGTGAGGAATGTTGGATACAGGAGCAGAAGTGCTCTGATCAGGGCTGGGCACGGTGGCTCCTGCCTGTAATCCCAGCACTTTGGGAGGCCGAGGTGGGTGGATCACAAGGTTAGGAGATCAAGACCATCCTGGCTAACATGGTGAAACCCCGTCTCTACTTAAAAAAAAAAAAAAAAAAAAAAAAAAAAGCTGGGCATGGTAGCACATGCCTGTAGTCCTAGCCACTCAGGAGGCTGAGGCAGGAGAATCACTTGAACCCAGGAGGCAGAGGTTGCAGTGAGCCGACATTGCGCCACTGCACTCCAGCCTGGGCGACAGGGCGAGACTCCGTCTCAAAAAAAGAAAAACAAACAATGCTGTGATTCAGGAAAGCATGAACAGCAGGCAAGTCCTCATAGGAGAGCTGCTGAGTGAAGGATGCTACAACAGAAATTGCGTGAAGGATGATCCTAGTGTTGAGTAACTGAGAGCTCTATGGGATGGAGAATAAGGTAGAAGAGGTGACACAAGGTGGACTCAGGACTTAGGCTGGAGCTTTTGCTTTGTCAGAGTGACTTTCCTTTTTTGTAGTGAAGTCATGAAAGTAGCTCCTGTTTTAGGTAAGGTTTGTGTTGGGAAGACTCTTTGAAGATCTGTTTTTCCCAGAGTTCAGAGGTTTACAGAAAATAACACTGCAACTTAAATAGCTGAGAATGGAAGAGATGCATTGCAGCAGACAAAACCGATTCACGTCCTGGCTGTACTGCAGAAAAGCTGTGTGACCTTAGGCAAGTCAATGAACCTCTGAGCCTGTTTCCCTACCTCTAAAGAGACGATACTGCTATCTGTTTTCCAGGGATGATTGAAAGAGCGAGTATATATGCACGGTGCAGACACACCCCACAGCCCCTATTGCTGCCAGCAAGGCTGCCTCCCTTTCTCTTTCTTGTCCTCCTGTCTCAACCCAGCTGACCTATCCACCCCAGAGTACATCATGGTGTTGTGCTCTTCTCTTGCCTTTTTAAAGTCTTCTATGGCTCTCTAGCCCCACAGGCACTGACATGAGCTTTCAGACACACAAGAATGTGTCCTTTCATTCAGAGAAGACAGGAATTTCAGAATCAAGGCCTCTCCCACCCACTGTCTCCACTCTTGAGCACCAGCTCTAGGAGCCTGTAGGCTGGGCTGGTCCTGCCCAGCTACTGTAGCCAGCATCTGTACCAATCCCTGGTGGAGGTGGTGTGGTGTGGTGCTCAAGTCCGTGATTGGGCAAAGGGACCAGGGAGAGGAACCTGCACGACTAGAGAAAAATATAAATTGTCAGCTGGGCTCCCAGTCTGGATTTGTGGTTGTGTGTCTACGAGTCTCTCCCTCTGCTCTTGGATGTGGTTGGCTCCAAAGCCTCCCTTTATTCCAGGTTTCCTTTCCCTCATTTATCTCTGGAGCAGCATTCATGAGGAGCCTGCAAAGCTGGAGCTAGCTCCAGAGCCAGGGGAAATTGGCCAGTCTGCCTTCCTTTTCTCCTTGCAGCAGTAATCTGGACCAGAGGGGAATTTGTCTTTGAATACCATTGCCTGTGTTCTTGGCATTTTCCCATTTGGAATTGTAGGGGGTTAACCTTAAGTGCCTAGAGCCTGGGAGACACTGTTGCTGCTTCCGCTGCCACCACCGCTGCCACTGCGGCTTTAGTAAGTAGATGCCACTGCAATCTGCTGCAGAAGCTGCCAGACCCCGAGGCTGGGGGACAGCTGTGAGAGAAGAAGCAGGAGAGTGCAGTGGAGTCCTCACAAGCAGGTGTCTAGGCAGCAGCTGGGGGATACTGGAGCCATCAGAGATGAAGGGCAATTACCTGATAAAGACAGAGGTCCCTTGGCTGGCAGGTAAATGAAGACTTGCCCTTTGTAATCTAGCCAGACATGTAGTATAAGGTTGCTATTTTCTTTTTCACCTGCTTTCTGGGAACTTGACAAAATGTGCTTAGCAGAGGGACCATTCTGTGCGGCCTCTTGGGTGAATGTGCTGCATCTATACAGATGGCAGCAGACAGCCTCTCCTTGCAGGTCCTATGGCTATGCAGGAAACAATATCATAGCTGTCACTTTCTTAGGTGAAGGGTAAGGAGCACCCCTTCTAGGGAGAAGCAGATTGTAAATCTGAAGGTTGAGGAGAAAGCCAGACAAGGAGACTGAGTAATCTCAGGGAGTTCAGATAAAGACCCTGTCTCAGCCTCTTGCATCTGGTGGTCTGTGGGTCTTAGCTGGGTTTGTCTAGGATGGGCTCATGTTTGTAATTCAGCCATTTCTATAGTCAGACAAAATTTGGAGCAGTAATACAAGCATGATACATATGGATGTATGTTTCCTGTTAACTGCTTTCTCTATTTGTTTGGCATTAACAGGTTTCTATTCCAGTTGCTATCCTGAGCCTCCACATAACAGAGAGTAACCTTCCTCTTTCTGTATGCTCCACTGTGTATATTTGGCCTTTTGCCCACAGCAATCAGTGCCAGTCTTTTGAGCACACTCACTCAAGTGTCTGGACCTGTCCTAGTCCTTGGACCTGTTGCAGATTGAATGACCTCATAGCCTTCTTCCCTGGGAAGAGACTGTGGTTGTGTCAGCTCCCACTCCCATTCCCCCGGGCTATTCCACCTATCACTCTTCACCCATCCATCTTTTACTATCCTCCAAAGGCTGCGTTATGAAATCTTAATTTCTTCCAAGGCAGGGGCGGCAAACATTTTCTGTAAAAGGCCAGATAGTATTTTAGGCTTTGTGGGCCATATGGTCTGTGCTGCAACTACTCAATTTTGCCAGGGTGGTGCAAAAGCAGCCCTAGACAGTACGTAAATAAATGGGTGTGGTTGTGTTCTAATAAAACTTTATTAATAAAAACAGGCAGCAGACCAGATTTGGACTCATAGGCTTTCATTCGTGGACCTCTTCTGTGATACCCGTGTGATTTCATTCTGCTCTACAAAGTGGTGGATCTCCTAAAAAGTGGTTCCCTTACAGCGTATGGGTCATACTGCCTGAGATATAGTTCCAGCATCAAACCAATAAGCTTCTCCAAGCTTCCAAGTCATGACATCCTGGGATTGTGGGGAAGGCTAGATAAAGCAGGCTTGATTCTAACTTTTTTGTTAGCCTCTGGCAGAATCTGACTCTTCCCAGCCACTCCCATTCTGTGCCCATCCTGGGGTGCCCATACAGTTGGCTCCTTTAAAAACCTAAATGACAGGGATGAAGATACCCTGCAGAAAAAGCATTTGAGGTCCTTACGTGACCCCCAGGGAAAGGTCAGCAAGTAGGTAGAAGCTGTCAGTTTTCAGAGTAAGCCTCTGAGTCATCTGTGGTCATATAGGAACCTGGTGGCAGAGTAAGGCATGACTAAAATCTAGAATTTTTTAGGTCGGGCGTGGTGGCTCATGCCTGTAGTCCTAGCACTTTGGGAGGCTGAGGTGGGGAGATCACTTGAGGTAAGGAGTTCGAGACCAGCCTGGCCAACATGGTAAAATCCTGTCTCTACTAAAAATACAAAAATTAGCTGGGCGTGGTGGCATATGTCTGTAATCCCAGCTACTTGGGAGGCTGAGGCAGGAGAATCGCTTGAACCCAGGAGGTGGAGGTTGCAGTCAGCCAAGATCATGCCACTGCACTCCAGTCTGGGTGACAGAGTGAGACCCTGTCTCAAAAAAAGAAAAAATCTAAATTTTTTTGTAAGCTTTTTATTATGGAAGACTTCAAATACAACACAAATTATCAACTTACGGCTAATCTTAGTTCATTTATATCCACACTCACTCTCCCTCATTCCCTCTCACTGGATCTAGACAAATTCTTGACATATTTCACCAGTAAATGCTTCAGTATATATCTTTGAAAGGTGTGGTAGAGTCTAAAACTCTTGAATCCTATTCCAGGGCTCATTCACTGAAAACAGCTCTGGAGTGGAGACCAGCTCTCCTTTGGGTCACACACACACAGGCGTGGTGTGTGTATAAATTATCAGCTGCCTTTTGCTACCAGATCACAGAGGATTTCTGTTTCAGGGAATGGAGGTGCAGTAACAATCTCTGAATATGTAGGAGAGAGTTTTATGCCCACAGTGTTTCTGGAGCTTCTGCTTTACTGAGTATTTCCAACATATTTTTAGCAGACACCTTTTTGTTCTTTTTAAAGGACCAAACTTCTGAATTTAGCTAAAATGTTTTTGTGTCTTTTTAAAAAGAACAACTTTCCTGGTGATTTTCCTTAACTAAAATGGATTTGTGTTTCTGCTAACCCCACAACTCTAAGACTATGCCAGTTTAATGACCATTCTCCCCTCCTGCACTGTGACATCGTAAGCTGCCTGTGACACCAGGCCTGTTTGTCCAAGGTTGCCAGAAGTCCAAAGCACTCTCTACCCTGTTGATTGCAGGGGCTCTCTTGGAAGGCCTTACACTGCTATCAGTTTGTCCTGAGCTTGGTTTGCATTTCCCCTTGGGTAACCTCAGCCGCTTCTGTGACAGGAGAGCGCTTGAAGAGCAATGTGACGAGGACCATCAGACACCGAGGGATGGAGAGACATCCCACAGGGCCCAGATTCAGCAGCAGCAGAGCTACGTAGAGGATTTGAGGCATCAAATCCTAGCAGAAGAGATTCGAGCTGCGAAGGAACTGGAATTTGACCAAGCTTGGATTAGCCAGCAGATTAAAGAAAGTAGGTGTCCACCACTTAATGTGTCTGCCTCACCTCCTTATTCTTTCATTTTCATGCTTCCTCAGCCTTCTGTATTCTCTCTTTTGTTTTCTTTGTGATATGATGGAATCTTTGGTATTAGGTGTTCTCTTTTCTTTTAGACACCAGAGATTCTTATAAGAAGAGGGCTGGAAGCAAGAATAAGGACGCTAATTTCCTTATTGTCCTCAGAATTACGGACCTCCTACTTACTGCTCCTCATTTGGTCATGTATCCATACCCTACCGCCTGCCCTAGCACGTGCCCACTGCTGTGCTGAGTCCTGAGGGTCTTCATTCCCTTACCTTGTGGTAAGGGAGCCCTGTAGCCCTGCAGCCCTCACCCTGCCACATCACCTTGGCCAGCTCTTTCACTCCACACAGGTCCAGCCATGGCTGGAGGTATCTGAGTCCAGGCAGCCACAAGCAGGGAAGGAGATGCTGAAATTCTCTCTGGGTGTTTTTGGTTCCCAGACCAGCAGTGTCTGCTCAGAGAAGAGACCTGGCTGGCCAGCTTGCAACAGCAGCAGCAAGAAGACCAGGTAGCAGAGAAAGAACTTGAGGCATCTGTGGCACTTGATGCTTGGCTTCAGACAGATCCTGAGATTCAGCCATCCCCATTTGTCCAAAGTCAGAAAAGGGTGGTGCACCTGCAGCTCCTGCGGAGACACACTCTTCGGGCAGCAGAGCGGAATGTCCGGCGGAAAAAGGTCTCATTCCAGCTAGAGAGAATCATCAAAAAGCAGAGGCTGCTGGAGGCCCAGAAGAGACTGGAGAAGCTCACGACATTGTGCTGGCTCCAGGATGACAGCACCCAGGAGCCCCCATACCAGGTCCTCAGCCCTGATGCCACAGTCCCACGGCCTCCATGTAGAAGCAAATTGACGAGTTGCAGTTCTTTGAGCCCCCAAAGACTCTGCAGCAAGCACATGCCCCAGCTACACAGGTACAGCCAGTAGTTGTCACTGGGAAGCACTCGGTTAAAGTTTACAACCTTCTTGCCCAGGTAGTTTTCTGTTTTTCCCCATGCCTCATTTCCTCAGTCTGTGAAATGGAAGAATGTGTATATTTCTCTCTTCCTCATGACTTTTTCCATCTTCTGGTTACTCTTCTTTCTGTGTATATCGTTTTAGATTCAGGCCTTTCCCATCTTCCTTACCCCCTGAGTAGCAATTCTTGCTTCTTTGGTAACATCTTAGGAGTAAGGATCTCGGCCTCACTTTTCGTCTGTTCCTTAGACCTGGGCTATCCATATACGTTTCCTTGTATGTCACACCTCAATCTTGTCATGCCTGTAACCAGACTTCTTGACTCCTACACCACCTCCCTCCCTCTCCCTCCTCGACCTGCCACATCAAGTGAGCTTTCTCACCCCACCTCCCACCTGGTGACTGAGCTATCTTTTTGACTCCCAGGTTCAAGTTGGGACCTTCCTTGTTTCTTTTCTCCATTACTTCTTACATGCCATCAAGGCAGGGCTGTATTATCTCCCAGACTCCTTGGAGCAAGGGTTTGTGTCTTATACCTCTTTGTATCCTCAGGACCTAGCACAGGTTCTTGTCCATAGGACGTTCACAATTAACGTCTGTTAGTGTTGTGTTTGCTCACCTCTCTGGTCTTCAAAGTACCAGGTGGGCTTTTTAAAAAAACTTTATTATGAAAAAATTTTAAACATATGCCAAGTTGGAAGAATAGTACATGTATCACTGATATTATTCAGCAATTATTAGGTTTTACACACTTGCCTACCTTCCCATTTTCTGAAGTTTTTTAAAGCAATTTCTAGACACCATGTCACTTTAGTTCTACATTTCTAAGTATATACTTCTAAAAAAAAATGGACTTTTCTTGTAACCACAATGTTATTGTGACAGCTACCAAAATTAAGATTATTTGATGTATTCTAAAACCTAGGCCATATTCAAATTTCTCTGCTGCCCAAAACTATTTACAGTTTTCTTTTTTCTCTCTCTTTTTTCTCTAACATGGTTCAGCATTGAAACCGTTGGTTTTTCAAATCAAGATCCAAGTAGGATTTACACACTGCATTTGTTTGTTGTTTCTCAGGTTTCTTTTAATCATTCTTCTTGTTTTATTTGTAATCATTATTTTTATTTCTTTTTATTGATAATTATAGTTCTGTAGAATATGTATCACTCTATAGATTTATCTTTTGGTTCCTCATAATACCATTTAAATTGTTCCTCTATTCCTCATATTGCCTATTAATAGGAAGCTTTCCCTACAAGTGTGATTAGCTTCAGTTCAGTTTTTTAACAAGATGAAGAAATTGAGGAACAGAGTGGGCCTGGAGCCTCTTGGAGAACTAGGACTAGAGTCCACAATTTCCTTTTATACCTGGAGAGCTTTTCTCTGGGTCTGAAGTCTATAGGAGACAGTGACACTGGCCTTGTTTTTAACCTCCTTCTGTCCACAGGAAGTAGTACCTCTCACATCTTCTGAGATAGCTTTCCTTGTCTTCACAGCATTTTCCTAAGTTGGGATCCCTCTACCACATTGCCACCTAGGCCTGACCCTACACACCAAACATCAGAGAAAACATCATCAGAAGAGCATTTGCCACAGGCTGCTTCCTACCCTGCAAGGACAGGGTGCCTCCGCAAGAACGGCCTGCATTCCTCAGGTCATGGGCAGCCCTGCACAGCCAGAGCAGCCTTGGCCAGGAAGGGAGCCTCAGCTCCAGACGCTTGCCTCACCATGAGTCCCAACTCTGTTGGCATCCAGGAAATGGAGATGGGGGTTAAGCAGCCCCATCAGATGGTGAGCCAGGGCTTAGCATCTCTGAGGAAATCAGCTAACAAACTAAAGCCAAGGCATGAGCCAAAGATCTTCACCTCTACTACCCAGACCAGAGGGGCGAAGGGACTAGCAGACCCTAGCCACACACAAGCTGGGTGGCGAAAAGAAGGGAACCTTGGGACCCACAAGGCTGCTAAGGGAGCCAGTTGCAATTCCTTGTATCCTCATGGACCCAGGCAGACTGCTGGGCACGGAAAGGCAGTCAAGACTTTTTGGACAGAATACAAACCACCTTCTCCAAGCAGGGCATCAAAAAGGCATCAGAGGGTTCTGGCAACTAGGGTCAGAAATATTACCAAAAAGTCCTCTCACTTGCCTCTTGGCAGTCCTTTGAAGAGACAACAAAATACAAGGGACCCAGACACCATGGTCCCACTCACAGATTTCAGCCCAGTAATGGATCATTCAAGAGAAAAAGACAATGATTTATCTGACACAGATAGCAACTACTCATTGGATTCTCTCTCATGTGTCTATGCCAAAGCCCTGATAGAGCCACTGAAGCCAGAGGAGAGGAAATGGGATTTCCCAGAGCCAGAGAACTCTGAAAGTGATGACAGCCAACTATCTGAGGACTCACTGGCTGAGAAGAGGTACCAAAGCCCCAAAAACAGGCTAGGGGGCAATCGTCCCACCAACAACCGTGGCCAACCCAGGACCAGAACTAGAGCTTCTGTGAGGGGCTTCACTGCAGCCTCAGACAGTGACCTACTTGCTCAAACTCATAGGAGCTTCTCCTTGGATAGCCTGATTGATGCAGAGGAAGAACTGGGGGAAGATCAGCAAGAAGAACCTTTCCCTGGTTCAGCTGACGAGATACCCACAGAGACTTTTTGGCACCTGGAGGACTCTAGTCTGCCTGTAATGGACCAAGAGGCAATATGCAGGCTTGGTCCCATCAACTACAGAACAGCAGCTAGGCTGGATGCCGTCCTGCCAATGAGCAGTTCGTTTTACCTTGATCCTCAGTTCCAACCCCATTGTGAGCTCCAACCCCATTGTGAGCTCCAACCCCATTGTGAGCTCCAGCCCCATTGTGAGCAGGCTGAATCACAGGTAGAGCCAAGCTACTCTGAACAAGCCGACTCTCTCCAAGGCATGCAGCTTTCAAGAGAGAGCCCACTGATGTCCATGGATTCCTGGTTTTCCTGTGACTCTAAGATCAACCCCAGCAGCCCCCCAGGAATAGTGGGTTCTTTATGTCCAAGTCCTGATATGCAGGAATTTCACTCCTGTAAGGGGGAGAGGCCTGGATACTGGCCAAATACTGAGGAACTAAAGCCATCAGATGCAGAAACGGTTCTGCCATATAGCTCCAAACTGCACCAAGGCAGTACTGAGCTCCTCTGCAGTGCAAGAGATGAGCACACAGCCTCTGCTGCTGATACGTCTAGGCTGTCTCTCTGGGGAATTCAAAGGCTTATTCAACCAGGAGCTGATGGCACCTTTCAGGGCAGATGTATCCCTGACATGACCCAGCAGGGCAGCTCTGAAGCATCCCACAATTCTAGCGTATCAAACGTGCTGGCTGCCTCTGCCACCACCTTGACTCATGTAGGCAGCACCCATGAAAGGGATTGGTCTGCCCTTCAGCAGAAGTACCTCCTTGAACTCTCTTGTCCTGTTTTGGAGGCCATAGGAGCACCCAAGCCAGCTTACCCCTACCTTGAGGAAGACTCTGGTTCCCTGGCCCAAGCTTCTAGCAAAGGAGGAGATACTCTATTGCCAGTTGGCCCTAGGGTATCTAGCAATCTGAATCTCAACAACTTTCCAGTCCATCTGTCCAGAATCAGGCGTTTGAGGGCAGAGAAAGAACAGGACAGTTTAAATGCCAAATTAGAAGGTGTTTCAGATTTCTTTAGCACTAGTGAGAAAGAGGCGAGTTATGACGAAACTTATTCGGCAGACTTAGAATCATTGTCTGCTTCTCGATCTACAAATGCACAGGTCTTTGCAACAGAGAACGCGATACCAGATTCCATGACAGAAGCATGTGAAGTCAAGCAGAACAACTTGGAAGAATGCCTTCAGAGTTGCAGGAAACCTGGACTGATGACTTCCTCTGATGAGGATTTTTTCCAGAAGAACGCTTGTCACAGTAATGTCACTACAGCCACCAAAGCAGACCATTGGTCCCAAGGCTGGGCTCCTCTCAGGAAAAATAGTGCAGTCCAGCCAGGGCAATTAAGTCCCGACAGCCACTACCCACTAGAGGAAGAGAAGACAGATTGCCAGGAGAGCTCTAAGGAAGCAGTTAGAAGACACATAAATGTTTCCTTTGCCCTTCCTTCAGGTCCAGAGCTATACCTTCACTCTGCTCCCTGGAATCCATTGTCATCTTCCCTGCAGCCCCCACTCTTGGAAACATTCTATGTGACCAAAAGCAGGGATGCCCTGACAGAAACTGCCTTAGAGATTCCAGCTTGCAGAGAAGTAAGGGTACCCTCCCCACCCCCCAGGGAAGCCTGGGGCTTTGGTCACAACCACCAAGCTCTCCAAGGTGCTTATTTGAAGAATAATTTGCCAGTGCTGTTACAAAACCAGAATTCTAAGATTGCCTCATCTCAGCAGGTCACAGCTGAGATACCAGTTGATCTGAATACCAGGGAAGTCATCAGAGAATCAGGTAAATGCCCTGGAAATATTACAGAAGAAAGCCATGATTCAGTTTATTCTTCTGTTACTCAGAACAGACATTTTCTCCCCTCTACCAGCACAAAAGTATGTGAATTTGAAAACCAAGTTGTAATTTTAAATAAAAAACACAGTTTTCCAGCACTTGAGGGAGGAGAGGTCACTGCTCAGTCCTGTTGCGGTGCTTCCTCAGACAGCACTGAGTCTGGGAAGTCTCTCCTCTTTCGTGAATCTGAGGCACGAGAGGAAGAAGAGCTGGATCAGAATACGGTTCTGAGGCAGACCATCAATGTAAGCCTTGAGAAAGACATGCCAGGGGAAAGTGCTGTTTCTTTGAAATCCAGATCAGTAGATCGTAGAGTAAGCAGCCCAGTGATGGTGGCCCAGGGTGGTGGCCCAACCCCTAAGTGGGAAGGGAAAAATGAAACTGGGCTTCTTGAAAAAGGTCTTCGTCCCAAAGATAGCTCAGAAGAGTTTAAGCTTCCAGGTACAAAGCCTGCATATGAAAGGTTCCAGTTAGTTGCATGCCCTCAGGAAAGAAACCCCAGTGAATGCAAGTCACAAGAAATGTTAAATCCCAACAGAGAACCTTCTGGAAAGAAACAGAATAAAAGAGTTAATAATACTGATGAAATGGCTAGGCTAATTAGGAGTGTAATGCAGCTGGAAAATGGCATCTTAGAAATTGAATCTAAGCAGAATAAGCAGGTTCATGCTTCCCACACACCAGGAACCGATAAGGAGTTGGTGTTCCAGGACCAGAAGGAGCAGGAGAAGACTGACCATGCCTTTAGGCCAGACAGCTCTGGAAACCCTTTGCCCTCTAAGGATCAGCCATCTTCTCCAAGACAGACAGATGATACTGTCTTTAGGGATAGTGAAGCTGGAGCGATGGAGGTTAACAGCATTGGGAACCATCCCCAGGTCCAGAAAATCACCCCAAACCCCTTCAGGTCAAGGGAAGGTGTACGAGAGAGTGAACCTGTGAGAGAGCACACCCACCCAGCTGGATCGGACAGACCTGCCAGGGATATTTGTGATTCTTTAGGGAAACACACAACTTGCAGAGAGTTCACCAACACTTCTCTTCACCCACAGAGAATGAAAGCATTGGCTAGAGCTCTGCCATTGCAACCCAGGCTAGAGAGGTCTTCTAAGAATAATGGCCAGTTTGTAAAAGCATCAGCAAGTCTCAAAGGGCAGCCTTGGGGCTTAGGAAGTCTTGAGGAATTGGAGACTGTGAAAGGTTTTCAGGAAAGCCAAGTAGCTGAACACGTAAGTAGTTCCAACCAAGAAGAGCCAAAAGCTCAAGGTAAAGTTGAAGAAATGCCTATGCAAAGGGGAGGCAGCCTTCAGGAAGAAAATAAAGTGACTCAGAAATTTCCTAGTCTCAGCCAGCTTTGTAGGGACACGTTTTTCAGGCAGGAAACTGTCAGCCCATTACTAAGCCGGACAGAATTCTGTACAGCTCCTCTTCACCAAGACCTGAGTAATACCTTGCCCTTGAATTCTCCAAGGTGGCCAAGAAGGTGTCTTCATGTACCTGTTGCTCTAGGCATCTCTTCACTTGACTGTGTGCTGGATCTCACAATGTTGAAAATTCATAACAGTCCCTTGGTAACTGGAGTAGAGCATCAGGACCAGAGTACGGAGACCAGAAGCCACAGCCCCGAAGGAAATGTTAGAGGGCGTTCCTCTGAGGCACACACTGCCTGGTGTGGGTCTGTGCGATCCATGGCCATGGGATCTCATAGTCAATCTGGTGTACCAGAGAGCATTCCTCTGGGGACAGAGGACAGGATCTCAGCAAGCACCAGCCCCCAAGACCATGGAAAGGACCTCAGAATCACCTTGCTGGGTTTCAGTACCAGTGAAGATTTTGCTTCTGAAGCCGAGGTGGCTGTACAAAAAGAAATAAGAGTCAGTTCACTGAACAAGGTCTCTAGCCAGCCTGAAAAGAGGGTCAGCTTCTCCTTGGAAGAGGATAGTGACCAAGCCAGCAAGCCAAGGCAGAAGGCAGAGAAGGAGACTGAGGACGTCGGACTGACCAGCGGTGTTTCCTTAGCACCTGTTTCCCTGCCGAGGGTGCCCAGTCCAGAGCCTAGGCTGTTGGAGCCCTCTGACCATGCATCCATGTGCCTGGCCATCTTGGAGGAGATCAGACAGGCAAAGGCCCAGAGAAAGCAGCTTCATGACTTTGTGGCCAGGGGCACAGTCCTTTCTTACTGTGAAACTTTACTAGAACCCGAATGTTCTTCAAGGGTTGCTGGCAGGCCTCAGTGTAAACAAATAGACCAGTCATCATCAGACCAGACCAGGAATGAGGGTGAAGCACCGGGATTTCATGTGGCATCTCTATCTGCTGAAGCAGGGCAGATAGATCTGTTACCTGATGAGAGGAAAGTCCAGGCCACATCTCTGTCTGCAGACAGCTTTGAATCTCTGCCCAATACGGAAACTGACAGAGAGCCATGGGATCCTGTGCAGGCTTTCTCCCATGCTGCTCCTGCTCAAGACAGGAAACGTCGTACTGGAGAACTGAGGCAGTTCGCGGGAGCAAGTGAACCATTTATATGTCACTCTAGTTCTTCTGAAATCATAGAGAAAAAGAAAGATGCAACCAGAACACCTTCCTCAGCTGATCCTTTGGCCCCAGACAGTCCTCGTTCTTCAGCACCTGTGGAGGAGGTCAGGAGGGTAGTATCAAAGAAGGTAGTGGCTGCCTTACCTTCTCAGGCCCCTTATGATGATCCTAGAGTGACTCTGCATGAGCTAAGTCAGTCAGTTCCGCAGGAGACTGCAGAGGGCATACCCCCTGGCAGTCAGGACAGCAGCCCAGAGCATCAGGAACCCAGAACTCTAGACACCACATATGGAGAAGTTTCAGATAATTTGTTAGTGACTGCACAGGGAGAAAAAACAGCCCATTTTGAAAGTCAGTCTGTGACCTGTGATGTTCAGAATTCTACAAGTGCCTCAGGGCCTAAGCAAGACCATGTCCAATGCCCTGAGGCTTCTACTGGCTTTGAAGAAGGTAGGGCAAGTCCCAAACAAGATACCATTCTGCCTGGAGCTCTGACAAGGGTTGCACTGGAAGCTCCCACACAGCAGTGTGTGCAGTGTAAGGAGAGTGTTGGGTCTGGGTTGACAGAAGTCTGCAGGGCTGGCAGCAAACATTCCAGGCCAATTCCACTGCCAGATCAAAGACCAAGCGCAAATCCTGGGGGAATTGGGGAGGAAGCCCCATGTAGACACCCAAGGGAAGCTTTAGATGGCCCTGTCTTCTCAAGGAACCCTGAAGGCAGCAGGACTCTCAGCCCGTCTAGAGGGAAAGAGAGCAGAACTCTTCCTTGCCGACAGCCATGCAGTTCTCAACCTGTTGCTACTCATGCTTATTCCTCCCATTCCTCTACTTTACTGTGTTTTAGAGATGGTGACCTAGGGAAGGAGCCTTTCAAGGCTGCCCCACATACTATCCACCCACCCTGTGTAGTACCTTCCAGGGCCTATGAAATGGATGAGACAGGAGAGATCTCTAGGGGACCTGATGTGCACTTGACACATGGCCTTGAGCCCAAAGATGTTAACAGGGAATTTAGGCTAACAGAGAGCAGCACTTGTGAGCCTTCTACTGTGGCTGCTGTCCTATCTCGAGCTCAAGGCTGCAGATCCCCTTCTGCTCCTGACGTGAGGACAGGTTCCTTCAGCCACTCAGCTACTGATGGAAGCGTGGGGTTAATAGGGGTTCCTGAGAAAAAGGTTGCTGAGAAGCAAGCAAGCACAGAACTTGAGGCTGCCTCTTTCCCTGCAGGCATGTACTCTGAGCCCCTGAGGCAGTTTAGGGACAGCTCTGTAGGTGACCAGAATGCACAGGTGTGTCAAACCAATCCAGAACCACCTGCAACAACTCAGGGACCACACACCCTGGATTTAAGTGAAGGGTCTGCTGAGAGCAAGTTGGTGGTAGAGCCACAGCATGAATGTTTAGAAAATACCACTAGATGTTTTTTGGAAAAGCCACAATTTTCCACTGAGTTGAGGGATCACAATCGCTTGGATTCCCAAGCCAAGTTTGTAGCAAGGTTAAAACATACCTGCAGCCCCCAGGAAGACAGTCCCTGGCAGGAAGAAGAGCAGCACAGAGACCAGGCTTCAGGTGGTGGAGAAGGCTTCGCCCAGGGTGTGAATCCCCTTCCTGATGAAGATGGCTTAGATGGCTGTCAGATTTTAGATGCTGGGAGAGAGGAGGTGGCTGTGGCCAAGCCTCCTGTGTCCAAGATTTTATCACAGGGCTTCAAAGACCCAGCCACTGTGTCCTTGAGGCAAAATGAAACACCGCAGCCTGCTGCTCAGAGGAGTGGCCACCTCTACACTGGCAGAGAGCAGCCAGCACCCAACCACAGGGGCTCACTTCCTGTGACTACAATCTTCTCTGGCCCCAAACACTCCAGGTCCTCCCCCACACCACAGTTCTCAGTTGTCGGCTCTTCTCGTTCTCTTCAGGAGCTGAACTTGAGTGTGGAGCCTCCTTCCCCTACAGACGAAGATACACAGGGGCCTAACAGATTGTGGAACCCACATCTCAGGGGCTATTCCTCAGGAAAGTCAGTGGCAAGAACATCTCTGCAGGCTGAGGACAGCAATCAGAAAGCCTCATCTCGCTTGGATGATGGGACTACCGATCACAGGCACCTGAAGCCTGCCACCCCTCCTTATCCAATGCCTTCCACTCTCTCACACATGCCAACCCCTGATTTCACGACCAGCTGGATGTCTGGTACTTTGGAACAAGCCCAACAGGGAAAGCGAGAGAAACTGGGTGTCCAGGTTAGGCCAGAAAATTGGTGCTCTCAGATGGACAAAGGAATGCTGCACTTTGGCTCCAGTGACATCAGTCCCTATGCGCTGCCGTGGCGTCCGGAGGAGCCTGCACGTATCAGCTGGAAGCAGTATATGTCTGGCAGTGCAGTCGATGTTTCCTGCAGCCAGAAGCCCCAGGGGCTGACACTATCAAATGTGGCCCGGTGCTCCAGCATGGACAATGGCCTAGAAGACCAGAACTCCCCTTTCCACTCCCACCTCAGCACTTACGCCAATATTTGTGATCTGTCAACCACACACAGCAGCACTGAGAATGCCCAGGGTTCAAATGAGGCCTGGGAAGTATTCCGAGGGAGTTCTTCAATTGCCTTAGGAGACCCCCACATCCCGACGAGCCCTGAAGGAGTAGCCCCCACTTCGGGTCATGACAGAAGGCCTCAGTTCAGGGGCCCTTCTGGTGAAGCAGACTGTCTGAGGAGTAAGCCCCCCTTGGCCAAAGGAAGTGCTGCAGGTCCAGTGGATGAGATTATGCTGCTGTATCCATCAGAGGCAGGCTGCCCTGTGGGACAGACCAGGACGAACACATTCGAACAGGGCACACAGACCCTCGGCAGCAGGCGCCACTGGAGCAGCACTGACATCTCCTTTGCTCAGCCTGAAGCCAGTGCAGTATCAGCCTTTGATCTGGCCTCATGGACCAGCATGCACAATCTGTCTCTCCACCTCTCACAGCTCCTGCACAGTACCTCAGAGCTGCTTGGGAGTCTCTCCCAGCCAGATGTGGCCAGAAGGGAGCAGAACACCAAGAGGGACATCCCAGATAAAGCCCCACAGGCCCTGATGATGGATGGCTCTACTCAGACCACTGTGGATGAGGGCAGCCAGACTGACCTCACCTTACCCACCCTGTGCCTCCAGACTTCAGAGGCTGAACCTCAGGGAGCCAATGTGATCCTTGAAGGGCTAGGCTCAGATACCTCGACTGTGTCTCAAGAAGAGGGAGATGTGCCAGGGGTACCTCAGAAGAGAGAGGCAGAGGAAACAGCACAGAAAATGGCTCAGCTCCTCTATCTTCAGGAAGAAAGCACTCCCTACAAGCCCCAGAGCCCTTCAATACCCTCATCCCACTTGAGGTTTCAGAAAGCCCCCGTTGGGCAGCATCTTCCTTCTGTGAGCCCCTCAGTTTCTGATGCTTTCCTGCCTCCCAGCTCCCAGCCAGAGGAGTCATATTGCTTAGTTGTCAGCAGTCCCAGTCCCAGCTCCCCTCATTCCCCAGGGCTCTTTCCCAGTACTTCCGAGTATCCTGGGGACTCCAGGGTCCAGAAGAAGCTGGGCCCCACAAGTGCTTTGTTCGTGGACAGGGCCTCCTCCCCAATCCTCACTCTTAGTGCCAGCACCCAAGAGCCGGGTCTTTCCCCAGGCTCTTTGACCCTCTCAGCCCCTTCAACTCACCCTGTTGAAGGCCACCAGAAGCTTGACTCCAGCCCAGACCCTGTTGATGCCCCAAGGACTCCAATGGATAATTATTCCCAAACCACTGACGAGTTAGGTGGCTCCCAGAGAGGTAGAAGTTCCTTACAAAGGAGTAATGGGAGATCCTTCCTTGAGTTGCACTCCCCACACAGCCCACAGCAGAGTCCAAAACTCCAATTTAGTTTCTTAGGGCAGCACCCTCAGCAGCTTCAGCCCAGGACAACTATCGGGGTCCAAAGCAGACTGCTGCCACCACCACTGAGGCACAGGAGCCAAAGGCTGGGCAACAGCTTTGTGCCTGAGAAGGTGGCTTCCCCGGAGCATTGCCCACTGAGCGGTAGGGAGCCAAGTCAGTGGCAGAGCAGGACAGAAAATGGAGGTGAGAGTTCAGCATCTCCAGGGGAACCACAACGCACTCTGGACCGACCTTCTTCATGGGGAGGCCTCCAGCACCTCAGCCCCTGCCCTGTCTCTGAGTTGACTGATACTGCAGGGCTCCGAGGTTCTGCCTTGGGCCTCCCTCAGGCCTGCCAACCTGAGGAGTTACTGTGCTTCAGTTGCCAGATGTGCATGGCCCCTGAGCACCAGCACCACAGTCTGAGGGACCTCCCGGTGCATAACAAATTTAGTAACTGGTGTGGGGTTCAGAAGGGCTCACCTGGGGGGTTGGACATGACTGAGGAGGAGCTGGGGGCCAGCGGTGATCTCAGCTCTGAAAAGCAGGAACAGAGTCCCCCACAACCTCCTAATGACCACAGCCAGGATTCTGAGTGGTCCAAGAGGGAGCAGATCCCCCTGCAAGTTGGGGCCCAGAACCTCTCACTCAGCGTGGAACTCACAGAAGCGAAACTGCACCATGGCTTTGGGGAGGCCGATGCCCTGCTCCAGGTGCTGCAGAGTGGGACAGGGGAGGCGCTTGCTGCTGATGAACCTGTGACATCCACCTGGAAGGAGCTCTATGCACGGTAAGGACCCCCAGCCTGGAGTCGGGAGGGGAAGGGGTGGGCTGTGAGGAAAGAGAACCCAAGAAAGCTAATAGCTTGCTGTTTCCTCTGCCCTGGTTCATCTCTGGGATCTTCCAGGGGTCAGAGATAGATCTTAAAGTGAAGGACATTCAGGGCCAGCTTCAGCGAATCGTGTTTTGCCTCAGGCAAAAAAAGGCCATTGAGACCCTCAGGAGAGAGCGGGCTGAGCGACTTGGGAACTTCTGCCGGACGCGAAGCCTTAGCCCTCAGAAACAACTGAGCCTCCTGCCCAACAAAGATCTCTTCATCTGGGATCTTGACTTGCCCAGCAGACGCCGAGAATACCTGCAGCAACTGAGGAAGGATGTTGTGGAGACCACCAGGTAGTGTGGACCGAGAACCCTGCTGGGAGCAGGCTCTGTTGGGGGAGGGGAGTATGGGGAGCAGGAGCTGAAGTTTTAGCATCCTGGAGGGTTCTCTATAGGAGACAGGGTAAATGGAAAGAGGACATAGAAGGGAATGGAATGAGGGAGGGGGTGGGCAGAGAGAAGGCACAGGAAATGATGGACAGAAGGGCTCTGACATGCTATGCAAGTCTGCAGGCCTGGGTCTCAAGGTGGCTTGGTTCTCTCTGTCCAGCAACCTCTCCTGAGGCTAAAAAATCATACTTTAAAACCCTGTGGGCAAATGGAGGTTGGGTCTTTTAAGAAGGTGGTATCACCCAAGCTAGCCTTGGATGGACAGACCAGGACTGTCACCCACCCACCATGTTCTTTCCACCCCGTGATCTTCCTCAGGAGCCCAGAGTCAGTGTCAAGGTCAGCTCACACACCCTCTGACATAGAGTTGATGCTGCAAGACTACCAGCAGGCCCATGAGGAGGCCAAGGTGGAGATTGCCCGGGCCCGAGACCAACTGCGGGAGCGGACTGAACAAGAGAAGCTGAGAATCCACCAGAAGATCATTTCCCAGCTATTGAAGGTGTGGAGTGGGGCATGCCTCTGATTTCAGGATAGGCCTGGACCTCAGACTGGTACACCTTCACCGTGGCCGCCTCTGAGTCTTGGGACATACGTAACATTTGGAGGAGGCTGTGGGACCCCTGTTGTCAACTCAAAGCTGGGCTCACTGTCTTTTTACATCATCACACCAGCTCCTTTCCCCAGGCCACGGCCTGGGAGGAAGAGGCTTTGGTGTGAGGTGCAGGGTGTGGGGAAATACGAGCAGTGGTGGCTTTAAGGAAGCCAGGGCATGTGAGGCTAAGTCAGGGAGGCCCTGGGAGGTGGGTGAAGGAGCAGTAGAGGTGAGCAGGGAAGGGGTGGCTTTGGGTAGGAAAAGGCGTGGCCTGGGGAAAGTGAGGGTGCATCAGAAGCTGGTTAATGGTGATTTGTCCTTCCCAGGAAGAGGATAAACTACATACCTTGGCCAATTCCAGCTCCCTGTGCACCAGCTCTAATGGAAGCCTCTCGTCTGGCATGACCTCTGGCTATAATAGCAGCCCAGCCTTGTCAGGCCAGCTCCAGTTCCCAGAGAATATGGTGAGTAGGCAGATGTTGGGAATGAGCCAGGGGCCTGGACTGCCAAGGCAAGAGTTTGAGCAGGACGCTGTGCCTCCTGGAGTTTGGGCAAGACGCCGTGCCTCCTGGAGGCCACTGCTGACATGAGCCCTTCTTATGTGCAGGCCTTTGGTTTTCCATTTAGTTCTGCCCCCTGCTCCTTCTGTTCATTCATTCAACAAATGTTTATTCTGTGGGTATTATTTTAGGATACAGCGGTGAGCAAAACTGTTCTTGTCCTTAGACTGTTTGAGGGATAAATATTAAACAACTGATTTTATTGTTTAGTTATTGTTGCAGTAAATTGTTTGAAGGCGGGTTGCTAAACCAGCATAAAACCAGGGGTCTGACTTAGTCTAGAAGGTCATAGAGATACTCCGAACAGAATGTGTTTAAACTGAGACTAAAAGGATAAGAGGTAGTTAATGCAGTAAAAGCTTATTGGTGCTGTTATTGGGAGAGATGTGGGCCTAGCAAGTGAGGCCTTGAGGAAGAAGAGTTTGAGGAACTCAATGAAGGTTAGTGTGGTTGGAATGTAAAGAGCGAGATGGGAAAATGACATGAGAAGGGACTAGAAAATCATGTGGACTATAATGAGAGTTCTGGCCCCTTTCTAATCCATCTCATTGTGTTACTTCCCAAAAGTGAAAAGGCTGCTGAAAGTAATAGAAAACTTTTAAGTAGGGGAGTAGAATGACTGGATAGTAAGAAAAGGAGGCAGGAGCAGCTGTGGGAGACCTCCTAGATGACCACGGCAGAGCTGAGAGAGATGATTGCTTGCTTCAGGGCACTGCTAGTGAAGACGAACAGAGGAGGATGTAATGGAGAGAGAGATCTGCAGGACTTGGTGACTGGTTGGGTGTTAGAGGAAGGAAGAGCGGGGAGTTGAGAAGAGCACACACTTGACTTGAGCAGCTGAAAGGCGGTCATGTGAACAATGACAAGGAACACTGGAGGGAGAACCAGGTTTTGTGTGGGAGATGATGAGTTCAGGTTTGTACTTACTGAGTTGAAGGTGCCTGTGAGAAATCCAGATAGAGCAGTTGGAAATATAGAGCTCATAAGTAAGATCTGGCTGGGGATGAATATTTGAAATTCATTTTACAAATACAACGTCATTTAACAAAATAATGTTTAAACAGTAGCAAAAGACATACAATGTCAGGCACATGTTTGAGTCTCCTATTTGCTTTCCCCAGAAGCAGTCATTTACCCCAGTTTGTTGTATATTTCCAGGGATGATGTATATACATCTTTTTGTAAAGCAGATGAATGGGAGTATACTGTACTCACTTTCTCACTTTGCTTTTTCTTTTAAAAATATCTTTGGGATATCATTGCATATCAGTAAATCTAGTGCTGACTTCTTTTAATTAGTTATTTTAAGAGCCAGGATTTTGCCATGTTGCCCAGGTTAGTCTCAAACTCCTGGGCTCAAGCTATCTTCCCACCTCAGCCTCCTAAAACGCTGGGATTACAGGTGTTAGCTACCATGCCTGGCCTTCTTTTTAACAGCTGAATAGTGTTTCTTTTTTTCTCTTTTATTGCATGTTTTTAAGTTTGATGTTTTATATAGATAATATATTCATATAGTAGAAAGGGCACAAATATATACACATACAGGTTGAGCATCCCTAATCCAAATATCAGAAATTCAAAATACTCCAAAGTCTAAAACGTTTTGAGCACTGTGACACCGGAAGTGGAAAATTCTACACCTGACCTCAT
Source organism: Homo sapiens (assembly GCF_000001405.40). Lineage (NCBI taxonomy): Eukaryota > Metazoa > Chordata > Mammalia > Primates > Hominidae > Homo > Homo sapiens. The sequence goes on from NC_000015.10 coordinate 42,697,627, forward strand.
GTGACACATTGAGTTGAAACACAGTCAAAACTTGGTTTCATGCACAAAATTATTTAAAACACTATATGAAATTACCTTCAGGCCGTGTGTATAAGGTATATATCCAACATAAATTTTGTATTTTGACATGGATCCTATCCCATCATATCTCCTTATGCATATGCAAATTCTCCAAAATCCGAAAAAATTCACAATCCAAAACACTTCTGGTCCCACACATTTTGGAGAAGGGGTACTCAACCTGTAAAAGGGATACAGGGAAATACCCATCCCCGCCCTCAGTGTACCTAGTTCCTCTCCCTCACCCGACCCAAGGAAAGCAGTGTTGTTTCTTGGAAGGTATCCTCCTAGGGGTCTTTATGCATACAAAATAAAGCATATTATGCCACTGTCCTATACCTTATATATTTTTTTCACTCAGTATAATTTGTAACTCTATTTGAATATGCAGAGAACTTTCTCATTTTGTTCATTGCTGCATAGCATTCCATTGTAGAGTTGCACCGTCATTTACCCAGTATTCTAACTTGGGTTGCTTTCAGACTTTTGCTGTTATCAGCAATACTACAGTGAATAACTTTATTCATGTATCATTTTGTACATAGGCAAATATATTTGTGGGATAAATTCCCAGAAGGGCACTTGTACAAAGAGTATATACATTTAAATTTTTGATAGGTACTATTTTCTCTCACAGATGAGCTAATTTATACTCCCACCAATAATAGCTGAGAGTTTACCTTTTCCCACACTCTCACCAACATGTTATCAAATGTTTAGATTTTGTGTTGAAAATTGTATCTCATTTTTCTCATATGCTTGAATATTTGTATTTTGTTTTTCATGAGCCATCTGTTCATATCCTTTGCTCTTTTCTCTTTTTCTCTTACCAATTTGGAGAGTTCTTTATATTTTAGTAAGAATAGCCGTTTGACTGATACGAACTAGAAATATTTTTTTCCCAGTGCTTCCTTCTCTTTTGACTTTGCTTATTTTGTTTGAGGCCATGCAAGCAGATATATTTGTCCGTTTTCCTTTTATGGTATCTAGGTTATAAATAATAACTAGAAACACATTCTTCAATCCACAATTATAAAGAATTTCTTCCATGGTTTCTTCTAGAACTTCTGTGGTTTTATTTTTCATATTTAAATCTTTGTTCCTTTTGGAGTCATTTTCATATGAGGTATGGATCCGATTGTGTTCTTTCCAGATGGCTATCTAGTTGTCCCTGTAATGCTTGTTAGACAGTTTATCTTTGCCTCACCAGTTTAAGGGGTCCCCTTTCCTTATACCAAGGCTTAGAATAGATTCTACCCTGCGGTAGTGTTAGTCCACCACTACCCTCATTGCTCTTCTCTTTCTGAGTTTACCAGAGTATTCTTTCTTGTTTATTAAAAAAAATTGTCTTATTTTATTATAATTGACACATAATGTAAATATTTATGAGGTACACTGTGATGTTTCAATCCACATATGCATTGCATAATGATCAAATCAGGCAATTAGCACATCCATCACTTTAAACATTTATCATTTCTTTGTGGTGATAACATAAAACCCTTTCTAGCCAACTTGAAATATACATTATATTGTTATTAGCTATAGTCACCCTATTGTGTAATAGAACACCAGAACTTATTCTTCCTTTCTAACTTTGTACCTGTTGACCATCCACTCCCCATTCCCTCTTCCTGATCCCCTCCCCAGCCTCTGGTAACCACTATTCTGCTTTCTTCTTCTATGAGATCAACTTTTTTCTTTTCTTTTTTTTTTTTTTTTTTTTGAGATGGAGTCTTGCTCTGTCGCCAGGCTGGAGTGCAGTGGCTCAATCTCGGCTCACTGCAAGCTCCGCCTCCCGGGTTCACGCCATTCTCCTGCCTCAGCCTCCTGAGTAGCTGGGACTACAGGTGCCCGCCACCACGCCCAGCTAATTTTTTGTGTTTTTAGTAGAGATGGGGTTTCACCATGTTAGCCAGGATGGTCTCGATTTCCTGACCTCGTGATCTGCCCGCCTTGGCCTCCCAAAATGCTGGGATTACAGACGTGAGCCACCGTGCCTGGCTAACTTTTTTATTTTCATTATTTATTTATTTTTGAGGCAGAATCTCACTCTGTTGCCCAAGCTGGAGTGCAATGGTGCAAACTTGGCTCACTGCAACCTCCGTCTCCCGGGTTCAAGCGATTCTCATGCCTCAGCTTCCCAAGTAGCTAGAATTACAAGCGCCCACCACCACACCCAACTAATTTTTGTATTTTTAGGAGAGACGGGTTTTCACCATGTTAGCTAGGCTGGTCTCAAACTCCCGACCTCAGGTGATCCACCTGCCTCGGCCTCTCAAAGCGTTGGGGTTACAGGCGTGTGAGATCAACTTTTTTAGATTCCGCATATGAGTAAGATCACGTGGTGGTTGGCTGTCTATGCCTGGTGTCTTCCACTTAGTATAATGTCCCTGGGTTCACCCATGTTGCCACAAATGACAGAATTTTATTCTGTTTTATGGCTGAATAGTATTCCATTGTGTATATATGCCACATTTTCTTTGCCCATTCATCTGTAAACATTTAGGTTGATTTCATCTCTTGGTTATTGTGAGTAGTGCTGCAATAAATATGGGAGTGTAGATATCTCTTTGACATACTGATTTCATTTTCACTGGCTATATACCTAGTGGTGGAATTGCTGGATCATATGGTAGTTCTGCTTTAGTTTTTTGAGAAACCTTCATACTGTTTGCCATAATGGCGGTATTAATTTACATTTCTACCAGCAGTGTATAAGAGTTCCCCTTTGTCGACATCCTTACCAGCATTTGTTGTTTTTTGTCTTTTTATTATAGTCATTTAGATGGAGCGAAGTGATATTTCATTGTAGTTTTGATTTGGATTTCCCTAAAAACTAGTGATGTTGAGCATTTTTTTCATATACCTGTTGGCCATTTGAATGTCTTTTTTTGAGAAATGTGAAATCAGGTTTTTGCCCATTTTAAAGTTGAATTCTTTGGGATTTTTTGCTATTATTTGAATTCCTTATGTATTCTGGATATTAACCTTTGTCATATGCATAGTTTGCAAATCCATTCTCCCATTCTGTGGGGTGTCTCTTCACTCTTTTTTCCTTAGCTGTGCAGAATCTTTTTAGTTCGATGTAACCTCATTTGTCTATTTTTGCTTTTGTTACTTGTGCTCTTGAGGTCTTGTCCAAAAATTCCTTTCCCAGTCCAATGTCATAAAGCATTTCTCCTATGTTGTCTTCTTGTAGTTTCATATTTTCTGGTGTAAGATTTAAGTTTTTGATCCTTTTTGTATATGGTAAGAGATAGGGGTCTAGTTTCTTGCTTCTGTATGTGGATATCCAGTTTTCTCAGCATCATTTATCACAGAGATTGTGCTTTCTCCCTTGTGTGTTCTTAGTGTGTTTGTCAAAAATCAGTTGGCTATGAATGTGTGGATTTCTGTGTTCTTTGTTCTGTTCCTTTAGTCTGTGTGTCAGTTTTTATGCCAGTACCATGCTGTTTTGATTACTATAGCTTGGTAGTATTTTTTGAAGTCAGGTACTGTGATGCCTCCAGCTTTGTTTTGCTCAGAATTTCTTTGGCTGTTTGGGGTCTTTTGTGGGTCCATATGAATTTTAGGATTATTTTTTCTATGAAGAATGTTATTCGTATTTTGATAGAGCTTGCATTGAATCTGTAGATTGCTTTGGGTGATATGGACATTTTAACAATATTCTTCCAATCCATGAACATGGGATATATTTCCACTGATTCATGTCATCTTTAATTTCTTTCATCCGTGTTTTACGGTTTTCGTTGTAGAGATCTTTCACCTCTTTGGTTAAATTTATTCCTAGGGACTTTATTTTTTTGTAGCTATTGTAAATGGGATTGTGTTCTTGCTTTCCTTTTCAGATAGTTTGCTTTTGGTCTATAGAAACACTACTGATTTTTGTATGTTGATTGATAAATAAAAGTAAAATTCTAAGCCTCCAACTGACTGAACAGACCTCCTCTCAGCCAGGGAGACCCCAGAGAAACCTTAAAAGTTGAGTGCATGACCAACAGAAGATGTTGAAATAAATGCCCTGGCCAGGCACGGTGGCTCACGCCTGTAATCCCAGCACTTTGGGAGGCTGAGGCAGGCTGATCACAAAGTCAGGAGTTCGAGACCAGCCTGGCCAACATAGTGAAACCCCATCTCTACTAAAAATACAAAAAATTAGCCAGGCGTGGCAGCATGCACCTGTAATCCTAGCTTCCTGGGAGGCTGAGGCAGGAGAATTGCTTGAACCCGGGAGGGTGGAGGTTGCAGTGACCCGAGATCATCATTGCACTCCAGTGCAGGTGACAGTGTGAGACTCTGACTCAAAAAAAAAAAAAAAAAAAAAAAAGCTGAATGCATGACCATGACCTGATGGGAGGTTGGACACACCTGCTTATATCCCCTTCCTCGCTAACAGATATTAGGCATTCTTCCCTAAGGGCTAAACAGAAACCAGCCCTTTCAGCAGACTCCACACTGATAATGTCAGTTACTAGTTTATCTTCCCAGTTATAGAACAAAGACGATTAAAATTTTTTGTTTGTTTGTTTTTTTAGTCAGAGTCTTGCTCTGTCGCCCAAGCTGGAGTGCAGTGGCACAATCTCAGTTCACTGCAACCTCTGCCTCCCGGGTTCAAATGATTCTCCTGCCTCAGCCTCCTGAGCAGCTGGGATTACAGGCGCGCACCACCATGCCTGGCTAATTTTTGTATTTTTAGTAGAGACGGGGTTTCGCTATGTTGGCCAGGCTGGTCTCCAACTCCTGACCTCATGATCTGCCCACCTCGGCCTCCCAAAGTATTGGGATTACAGGCATGAGCCACCGCGCCCGGCCTGTTGTTATTATTTTTAATAGTTTTGTCTTTTATTCTTCATAGCAAAGATAGGAGTTGTCTATCTATCACAGTTATAATATTAGAGTTTTCTAAATTTGTCTGTGTACTTAGTTTTACCAGTGAGTTTTATACCTTCAGATGTTTGCTTGTTACACATTAGCATCCTTTTCTTTCAGATTGAAGAAGTGCCTTTAGCAGTTGTTATATAAGACAGGTCTGGTGTTGATGAATTTCCCCAATTTTCATTTGTCTGGGAAAGTCTTTCCTCTCTTCTTCATGTCTGAAGGATAGTTTTACTGGATGAAGTATTCTTGGTTGATGTTTTTTTCCTTCAGCACTTTGACTGTCATCCCACTCCCTCCTAGCCTGTAAGGTTTTTGCCGAGAAGTCTGCTGCCAGACCTATTGGAGCTCCTTTACTTGTTATTTGCTTGTTTTCTTTTTTAAAAATTACAGTTTAATTTAAGTGTTTTGTAGAAATGGGAGTCTCACTATGTTGCCCAGGCTGGTCTTGAACTTCTGGCCTCAAGCAATCCTCCTACCATAGTCTCCTAAAGTGTTGGGATTACAAGCATAAGCCACCACACCTAGCCTATTTGCTTCTCTTCTCTTGCTGGTTTAATGACCTTTTCTTTGTCCTTGACCTTTGAGAATTTGATTATTATATGCCGTGGAGTAGTCTTATTTCATTAAATTTAATTGGGAACTTTTTACCTTTCCATACCTCAATATTTATATCTTTCTCTAGGTTTGGAAAGTTCCCTGTTATTATTGCTTTGAATAAACTTTCTACTCCCCTCCGTTCTCATTCTGCACTCCCTCTTGAATGCCAGTGACTCGTACATTTGTTTTTTTTGTTTTGTTTGTTTTTTTTTTTTTTAGATGGAGTCTTGCACTGTTCACCCAGGCTGGAGTGCAGTGGCACAATCCCTGCCCACTGCAGCCTCCGCCTCCAGGGTTCAAGCAATTCTCCTGCCTCAGCCTCCCAAGTAGCTGAGATTATAGGCGCCAGCCACCATGCCTGGCTGATTTTTTTTTTTTTTTTGTATTTTTAGTAGAGACAGGGTTTCACCATGTTGGTCACGCTGGTCTTGAACTCCTGACCTCATGATCCACCCACCTCGGCCTCCCAAAATACTAGGATTACAGGCGTGGGCCACCGCGCCTGGCCACATTTGTTCTTTTGACACTATCACACAGATTCTTTAAGCTTTCTTTTGTTCTTTTTCATTCTTTTTTTCTTTCCTCCTCTGTATTTTCAAATATCCTGTCTTTGAGCTCACAGATTTATTCTTCTGCTTTATAATTTCTGCTGTCAAGACAGCATTTTAATGCATTTTTGTTTGTTCAGTGTATTTCACCTCCAGGATTTCTGTTTGATTTTTAAAAGATTATTATTATTATTTACTTATTTATTTATTTTGAGATGGAGTTTCACTCTTGTTGCCCAGGCTGGAGTGCAGTGGCGTGATCTTGGCTCACGGCAACCTCCGCCTCCCGGGTTCAAGCGATTCTCCTGCCTCAGCCTCCCGAGTAGCTGGGATTACAGGCACCTGACACAGCGCCCGGCTAATTTTTTTTGTATTTTTAGTAGAGATGGGGTTTTACCATGTTGGTCAGGCTGGTCTCGAACTCCTGACCTCAGGTGATCTGCCTGCCTCGGCCTCCCAAAGTGCTGGGATTACAGGCATGAGCTACCACGCCTGGCCAAGATTATTTTAATCTCTTTGTAAAGTTTCTCTCATAGATTTCTGAATTATTTCTCTGTGTTTTCTTGAAGTTTATTGGGCTACCTCAAAACAACTATTTTGAATTCCCTGTCTTAGATTATACTTCTCAATCTCTTCAGGATGGATCACTGGCACCTTATTTAGTTGGTTTGGTGAGGTCATAGTTCCCTTAATGTTCTTGATGCTTTCCAATGTGTGTCAATATCTGGGCATTGAAGAAATTGATATATATTCCAATTTTTGCAATCTGGCCTTGTTTGTACCTGTCTTTCAGAGAGCCTTCCAGGAATTCAAAGGAGCCTGACTGTTGAGTTCCCTAAGCCTGTGGTCACTGTAGCCATCTTAGCGCTAGAGGGCACTGTAAGCCTATGTAGCTGGGACTCTGTTACAGACTCCAATGTCCCTGGCCCCGATGGACCTGAGTAAGACCCAGGGAGAGTTCCCCACCTCGTGTGGTAATGCTGGCCAGGGCCCTGAACCAGGTGCTGGTTTTGTTGTTGTGGGCTTGGTACTGGGTTCCAAGGAAAAGTTTCATGCATAATTCGGTCTCCTTCCCTAAAGTAGATGGTGTCTTTCTCTGTACCATGTTGCCTACAGTTGGAGGGAAAGGTGATGTGGGCAGTCCTGTGGCTGCCACAGCTGATGCTATGCAGGGCTACACCTGAAGCCTATGGCCTCTTGGACCAGGGTGGAAATGGGTCATGCCCAAGGCCCAGGCTGCTACCATGCTGAAATTTATTTGGGGCCCAGTGATGTGAGAATCCCATTCATCCTGATGGGGTGGGGAATTCCTTTCTGGTGCTTAGTGTGGGTCCACAATCTTTGTCCGTGGGCACAGGCCTGGAATTAGGCTGTGGGGTTTTTTCTGGTTCTGTGTATTACTGTGGCAGACTTAGTACTGGGCTCTAAGGCAAAGTCCCATGTCCACTAACCTCTCCTTCTGCCATGTGGGCGGTGTCTCTCATCACTACCTAGGGTTGGGGAAGGGTTGGTACAGATAATATGAGACTGTCCTTCCTATTATCTTTAATGCATCTTCTTCTCCTTGTAAAATCTAGTACTTTTATCTATCAACTGGTTTTCCTAGCTCTAGCGAAGATATTTTCTTTTGTGGATTGTTGTTCAAATTGATGTTTCTGTGGGGAACTATCACTGACGGGTCCTATTCTGCCATCTTGTTGTGCCTCTGTGTTACTGATCTGTTGTTTGTTTATTTTTTTGAGATGGAGTCTTGCTCTGTCACTCAGACTGGAGTGCTGTGGCGCCATCTTGACTCACTGCAACCTCCGCCTCCCAGGTTCAAGCGATTCTTCCTGGCTCAGCACTCCGAGTACCTGGGACTACAGGCATGCATCACCCTCCATGCCTGGCTAATTTTTCTTGTATTTTTAATAGAGATGGGGTTTTCAGTGTTGGCTAGGCTGGTCTCAAACTCTTGACCTCAGGTGATTTGCCCACCTCAGCTGAACAAAGTGCTGGGATTACAGGCATGAGCTACTGCACCCAGCCTGTTGTTTGTTTGTTTATTTTTTATTTTTTGAGATGGAGTCTCACTCTCTCACTCGGGCTGGAGTGCAGGGGCGTGATCTCAGCTTACTGCAACCTCCACCTCCTGGGTTCAAGCGATTCTCTTGTCTCAGCCTGCTGAGTAGCTGGGATTACAGGCGCCTGCCCCCACGCCTGGCTAATTTTTGTGTTTTTAGTAGAGATGGGGTTTCACCATGTTGGCCAGGCTTTTCTCAAACTCCTAACCTCGAGTGATCTGCCTACCTCAGCCTCCCAAAGTGCTGGGATTACAGGCGTGAGCCACCGCACCCGTCCTGTTGTTTATTTTTTATATGAAATTTAGGATCACCTTGTCTAGTTCAATTGCAAGAACTTGTTACTATTTTTAATAGGATCATGTGGATTGACTTAGGGAGAAACCACGTCTTATGCTATAGAACTTTCTAACCAAAAATGTACTAGGTTCAAGCTTTCTTTTTATGTTTTTAAAGTTTTCTTCATATGTCTCTCACATTTCTTGTCAGATTTATTTCTAAGTATTTTAAGTTTTTTGTTACTCTTGTAAATAGGTTTTTTCGTTCCTTTATATCTTCTGATTATTTTGTGTGTATTAAAGCTATAGATTTCTGTGAATTAATTTTGCATCTATTTTTTTGGTTGATTCTCTAGACCTGCACTACTAATTTAGTAGCTGCTAATACATGTACCTATCTTAATTTTTTTTTTTTTTTGAGACAGTGTCTTGCTCTGTTGCCCAGGCTGGAGTGCAGTGGCATGATCTCGGCTCACTGCAACCTTCGCCTCAATCTTTAAGCGATTCTCCTGCCTCAGCCTCCCGAAGAGCTGGGATTACAGGCGCCTGCCACCATGCCTGGCTAATTTTTGTATTTTTAGTAGAGATTGGGTTTCACCATGCTGGCCAGGCTCGTCTCGAACCCCTGACCTCAGGTGATCCACCCATCTCGGCCTCCCAAAATGCTGAGATTACAGGCGTGAGCCACCACACCTGGCTTTTTTATAGCTTTTGAGCTGAGATAGATATATTTTTGCAATACTAAGGAAATATCCAACTATTCCTACTTTATAGCATATTCTTATCCAGAATGGGTATTTCAGAGTCTTTGGAGATGATTTCATTCATTCATCCATCCATCTATCTATTTTGGGGCTAATATTGAACTATTCTTGCATTCCTGGAATAAATCCTATAATATATATTTATGATTCTGATATACTATTCTTTTAATGTGTTGGAGTCCAGTTATATTTTAGAATTTTGCATCCATATTTGAATTTTTCTGTGGTTTTTGCTTTCACAATATATTCCTTAGGTTTTGTTATTACTTTATACTCCTTTAATAGGAAAGAAAGGTGGTAGTTTTCTTTTTCAAGGTTTATGAATAGTTAAAAAAGTAATAAAAACTTTATACTTATTAAGTTGGCAAAATTTAGGAAGCCAGATGATGCCAGATTTTGGCAGGACTTTGAGGATATTGGAACCATTACAGGTTCCTATGACTCAGCAATGTTTGCATAGGTTATGAGAGAACATGTAAGGAATTGTTTATTAAGGCATTATTTGAAGTGGCAATGAGTTGGAGGACATTCGCAAATCCATCACTGAGAAGAGTGGATAGGTAAAATGTGGTAGTTGCACACATGAAATATTAATACTATGCAAGACTCGAAATCAGCAGATTAAACACCTAGGCAGAATACTGAGTGAAAAACTTTTTTTTTTTTTTTTTTTGAGACAGAGTCTTGCTGTGTCGCCAAGGCTGGAGTGCAGTGGCACGATCTCGGCTCACTCCAGCCTCCGACTCCTGGGCTCAAGAAATTCTCCTGCCTCAGCCTCCCCAGTAGCTGGGACTACAGGTGCCTGCCACCATGCCCAGCTTATTTTTTTGTATTTTTAGTGGAGACGGACTTTTACTATGTTGACCAGGCTGGTCTTGAACTCCTGACCTCATGATCCGCCCATAAGATGAGATATATTACTATTTGTGAATTAAACAACATATACAGTATATAAATACAACATACACAACAATCACTTTTTGCAAGAACACATACAAACAAAAAGATACACTCTAAGCACATCAGAATGATTTGGATGGGAGTGTGAAATGGGGATGAAAAGTAAAAAAATTTGAGAGCCAGACACGGTGGCTCACATCTGTAATCTCAGCACTTTGGGAGGCTGAGGCAGGAGGATTGCTTGAGCCCAGGAGTTTGAGTCCAGACAGGGCAACATAGAAAAAAAAAAAAAAGCCAGGGTGGTGCTGCACACCTGTAGTCCTAGCTACTCAGGAGGCTGTGGTGGGAGGATTGCTTGAGCCTGGGAAGTCGAGGCTGTGGTGAGCTGTGACCATGCTGCTGCACTCCAGCCTGGGTGACACAGCAAGACCCTGTTTCAAAAAAAAAAAATTTCTTTTGAATCATCTTTTAAAGTTTGATATAATAATCCTTTTAAATTGACAAGGCTTGGTGTTTCAGTAGGGGATTAGTTATTTGAAAAACTTCTTCAATGGAAGATGGTCTGTTAAGATCAGGGGTTAGCAAACTATGGCCCTTTGGCCAGATCTGGCCTGCTTCCTGTTTTTGTAAATAAAGTTTTACCGGAATACAGTCATGCCCATTCATGTACATGTCTTCTATGGTTGTGTTCCCACTACAGTGGCAGAGAGTTGAGTAGCTGCAGCTACTCAAATGGCCCACAAAGCCTTAAATATTCAGTATCTAGCTCCCCACAGAAAAAGTTTTGCCAGCCTTTGGTTTAGATATTTCATCTCTCCTGGAGCCCCTTTTGATTCTAACTTATTCATTTCTGTGTATGTTGTTATCAGTTTCTTTTTCCTATTGTGATAGTTTCTCAGTCTTTTCTTGCTTCGTGGTTAGTAATTTTTTGGAATGTATTTATCTGCTGTTTCTTGCTTTTTTTCTTTTTTTTTTCATGTAAGACAGGTAATGTGCTGACGTAACAAGGTTTGAGAGAGGCACTTCTGAGACATGTATGTGAAAACCCGATCGTCATGCTTACGAACTACAAAAGGATCGTGTCTGTGGTTTTCTTATGGTTGGATTGAAGTTATGCGTTTTTGGCAAAAAAAATACCATAGAAGTGATTTGCCCTTCTGAAGGTTGACAGATTAGGCAAAGAAAAATACAGGATGCTAGTTAAATTCAAATTTTAGACAACAAATAGTTTTATAGTATAAGTATGTCTCATGCAATACCTTATTCTCGGTGCATTGTATCAGAGGTTACCGGATACCGACATGTCCTGTTTCTGGTGATGTGAACTTTGATGTTAAGGTGGTGGTTGGGGGTCTCTCCACTGAATGTTGCTATATTGTCCTTTATGATTAATGAACATGGCTGAATGTGGTGGCTGACGCCTGTAATCCCAGTGCTTTGGAAAGCTGAGGCAGGAGGATCACTTGAGTCCAGTATTTTGAGATCAGCCTAGGCAACATAGTGATACGCCATCTCTACACACACACACACAAAAGCTATGTTGGTGGTGCATGCCTGTGGTCCCAGCTACTTGGGAGGCTGAGGTGGGAGGATCGCTTGAGCCTGGAGGGGAATGGAGGCTGCAGTGAGCCATGATTACATCATTGGCCTTGGACAGAGGGAGACCCTGTCTCAAAAAATCTTGGAGACTAGCTGGGCAAGGTGGCTCACGCCTGTAATCCCAGCACTTTGGGAGGCAGAGGCGGGCGGATCACGAGGTCAGGAGTTCAGGAACAGCCTGGTCAGCATGGTGAAACCCCGTCTCCACTAAAAATACAAAAATTAGCCAGGCATGGTGGCACACGCCTGTAGACCCAGCTACACAGAAGGCTGAGACAGGAGAATAGTTTGAACCCGGGAGGCGGGGTTTGCATTGAGCTGAGATGGCGCCACTGCACTCCAGCCTGGGTGACAGAGCAAGACTCCATGCCCCACAGCAGCCCCCCAAAAAAATATTGGAGATGATGGAAAATCCTGTTTTTCCTCAAACTTTCATCCACTGATTTTAGTGTCTACTGGTGTATCTTACCTGTAAAAATTATTACTGTGATATTTTAGGGAATTTTGTATTTCCCTCATTTATTCTACATTTATTAATTGGAACTTTTCTCTAAGAAAGTGCAGTCCCTTCTTCCGCCACTTAATTTATTCAACTATTTAATTTTTTTCAGTTTGGAATCATATTCTTTGGGGCGTAATTCAATACAGTACTGTCATTATTAATTTCATTGTTCAACTTGTTCCAGCTTTAATTATTTGGAGTTCTTTCAGCTTGGGTCTTGTGTCCTTTTGACATGCCCTGTCTTTTTTTTTTTTTTTTTTTTGAGACAGGGTCTTGCCGTGTTGCCCAGGCTAGAGTGCAGTGACACAATCATGGCTCACTGCAGCCTCGACCTCCCTGGGCGCCGGTGATCCTCCCACCTCAGCCTCCTGAGTACCTGGAGTACAGGTGTGCACCACCATGCCCGGGTACTTTTGTATTTTTGTTTTCTAGAGATGGGGTTTTACCATGTTGCCCAGGCTGGTGTTGAACTCCTGGGCTCAAGGGATCTGCCCGCCTGAGCCTCCCAAAGTGTTGGAATACGGACGTGAGCCACCGTGCCTGGCCCTTGAGCACTTCTTTAATTGATTTTTTTATTGTTATAATCCATTGGCTTTAGTATATTCATAGAGTTGTGTATCCATCACCAATTTTAGGACATTTTCATTACCCCCCTAGTTATTCCCTAAATTCACCATTCCCCAGCCCTTGGCAACCACGAATCTACTTTCTGTCCCCATGGATTTGCCTATTCTGGACATTTCATATAAATGGAATTACACAATATATGATCCTTTTTGATGGCTTCTTTCTCCTAGCGGAATGTTTTCAGGATTGTGTTAGTTTCTTAGAATTGCTGTAACAAATTACCACTCACAGAGTGGCTTCAAACCACAGACATTTATGCTCTCATAGTTCTGTAGGCTAGAAGTCCAAAATGTTGGTGTTAGCAGCACCATACTCCCTCAGAAAGCTCCTGGGAGAAGGATCTGCTCCAAGCCTCTTTCCAGGCTTCTGATGGGTTACCAGCAATCCTTGGCATTCACTCCCATTTCTATCTCTGTCTTCACATGACATTCTTGCTCTCACTTGTGCGCTCTCTCTCTCTCTCTCTCTCTCTGTGTGTGTGTGTCTGTCTCCCTGTCTGTTTGTCCCCGTGTTTTCACATAGCCTTCTTTTTTTTTTTTAATTTAACTTTTTTTTAAGAGACAGGGTCTCTGTCACCTGGACTGGACTGCTGTGGTGCAATCACAGCTCATTCTTACCTGCAACACCTGACCTCAAGTGATCCTCCCGCCTCAGCCTCTCAAAGTGCTGAAATTACCATCGTAAGCTACCACATAACTTTTTTTTTTTTTTTTTGGAGACAGAGTCTTGCTCTGTTACCCAGGCTGGAGTGCAGTGGCACGATCTCGGCTCACTGCAACCTCTGCCTCCTGGGTTCAAGCAATTCTCCTGCCTCAGCCTCCCAGGTAGCTGGGATTACAGGCATCCGCCACCACGCCCCGCTAATTTTTTGTATTTTTAGTAGAGACGGGGTTTCACCATGTTGGCCAGGCTGGTCTCCAACTCCTGACCTCAGGTGATCCACTCGCTTCAGCCTCCCAAAGTGCTGGGATTACAGGCGTGAGCCACTGCACCCAGCTCCACATAGCCTTCTTATAAGGACATTAGTCATTGGATTTAGGGACCACTCTAATCCAGTACTATCTTATATTAACTTGGTTACATCTGCAGGGACCTTATTTTCAAATTAGGTCAAATTCACAGATACTGGGAAAATACTTCAACATATTTTCAGTGGAGACAGTGATTTAACCCACAACAAGGGGTCCTTCATGTTGTAAAATATATGAGAGCTTCATTCGTTTTTATGGCCGAGTAATACTCCATTATATGAATAAACCACATTTTATTTATCCATTCTTCAGTTGATGGACATTTAGGTTGTTTTGTGCTTTTTGCCTACTAATGAATATTGCTGCTATGAACATCCCTGTAAAGCTTTTGTATGGATATGTTTTCATTTCTCTTGGGTATGTATCTAGAGTTGAGTTGCAGGATCATAGAGGAACTGCCAGACTGTTTTTCACAGTGGCTGTCCTATTTTACCTTCCCACGAGCAGTATATGAGCAGTGTGTTTCTCTCCGTCCTCACCAACAGTTGCTATGACCTACTTTTGATTATAGCTGTCCTAGTGGATCGGAAGTAGTACCTTATGTGGCTTCAGTTCCATTGCCCTGATGGCTAATGGTGTTGAGCATCTTTTTATATATATATATATATTATATATATATATATAATATATAATATATAATATATAATATATATATAAATGTGCCTTTGCCCATTTATATGTCTTCTTTGGAGAAATATCTAGCAGGATATTTTGTCTATTTTAAGATTCGGTTATTTGTCTTTTTAAGAGTCCCTTAGCAAATATATAATTCACAGAAAATGTCCTCCCATTCTTTGTGTCTGTTCACTGTCTTGATATAGTGCCCTTTGAAGCCAAAAGTTTAATTTTGATGATGTCCAGTTTATTTTTTATTGTTGTTCCTTGTGCTTTGGTTTCATATCTAAGAAACGAGTGCCTAATCCAGGATCACAAAGATTATGCCTATGTTTTCTTCTAAGAGTTTTATGCTTTTAGCTTCCACATTGCATTCTTTGGCCCATTTTGAGTTAATTCTTACATATGGTGAGAGCTAGGGGTTGAATTTCATTCTTTTCCATATGGATATCCAGTTCTCCCAACAACATTTGTTTAAAAGATTATTATTTCCCCCATTGAATTGTCTTGGCACCCTTGTCAAAGATCAGTTGACTATAGACATATGGCTTTATTTCTGGACTCCTAATTCTATTCCATTGATCTACATATCTATCCTTATGCCAGTACCACACTTTTTGTGTGTGTGTGACAGGGTCTCGCTATCTTGCCTGGGCTCGTCTCAAACTCCTGGCCTCAAGCGATCCTCCCACCTCAGCCGCCCAAAGTGCTAGGATGACAGGTGTGAGCTGTTGCACCCAGCCTCACACTGTCTTCTTTACTGTAGTTTTGTAGTACCTTTAGAAGTCAGGAAGTAGGCATCTTCCAACTTTGTTCTTTTTCAAGATTACTTTGACTATTCTGGGTTTCTCAGATTTCCATATGAATTTTAGGATCAGCTTGTCAATTTCTGCAAAGAAGTCAGCTGGGATTTTCATTGGGATTACTTTGATGGGTAGATCAATTGGGGGAGCATTGCTATCTTAATATTAAGTCTTTAGCTCTGTGAATATGGGATGTCATTGTGTTTATTTAGGTTTAATTTCAACAATGTTTCGAAGTTTTCAGAGTATAAGTTTTATGCTTATTTTATTAAACTTATTCGTAAGTATTTTATTCCTGTTGACAGTATTATAAATGGAATTGTTTTCACTTCATTTTCAGTTTCTTCATTGCTATTATGCAGAAATAAAATTGATTTTTATATATCGTTCTTGTCTCCTATACCCTTGCTGAATTCATTTATTAGTTCTGATGGTTTTTTAAAATAGATTCCTTAAGATATTCTATATGCAAGATCATGTCATCTGCCTTTTTTGTTTTTGTCTTGCCAGTTGTGCTGGCTAGAATCTCCAGTACACTGTTTATTAGATGTGGTGAGAGCCGATGTCCTTGTCTTACTCCTGATTTGAGGAGGAAGGTATCCATCTTTCACCATTAAGTATGATGTTAACTGTGCATGTTTTATAGCTGACCTTTATCAGGTTGAGGAAATTCCCTTATATTCCTAGTTTTTTGAATATTTTTATCATGAAAAGGTACTGGATTTAGTCAAATACTTTTTTCTGGTGTCTACTGAGATAATCTTACTGGGTCTTTTCTTTTATTAATATAGTGTATTGCATTGATTTTTGTATGTCGAGCCAGCCCTGTGTTTCTGTGATAAATCCTACTTGCTCGTGATATATGATCTTTTATGTGTTGCTAGATTTCAGTTTACTAGTATTTTGTTGAGGATTTGTGTGTGTGTATTCATAAGGGATATTACTCTATAGTTTACTTGTGATGTCTTTGCCCAGTTTTTGTGTCAGGGTAATTCTGGCCCTATAGAATGAGTTGGCAAGTGTTCCCTCCTGATTTTTGGAAGAATCTGGGAAGGATTGGTATTAATTCCTTAAACGTTTGGTAGATTTTACTAATGAAGCTATCTTGAAATTTTCTTTGATCACTAATTTAGTATCTTAAATTTGTAAATAAAATATGCACTAAGATTTTTTTTTTTTTTTTTTTTTTGAGACGGTGTCTTGCTCTGTCCCCCAGGCTGGAGGGCAGTGGTGCGATCTCAGCTCACTGCAAGCTCCGCTTCCTGGGTTCACGCCATTCTCCTGCCTCAGCCTCCCGAGTAGCTGGGACTACAGGCGCCCTCCACCATGCCCGGCTAATTTTTTTGTATTCTTTTAGTGGAGACAGGGGTTTCACCATGTTAGCCAGGATGGTCTCGATCTCCTGACCTCGTGATCCACCCGCCTCGGCCTACCAAAGTGCTGGGATTACAGGCGTGAGCCATCCCGCCCGGCCTGTACTAAGATGTTTTATTTCTCCTTGAGTCAGTTTAACTTTTGAGTCAGTAATTTACATTATTGAATTTGTTGGCATATAGTTCATAGTATTAATTCATTTATTTTTATTTCTTTTCATGGATGTTTTTAAAGCTAAAAATTTCCCTCTGAGCATTGCTTCAGCCATTTTCCATAGCTTGTGACATGTATTTTCATTTTTAATATAATTTTGCATTTTCTGTTTGTATTTCTTCCTTGATTCAATTGTTGAGAATTTCTTAAACCATTTTTGAGGCCAGGTACAGTGGCTCATGTTTCAAACTCCTGGACTCAAGGGATTCTCCCGCCCAGCCTCCCAGGCAACTGTACTACAGGCACAGTTATCTTTTGAATTATATTTTCTTGTAATACTTTTATACTCCTCCATCTCCCAGTATATCTTTGATCCATAAAGCATAAAGGATCCATTTTGGTATGTCTGTGAAATGGGTCTCTGATGCAATCTTTTTTTTTTTCAGATGGCTGCCCATTTGTCTCAGCAGTACTTATTGATTAATTTATGGATATTTATTTTTGGAAGTCAGTATCCAATAATTTTTGGATATTTATTTTTGTACAGCACTGGGAACAGATTAGGTTACTTAGGAATATATTATGGAGTGAGAAAATAGGGCCTAGGCCTGAATTTTGAAAGAATCCCAAAATGTCAACAGTTGAAGAGGATGTATCAACAAAAAAAAAAAAACCACTCAGAGAGATGAGAAGCCGGGGCCTCTGGAAGTGATTCTGTCAGTGAAAGGGAGAGACTGGCTAAGTCAAAGCTTGCTGAGAGACTCAGGAAATGTAGGACAGAAGTTATTTACATGATCCAGCCACACGGACACCGTGGACCTTGGTGACTGCTGTTTGGAGGAGTGACGAGGGCAAATGTTAGATTAGGGTGGGTTCAGAAGTCAGTGAGAAGTGGGAGATGGCAAACAGCGAGACTGGTTGCAAGAAGCTTATCTGTGAAGGGCAGGAGAGTGAAGAGGAGGGTTTTAAAGATGAGAGAAGCCGGGCACAGGGGCTCACGCCTGTAATCCCAAAACTTTGGGAGGCCGCAGAGGGGAGGATCACTTGAGCCCAGGAGTCTAAGACCAACATGGGCAACAGGGTGAGATCCTGTCTTTACAAATTTTTTTTTTTTTTTTGAGATGGAGTCTCTCTCTGTTGTGCCCAGGCCGGAGTGCAGTGGCACAATCTCGGCTCACTGCAACCTCTGCGTCCTGGGCTCAAGCGATTCTCTCAAGTAGCTGGGATTACAGGCGCCCGCCACCACGCCCGGCTAATTTTTTGTATTGTTAGTAGAGATGGGGTTTCACCATGTTGGTCAGGCTGGTCTGGAGCTCCTGACCTCAGGTGATCTACCGCCTTGGCCTCCCAAAGTGTTGGGATTACAGGCATGAGCCACCGCCCGGCCCCCAAATTTTTTTTTAAAATTAGCCAAGTGTTGTAGCTAATAGGAAAGATCCAGTGAAGAGGAAGAGGTGGGGGCAACAAGTGAAGAGACTGGTGATCAGTAGTGAAAGGCTTCTGACAGGGCAGCGTGAGAGCTAAGCCAGAGGCAGAAGGGCCTGCTGTCTGTGACAGCAGGTGAGAAGGAGATGAGGGTGGATAGAGAACTGTCTTTGTTTCCTCCTTTATTGTGATCAGAGTAGCAGTAGGTTAAAGGTGATGATGGAGGTAGGATGGTGGGTGCCTGTGAGTTCCAGCAGAGGTCAAGGGTCCTATTGTTGAGGAGCTTGCTGCGGTGGAGGTGTGGTGACCACATTGCAGATCCAGAGGGTAACCCCATCTAATCCCCAGTTAGGACCTTTAGCTTGGCTGCTGCACCTGGGGTGGGGGTCAAGCGTTCAGCTTTTCATAGCCCATTACTTTTCCTCCCATCCCATCTTCCACATTTATTACCCCGTTAAACCCCCTCTAGCCATGGCCTCATTCCTGTTGCCCGGGTGGTGCAGAGAGCCTCTCATGCACTGATCCCTGGTACCCCCTAGCTTGGAAGCTGGCAGAGCACCCCATACTCTCAGGCCCTGGTTGTTTTGATCCCTGTTGGAACTCTCCTGTAAGCAGCCTCTGCCTGTGGCTTAGAGGGGGAGCAGAGATCGTCTAGATACCTATTTCTATTGCTGTGGTCTTCTTTGGGGGACATCGAGCCTCTTGTATTCCCATCTGGGAAGACCTTTGCAGTTGAGTCATCCCACTGGAAGCTGTGAGATGCAGTTCAGAGGCAGAGGAGATAATTCTGTGCTTGCCTTCTGGCTCTGTCCTGAGTATCCTCTCTTCTGCAGGGGCATACAAACTTGCCTGATTCCAGGGATGTATGGATAGGGGATGAGCGAGGAGGCCATTCTGCAGTGAGGAAGAACTCTGCCTACAGTGAGTTGCGGGGAGTGTTGGGCATAGCCAGCTGCCTGGTTTGGGGACTTGGGGGCTGATGGCTGCTAGATCTTAGTGAGTCACTGGTCTGTGGGAGAGCTGTTGCTGTCCTGAGGCCCTGATGTTCAGTGCTATCACAGGGCCTCCACCTATTTCTTGTAGGCCACAGAGCCTCCCTGGGCAGTTGCTGCTGTTCACCATCCAGTCTGTCCAGCTTGGGGACCTGCTTTTCCTCCTCCTACCAGGATTTGGCCAAGCATGTCGTGGACACTTCTATGGCTGATGTGAGTAACTGCTCCCACCCATCCCTACCATTCCTTTACCCAGACCTCTGCTGGGTGTGCAGGAAGAGAAAGTAGGAAAAAAGCTGGGCAGATGAGGAGCCCAAGGCTTGTGGGCATCTTCAGTGGTTCTTCATCTTGAGAAAAGGGGAATTCGGGTCAGGCGCAGTAGCTCATGCCTATAATCCCAACATTTTGGGAGGCTGAAGTGGGAGGATCACTTGAGGTCAGGAGTTCGAGACCAGCCTGGGAAGCATAGCAAGACCCTGTCTCTACAAAAAAATAAAAAACATTAGGCCAGGCGTGGTAGCTCACACCTGTAGTCTCAGCACTTTGGGAGGCTGAGGTGGGAAGATTGCTTGAGTCCAGGAGTTCAAGACCAGCCTGGGCAACATGGTGAGACCCTGTCTCTACCAAAAAAATAAAAAAAGATAGCTGGGTGTGGTGGTGTGTACCTGTAGCCCTAGAGACTGGGAGGCTGAGGTGGGAGGATCGCTTAAGCCCAGGAGGTTAACGCTGCAGTGAGCTGTGATTACGCCACTCCACTCCAGCCTGGGTGACAGAGCTAGACCCTGTCTCAAAAAAAAAGAAAAGGGGAATTTAGCAGATGCAGGCCAGACTGACTAACCCAGGGGCTTAGTTTTTACTGTGCCTCCTAATTTGGGTGTGGCCATTGTGTCCCCAGGTAATGGCTGCTTGTTCGGATAATTTGCACAACCTCTTCAGCTGCCAGGCAACTGCTGGCTGGAAGTAAGTTTGTTTAGGGTCCTTTGTACAGTGTCTGTCTTGGTAAGCTTGTCACCCTGCTTGGCTTCTCTCCTCCTTTCCCTTACCTGGATTCCTCAAGTCTTCACTCTGAGCCCCTCCTTTGTGACCCTTAGAGCCCATTTTTGACCCCTTTCTATTTTCTGTGCTTGGTGTCTCCCCCCAGCTATCAGGGTGAGGAGCAGGCGGTGCAGCTTTACTACAAGGTGTTTTCTCCCACTCGGCATGGCTTCCTGGGGGCAGGTGTGGTGTCCCAGCCGCTGTCTCGTGTGTGGGCGGCTGTCAGTGACCCCACTGTGTGGCCCCTGTATTACAAGCCCATCCAGACAGCAAGGCTGCATCAGCGAGTGACCAACAGCATCAGCCTGGGTGAGCCCAGGGAAGGAAGGCTTCCATGGGGCCTAGTTTCTGGTGTGCCCAGTGGGGTCTTGCTGGGGGATAGAGGTGGAGGGTTGGAGGCAGCCCTCTTTGGAGGCCAGGTACTCAGGTTACCTTGATTGCTCAGCCTAGGTTGAGCTAGGTGTCAAGTGATGGGGTGTTGGGGGGAGGGCTCCCTGACCAGGAAGGCTTTAGGACTAGGTCTGTCCATGGGCCTCCTGACCTTCCTTATCCCTGTCCCTCCAGTGTACTTGGTGTGCAACACCACCCTGTGCGCACTGAAGCAGCCACGGGATTTCTGTTGTGTCTGCGTGGAAGCCAAAGAGGTGCCTGCCTTGGTGGTAAAGATGTTGTGGGAAGAACTTGGGCTGAAGTGTCGTGAGAAACAATCTATGTGGGCCTCAGGTCCTCTAGGGGAAGGAGGGCAAATTGGGGCTGGAGCCAGGGTAGGGGTGGCTTGAAGGCTGGCCCAGTGTTGCCTTTCACCATACTGTCTACACGGGAGCCTGTTCCTGTTTTGTCCACACTACACAGGCAGGACTCCCATTTCCCTCTGTCCCCAGGGTCACCTGTCTGTCATGGCAGCCCAGTCTGTGTATGATACATCCATGCCAAGACCCAGCAGAAAAATGGTTCGCGGGGAGATCCTGCCCAGTGCCTGGATCTTGCAGCCCATCACTGTGGAAGGGAAGGAAGTCACCAGAGTCATCTACTTGGCCCAGGTGATAAATCCTTTGCAGCTGGCCTCACAGCACAGGCTGACTTGGTCCCACAGCCCCCTGGGATTTTTCTGTCTCGCTTTTGAACACCCTCCAGTGCCCAGGCCCTTTGGCCTGAGACCTGGAGACTTGAGGGCTTCCTGGGCTTTTGCAGTAAGGGGAGTCAGTGGGGAATTGGAGAGAAGGGAATGCGACAGGAGTTTATCAATCTTTTCTGAAGCTGCTGTTACCGAAAACCTAGTGACCTGCATCCTGTGGGTGATCCCAGTGTCCTTAGGAGATAGATGAGTCATTGTGAGGCAAAAGCAGCAGCCTCAGCAGAGCGGAATGATGACCTGTTGGGTTCACCTCTCCCGTCCCAGTCCCTTGACTTGTACTTTGTCACTAGGAGGTGAACGCCAATACTTAGATCTGGATGGCAGAGCCCAGGGGCCTGTAAACACCAAACCACAATCTGAGGTGCTTCTCCCATCACCACAGGCTGAGGGGACTCCATGGGACTGGAGTACGCCTGGCATTCTCTCAAATCTATTTGCACCTTAAATTCTTCTCTCTCTGCTTTCAGGTGGAACTTGGTGCTCCAGGCTTCCCACCTCAGCTCCTGAGCTCTTTCATCAAACGGCAGCCACTGGTTATAGCCAGACTGGCTTCCTTCCTTGGTAGGTAGCATCTCACCGTCAAGATGGTGCTGCTGAGATGCAGGCCCAGGCTGCTCAAGAGAGACACTGTGGCAGCTCCTTGTTACTTTCCATACCACAGTGCAGGAAAAGCTGATGCTACCTGCTGTGGCCGATTGGGGCAGACAGCACTGGCCCAGGGATGCTAGCAAAGCCCAGTCAGTACTTGGTCACAGCTGGCACCAGTGCAGAGCAAACGGCCTGAGCTCCTGGCCCAGACTATCCAGAGTGAATGCAGCTCCGCTCACCTTTTGGATTTCTCACCTTTCTTTCCTGTTTCTGGGACTCTGCGGCAGACAGGACACTTAAGGACCAGGACTGGGCACAGCCAGCAGAGCCGGGGACTGCAGTGCTTTGGCAAGGTGCTTCCGCAGGCTGGTAGGGAAGCAGGCAGCCACTGGCCAAGACTCTGTTCTGAATCTACCTCCTCTAGCATTCAGCTCTACTGTGTGATGGGACGTTAAAAATACCAAAACAGAAAGAGGGTTTAAAAAACAGCTGCACAAACCAGAACACCGATTCAGAATCTTTTCTCCCTCTTGAGTTTTTGCAAAATACTTTATTATTGATTTTTGCTTTTTTTCTCCCTTTCCCTCCCAGGAGAAGACATTTGGGTCTTGGCCTGAGGCAGGGGTGTTGAGCGATGATGCTCTGATATGGAGCTGTCACTCTAGAGCTCGGTCAGATGGAAGACACTATAGAACCAGGTTGGACAGATTTGGGGTCAGGGTTGGAGGCTGAGTTCTTTTGAGGACTGGTTGGAGTGGCAGCCAGATGGTGGCTGCTGACAAGGCAAGAGGAATTTCAGAGATTAAACATTGTCCTTTGAGGAAGGGAGAGGAGGTGAATGAACTCCCAGAGGAGGTGAGTGGCTTGTTGGGAGGAAGCTCAGTTCCAGAACTTACCTCAGTGCACTTGGGAGGGGTGGAGTCCTGAGCATTCCATGATTTCTGCCCTGGCCCCACCTATCCTAGGATGGGGTGGGATGGAGAGTGGGTTCAGTTTTCTTGTACTTTAGCCTGGCTGAACATGAACTTTGTGTTTACCTGGAAGTGGTAGGGGTGGGAGAGATTCTCATCTTTAGTTCTGGTGCCCAAAATCTTTGGTAGATGGAGGGAACTGGGGATTCAGAAGATGTGGTAAAGGTCTATTTCTGTAGTGTGGCAGAGATGTGTTTTTCTAAAGTGTTTGCAGGGCATTTTTCCCTCTTACCTCAGATTAAGTTATTTATATATTGTTGATTGAAGGTTTTTTAAAATTGCTTTTAAACTTCTATTTCTCGGGTAAATTTTTTGGTGACATGATATATTTAACACCCTATTTATATACTCCTACCTCTTTTCATATAAATCTCTTACTAAGACTACTGACCAAAAAAGAACATTTTAAAATTAAAAGTCCTCTGTGTACTTTATCTAGTGAAGAGTAGATGAAATCCTGCACCGGGATAGCCTAAGTGTGTGATTCGAGCTTGGCAGATTAGCTGGAGATCACCCTGGCAATACCCACTCATAGCTGTTTCAAAGATTCAGTTTACATGTATGTACAGTTTCCCATGAACTTGGCATTGCTTTGCAGGGTAAACAGCAACCAGGTAAGTTGCTCAACTATAGCCCAAGTAAGAACTAAAGGGGAGAATCCAGAACAGTCACTGCCACACCTAACAGTGACCACAGTGCCCTGGGGCTTCTGAGGCAGAGCCACCTATGGGAATCTGAGTCAGGGGATAACCAGGAGGTGACCCTGCCCGCCTTAATAGAGAAGCCAGCCGGGCATGGTGGCTCATGCCTGTCATCCCAGCACGTTGGGAGGCTGAGGCGGGTGGATCACCTGAGGTCAGGAGTTTGAGACCAGCCTGGCCAACATGGTGAAACCTGTCTCTACTAAAAATACAAAAAATTAGCCAGGCGTGGTGGCATGTGCCTGTAATCCCAGCTACTTGGGAGGCTGAGGCACAAGAATTGCTTGAACCTGGGAGGGGGAGGTTTCAGTGAGCCGAGCCGAGATTGTGTCACTGCACTCCAGCCTGGGCAACAGAGTGAGACTCTGTCTCAAAAAAAAAAAAAAAAAAAAGCAACACCAGACCTGACTGAATCAGCAAGCGAAAGATTGAGAGGGATCTTGTAGCAAAAAGCAAAAGTGGAGTCAGATTTTGGATTCATGGCGTGGTTGTCATACTTTCGCATACATCAGAATCACCTGAACGCTTTCTTATGCCCCAGGATGGGCCCTACCCCAAGTTACTGGTTTGGTAGCCCCGGAGAAGGACCAGAGAATTTGTGTTAACAAGAAGTCCCAGGGGACCCTGAAGTTTGCTGGTCTGGGGACCACATTTTATAAACAGCTGGCTTTGACAATTAGAGAGCAGACATACAGAATCTAGTTCACTGACCCACTAGCTGCCTGTCTCCATAATCCTTAGAGTAGCCTTTAAGGCTCACACAGGCCAGCAGGAAGTTTCCTTCATCGGGAACATGTTAAATTTCCATTCAGATTCCCAAGAACTTGTTTTTAACTCAGTGGGCCTTAAGCCAGGCCTGGGTTATGGCCCAGCCCTTCAGTCTCAGCATCCTTAGGGGTTTCAGGTTTTCCTCTCCTGCCCATTCCATGTCACACACCTCAGCTGGGTCCTCTGGAACAAGTCAAGGAGTAGCCACAAGCCTGACGCTGACCCTAAGCTTCCTGGGTGGGGGCGGTGCTATGGTTTAATCACACCCAGTGCTGGTCTCTGGGCATAGAAAGCTTTTTTTTTTTTTTTGAGACAGACAGGGTATCGCTCTGTAGCCCAGGCTGGACTGCAGTGGTGTGATCATGGCTCACTGTAGCCTTGACCTCCTGGGCTCAAGTGATCCTCTGACCTCAGCCTCCCAAGTAGCTATGACCACAGGCATGGACCACCACTCCTCACCAATTTTGTATTTTTTAAAGATGAGGCTTCCCCATGTTGCCCCGGCTGGTTCAAACTCCTGAGCACAAGTGATCCTCCCGCCTTGACCTCCCAAAGTGCTGGGATTACAGGTGTGAGCCACTGTGTCCGGCCGAGAAAGCATTCCTTAAAGCTTTTTTGGTTCCCAGGCATTCAGAACAAATTGGATTTAAAGGATAAAGATAAAGGCCTTTGAAAATGAAGAGATCAGGGGAAAATGGTTCAGATATAGAAACTTGTTAAAGGAGTAGCTGAGCTGAGGAGAAGGGAAAGGCATGGTGTTTGGGAGAAGTATGATCACAAGGTGGTGACTGAGGAAAACTCCCATTTTTTACTTTCTAGGTTGATGGGATTTCCTGGCTCTACCATGGTCACACAAGTGGACCCCTTTAGGTCCTCCTGAGGATTATATTATCAGTCCAACTCCTGGTTATTAATGCACATGATCACAGTAGTGCTTTTTTTTTTTCCCCTCAAAGAGATGGGGGTCTCACTCTTGCTCAGGCTGGAGTGCAGTGGCACAATCATAGTTCACTGTAACCTCTAACTCCTGGACTCAAGTAGTCCTCTCTCTCGGCTTCCCAAAGCACTGGGATTACAGGTGTGAACCTGTCAAAATCAGTGGCTCATTTATAGAGCTTGATACAGCTGTAATCGAGAAGCAATGCTTTTGCTCTGAGAAACTCCAAGCCAAATCAATCAAACAAACACCTTAGCCTTAACAAGCTTAACAAGAACACTGCCCCACCATGTGGTTCAGTAGGGAATATCTTGTGTGTGGAAACTACATTATCCTAACCCTTTCTCCCACAAATAAAGCGAGTTACACAGGAGAAGTCAGTACCACTGGCGATAAATTAAATTAATAGATATTGCCACCAGAGACTAGCCCTCTAGAGTGGAATATACAGGCATTTCTAAGAGCCAAGGTAGCTCACCTTGTAATGCACAGAGCAAAGCCACAATTACAGCGCTCCACCTACAGCCCACCCGAGACTGCAGCCTTCTAAAGGGAGAAGACAGGTGACAATGATTAGACATCAAGCCCTTGTTAAAGAAAACCAGTTTATTCTAAAAAGCTCTAAATGCCCTGTGCTTGGTCCCTGGTCAGGGAGAGGTCTCAAGAGGTTACTACCTGCACAGGGGCTGAAGGTACAGGGGGAAAGTCAGGTTTCAGTTGGTTGAGTCCTACCTTATCTGTTTGTTAGGCTTTTTCTAGAAAGTCTCGCTCTGTTACCCAGACTGGAGTGCAGTGGTGCGACCTCGGCTCACTGCAACCTCCACCTCCAGGTTCAAGCAGGTCTCCTGCCTCATCCTCCTGAGTAGCTGGGATTACAGGCACACACCACCATGCCCAGCTAATAATTTTTTTATTTTTAGTAGAGATGGGGTTTTGCCATGTTGGCCAGGCTGGTCTTGAATTCCTGACCTCAGGCAGTCCGCCGACCTCAGGCCTCTCAAAGTGCTGGGATTACAGGCATGAGCCACCAGACCCGGCCTGTGTTAGGCATTTATAAGGAGATGGCAGTCCAGCTCCTGGTGATAAGAAAATGTAGACTCCCAAGATTCATGTTTTAACTTTCTTCATAAGTTAAGCAGGAGTCATTTGCCTCTGTCATGAATTCCAAGACTACAAAGTTTTAAGAGATGCTGGGATAGCAAATGAGGCTTGAATTCTGTGTTGACAAGCCCACACACCTCATTTCATTTAGTATCCAAGAGATAAACAAACACCACCTCTTCTACTCCAGGACTGGCATCTCTGGACTTTTCTGCCATAATCCCAAATCAGGCCAACTCTCCTTCCTCTAGGATTCGCGTGGTGGGATGCCAGGCAGTGACACCCTTAGAGCAGGAAGTCTGACTGTAGACCCAGCTACACCCCAACCAGTGAGGGTCTGCATTGGGCACTTGGGCCTCCTCGTGAGGCGGGGGTCCAGGGTTCTGGTGCAATGCCCAAGGCAGGGCCACTTCTCAGCCCTAGCTCTGGGCCAGCACAGTGCCCCGGTTTGGCTGCACCAACTCACAGGCTCTTAGCTGGGGTTCTGGCAGGTGGGGCTCGGCTAGAAACAGATTAGACAGTGTTGCTAATTCTTCAGCAAAGTCCTGGAATACATAGAAAGATGAGGGAAAAGGCAGCATGTAATAATTCTCAATGGCTCATCCTTTGTCACTAAAGACCACAACCTGGCTGGCTATATTATTTTTTCTCAACTGCCCTCCACACTGAAATGGACATGAAACCTTGTCTGTTTGTTAGTACTCTGGGAGGCTGAAGTTATGGCAGGGAGCGAACTCTGATGGAGGCACAGGCTTGACCAGTTTTTGAGTACTACTGAGTGCATCTACTTCATCTTGAAATTATTATTCCCGTTAAAATCCAGGTTATTCTAATTTTAAAAACCCATATAATGGGCTGTGCTGCTTTCCAACTAACTGCCTGCCTTTCGTCCGTCTTCCCACTAACACAGTCCCTCATATAATAACTACTCAAATCGGGACAATTTCAGGGTGGCCCTGAAGACTCTTGACAAAAATCCACTTAGTTTGGCCCCATCACTTGCTTCCTTTCAGGACAGATGGGATATGTAACACCTGTTCTCTCTCCACCTAAAAGACAGGAGACTCCTTACCCCTGGCCACTGGGCCTGGTGGAGGCTGCCCAGGCAGGCCTCTATCTCCATCCGTCCCATCAGACCCTTCTCCACCAGCTCCCGTAGCAAGAATAGCAGCAAGTCCCACTGCAAAACACACCGAGGTCAGGGTTGCTAGGAGGACGACAGAGTGACCCTGATGACAGAGATTGAGATCTCAAAGGGCAGAGCTGCTGGGAAGAGACTTGAGATGGATAAATGGAGCCCATTTCTGTGTGGAACAGGAAGGGGAAATAAAGGATGCAGAGCAGCTCATAGTTTGGGGCAAGGGTGGTGGATGTTCAGAGTGTGACTGCAGAGGGCTTCTTGTTCCGTCTGACTCACCTCCCTTGGCCTTGTGTCTGCCAGAAGCCCCACATTTCTTGGGCTCAGCAGCAGCTGCAGCGGAACCGGCCCCTGAAAGTCTTCCTTCCACAAGGAAAGCAGCATGTGCAGAAGCCTTCGAGCCTGCCCTCTCTCCAGCCTGTACTGTGCCGGGGGCCCTAGGATAGGAATTTGATCTGCAACTGTGGAAAGAGGAAAGCCAAGCTTTAAAAGATGGGGGCAGGCCGGGTGCGGTGACTCACACCTATAATCCCAACACTTCGGGAGGCTGAGGTGGGCAGATCAGGGGTTCGAGACCAGTCTGGCCAACATAGTGAAACCCCATCTCTATTAAAAATACCAAAATTAGCCAGGCGTGGTGGAAGGCACCTGTAGTCCCAGCTACTTGGCCGAGGCAGAATTGCTTGAACCCGGGAGGCAGAGGTTGCAGTTAGCTAAGATCGTGCCACTGCACTCCAGCCTGGGCAACAGAACAAGATTCCGTCTCAAAAAAAAAAAAAAAAAAAAAAAAAGGGACAGAAGAGGGCTCTGTTTCTAATCTTGCTTGTACCCAACCCTGAGATTTGGGGGATCAGGCAAGAGAGGGATTTGATGGAAAGCAACCATACCGAGGAGGGAAGCTAACTCCACAGAGCACTTTGCCAGATGCTGCTCAGCAGGTGGGCACAGGAACTGCGGTTGGGGTGGGGGGGAAAGAGAGACCATAGGTATCACCATGCTTACTGCTGCGAGAACTGGCCCTGAGCCAGTGTGGCTCTGGTTATCAGGTCTCACACAAGGACACAGAAAAAAGCCCCCCGGTGGCAGATGCCACAGCTCACCTGGCGGCACCGCAGCGTCTGGCCCAGCTGGCCTAGGAGCTGTTCCAGATGCTCTGGGGAGACTCCCTCGTCAGGGTCCCGTGGCCCCACGGCCAAGGAGAGCACGTCCTGTGAAGAGCAGGGGGAGATATCACCTTGCGCTGGGGGCCAGGATGCCACAGAGAATTTGGCTTGGGACAGGGATCAGCCAGTGGAGAGAGGCAGAAGAATGGGCCCCGGGATATGGTGAGTAAAGCCAAGTTGCCCCTAGACCTGGGACTTGGGCAGGATAATACAGCCAGGGGAAGCAACCATGTGGACAACAAAAGAGGGAACAGATGGAGGTCAGCTGAGGGACAGTAGGCTGCCATAGCATGGGAAACGTCACTCAACTTGGGACCAAACTGTAGCTAACCAACTCCCATAGGGCATCTTATTCTTGAAGCATGTAAGGAAACCGGCCTATCAGATACCGTCTTAGTATCGTCTGTCTCTCAAGCCTCTCTGTTCATCTTCTCTGGAGAGCTGAGCTTTCAATACAGAAATCCTCTGCATATTGACAACCAGTATCAAATGGCCACTAAGCCTCTTCCTCTCCCTCCTACATAATCTCCATTTTTTAGTCATTGTACCTTATAGTCCCTATTCCAATCTCTATTCCTAGATCATTACCCTAGACCAGAACCAGACAGTAAATATTTTAGGCTTTGCAGGCCATAAAGTCTGTGTCCCAACTATGCAACTCTGCTGTTCAGTAGTTGCACAAAAGCAGCCATAGGCAGCTCGTACACAAATTAATATGGCTGCATTCCACTAAAACTTCACTCACAAAACAAGGGGCTGGCTCGCTTCAGTCCATGGGCTGTTTCTTGACTCCTGCTCTAGAGAGTCTTTGAGTTTTAAAATAAAGTTAGGAGAACTGATGGTTTATTCTTACTGCCTGTAACTAAACAAGCATCACCTCCCACATAGAACATTTCTGAAATTGTCTCCAAATACTGGGGCGACTGCCTCCTAGAGACTCATTTGCTATCAAGCCATTCACCACCGCACTCTCATCACCATCTGCATAATAAGCATTTAGTCAAAAATGTCCTAGCTGCCCTTTTCCCCTTTTGGATGATTAAAAAGTCAGAGTGACAATTAGGAAAACCATTCAATTCAGCTCTGCCCTACCTAACCCCCATTCAGTAATGAGTGAAACGGGGACTAGCTGGACAGCACAGACAGCTTCTACATAAAAATCCTGGAGCTGATGTGAGAAAGGAAAAACCAGGAACAGAGCAGGGGGGTGGGAGCAGGGAAGCCAAAGGGAGTAGGGTAGCCGTGTACTTTTATCTCGGAGATGAGGTGGGAGGGGAGGGGAGCATGGTGCTCACAGGCGCGGGAGCAGCCCCTCCGCTCCCCCCGGGCAGCAGGTTCAGGACCCTGGGCTCGAAGTGTGCGACTCACTGCTGCTTTCACCTCCCTCCTGATCAGTGCTGTGGGGCAGAGGGAGAATGGGAAAGGAATCACGGGAGGGCCCTGCACAGGTTCACCATGCTAACCCATGCCTTTTGCTGTTTCCTACTGGCTCTCAGTCCCATCGCCCACAAGATGCCTCTGACTCTCTGCCAGTCCACTTTTTAAACACTTGATTCAGCCACTCCCCCATCCAGGACCTTACCTGTGATGTTGGCTGACAGCCAAGCACAGGCTTTCTCTGTTGCAAGCCCCACAGCAATGTTCTCTGCACTGCTCAGAACCTGCGAAACAGAACTACAGAGTCAGGGGCTAGGGGAGGGCTGGGTGCAACAAAGGATGCCAGAGTCGAGCACTGACCCCGCCCCCACACACCCTCCCGCAGCCTCAGACTACTCCGTGCACCTCCCCACAACTGCCTGGCCTGCTAGCTGCAGGCCTCCCTCACACGTACGGCTGCCGGGGTCTCCTCTGGAAGCAGCGCCCGCACAGCCCCAGGGCTCTTCCTTTGACAGAACCTAAAAGGGGACAGATGGGGTCAGTGATCTCTGGGTATTTCAGCCTGGCTGCAGAAGTAAATGCCCCGAGTGCACCAAGCCCCTGACCTGGGAGGCTGTACCTTGGAAGGAGGCACCGTTTGCCCTCCCGCCCCACCCCAGGTGCCAGAGAAAAGACAAGCCCAACTGCCAGCCCCACAGCATCACACACGCTCCCAAACCTAGGTTTGGCTTTTGTGCCACAGAAGGCCTACAGCCAGTGCAGGGCTTATAGAGAATGGGCGCAGGGAGAAGAAAAAAGGAGGCATGAAGAGAAGAAAGGGAAAAAAGAGTAAGTGTGAAGGAGGAAAGAAAGGACAGAGAAAGCCAAGAGGAGAGTGGATCAAATGGACCAGCGCTGCTTACTCCCGCCCCAGGGCCAATGCCTGGGCCCCGTGAGGGCACAGCTGGGAACACAAGATCTCCAACAGCTGGGCTGGGTCTCCCCCTTCCTCTCCCTGTGTCACCAGCTGCTCTTGGAGAAGTGACTCTGCCTGGCGCACCAGATCTGCCACCAGTGTAGCCCTGCAGCAGGGACAGCAAGGTTGGGGATGGTTGGAGGGTTAATCGGAAAGAGGCTGAAAATTTATGGGAATTTGGTCAGAAATTTGCTTCAAAATGTGTCAGCCATTTCAGCCCCACACCCACCCTCTGGCTGACCTTCTCAGTTTAGCAACTGAGGAAAAAGGGGAAAAAATGGTAGGGCGATGAGACCAGGATCCTTAACCCACTCTTACTTGATATGTTTGACACAGTTTGATCCAATTCTTTCTGCCACGAACTCTACGGTCCGGCGCAAGGAGGGCGGCTGGTTGTGGAAAAAGGCCTGGGCGAGCTGTGCCTGGGGGGAGGAGGGAGAGGCAGCAAGGCTTCCTCCAGCCTCCCTGTCCCCGCCCCCAACCCCCCCTCATTTTCCCCACGGCTGTCTCCGCCCTGCCCTTACCTGCAGCCCCTGGCTGGTCTGGGAAGGCTGGGCTCCCAGGCTGGTGGTAGTGGTGGGGGTGATTTTCCTCATGAAGCCCCCACTCCGTCCACTACTGCCTGACACCCACGAAGCGAGCAGTTTCCGGAGCTCTCCTGTATCAGTGAAGTCCAAGTTCTCAGTTCCAGAACCCTCTCCCCTCCCTAAGTATCATGGACTTTACTTGTGGAGTCAAGAGGCTCAGATACCCAGGAATGACTATGAACGGAGCAATATCCAAGGGAGCTGGGCCAAGGGGGTGCCTTTTGGGTACTCATGGAGGGACAGACCAAGGACCGTCCAGGGAAGACCGGTGCTCACCGATGTAGGGGCAGCAGGTGTAGAGCAGCTGCTGGTCCACCACAGGCGCATTGTCCTGGGGAGAAAAGGTTGGTGTCAGCAGACTGCCCCTCCCCCAGCGCACCCAGAAAGCAGGCAGTTGGCAGGGCCTTTACAAGGGTTACATCTGCCCCTGGCTGGGCCTCCCCAGGCAGCCCACTTCCTTTATTCCTGAGTTTCCCATGGCTCTGGCGGAACCCCAGCACTCACCAAGCCATGCTCTGGGGCTACTGTGTCCACCTCAAAGGCATATGAGGGACCCTCTTCCAGAAAGAACAAGTCCTCAGGGACTGTGGGAATCTGGCAAGACAGTCACAATTCAGGTCAACTTCAGAGACCCCCACCCAACCCACCCCACCTCCTGCACGGTCCCAGGGTGTAGGCGCCAGCTTCAAAGCAGCCACCTCTGAGATGATGGGAATCCCCAGGCCTTTCCTGAACCTTCGTCTTCCAGCCCTTGCCTCATTCGCACTCAGACATTTGCCCACTCCCCATCTTCAGCTGTAGAACCTCTCTCCAATCTGGACCCTCACTCTGCCCACCTGGAAAAGCCAGCCCAGGACAGCAAGTAGCAGCAGCTTGTTCAGGAAACACATCTTCCCCTCACTCTCCTGCGACAACACCAAGCTCCTGAAACATCAATGGGCAGTACACGGGTTTGAGCAGAAAGGGGAAGGGAATGGAGGCAAACGCCATCAGTGGAAACTGGCTTGCAAAAGCAGAACTAAAAGGGACTGGGGCCATGTTGGCAAGCAGGATCCCCCCAGCCCCGCCTCCTGCATGGGGACTGTCTCTCAGCGGGGCCACCTCAGGAACAGCATGAGGCCAATGAAAGTGCAGATGATTTCCCACTGTACCTCAGGGGAGCCAATCGTGCCTCTCCCAGGGCTCAGTTATGGCCAGGGCCCCACACGCACAGTGCAGACTGCTCGACCCTCTTTATTAATAGCAGGCTTGACCAATGTCCCGAGTCCCGAATCCTTTCATCAAGCCTCAGCCTTGTTCCACTCACCGGTGCAGGCGCAGCAGGAGAGTGAAGATGTCCCGGTAATATTCCAGCAAGGGAACAACATGGTCAGCAAAGGAGAGAAACTCCACCAGCCAGGGCACGGTGAGCACCGCCCGGCGGGCCTGCAGCCCTCGCTGCAGCAGAGTCCGCACATCCAGGACCGGAGGGACCTGGGAGGGCCAGAGCTCAGTCAGGGGGCAGGTCCCTAGGAAGGGCTGGGAGATGCCCTTTAACCTGCCTGGTTTCCAGAATAGCCAAGGAAACCAGTCAGCTTCAGTGCCTGGCCGGTCCTCCCTGCTCCCTCCTCACCAGAATCCCCCGCCCATTCACCTGGCTCCTGAGGGCCAGAATGGAGTCCTGAAGCTCACCGGTCGGGGGAGGTTCAGGCCCCCGGTATGGCAGGAAAGCCACAAAGCCCAGGAATTTAGCCAAAAGTCTCAGGCTAAGAAGCACCACAGCAAATTGCTTCCGCTCACCCTGCATGGAATCAAGGGAAGTAAAAGGTCCAAGCATGAGGCTTCCAGAACAATTCCCGATCTGTTATAAAGTTTTTCTTGAACATACTCCCTTCCCTCCTGGGTCAGACCCCATTATTTCCCTTGTTCTGTTTTCGGACCTGCCAGTCTACGTCTGACTCCCCGTCTTCATCATTGGGCTCATGCTGGGGCAGGGCAAGACCATTGAGCTCCTGGATCTTCAAGCTCAGACTGTCCATGAGATGCTGGTTAAACTGGAAGCTGAGAAGAAGGGGTGGGTGGGGCATAAGCACTGGAAGAGGTACAGGAAAAGCCAGAATCGAGAAGGGGCACTCCAGAGGGAAGGGAGCAGCAGGACAGACAGGGAGGCCCAGGAGCAATGAAATCACCCACGTGGGTGACAGAATGAGAAGTGCAATGAAGCCAGCAAGTTGGAGCTGGAAGGAGCCTATCTCCAGGCAAAGGAGACTGGAGAACTATTTACCCTTTTGGGAAGCCAAACCTTTCCTGGCCTCTGCCCCATTCCTTGCAAGACACAGGGGAGCCTACCTGCTGGCACTAAGGATGAAGTCCCTAAAGAAGCCTTGACAGCCTGGGAAGGTGGGGGGTGGGCAGGGCCCCCCACTGCTCTGAGGAGCCATAAGCCGTTCCTGTAGGCGCCACAACCGCCCCAGCTTGTCAGCTCCCAGCATACTCAACACATCTGGGGCCTCGCCCAAGACGGTGCCCCCAGCACCACCAGGGCTCTGACACATCTAGGGTGGAAGAGGAAGGAGAGAAATTAAAAAAATCAGCAAGTGGGAGGGAAGGACTGAACAAAAAATAAGGAGAAAGTAATGAACATTTAAGGAATGCCAACTGTGTCAAGTGCTTTAGATAGATTTTCTGAGATGTGAATTACAGTATTGTTTCACAGGTGAAGAAACTTAAATTCCAAGGTTAAGCATGTGCCTAGGGTCACTAGAGCTAGGATCTGAAACAAAGCTTGACTACTTACTAAGCCTGGGCTCTTTACCACAGCACAAATCAGGGAAGGCAGCAGCAGGCTAGAGGAGCTGCAGGGCCCGGGATGTGTCAAAGAGAGTGCCCTGGCTTTTCTGTGGCCACTGGAGTTTCAGCCACTCCGCGAGGAGTAGAACTCTTGTTCAAATTCCAGCCCAGGACCTGCCAGGCTGTCTGCCCTATCCCAAAGTGCAGCCGTTAAGTGGCTGCCTGTGATGCCTGCTGTTTAATGTGGATTAATCTCTTGCTGGGGCTGTTACCTGGAGTAGTTGTTTTTGGAAAAGCCGAACAAAGTGGCTGTGGCTGCAGGCTGCGGAGAGCTGACCCATCATGGCCCTGAGGAATAGAAGGCAGGAATGAAGGGTGTGGAAAGGAGGGAGAGGGAGAAAGATCTGAGAGAAGCAGCCAACCCCTGGACTTCCCAGCCGTTTACCAGGGACTTGAGCAGACCTCAGCCAGAGCCAGCCTGCAAAGGGACACTGAAGGCAAGGGACACTCCCTCAGCACCAAGGTCCTCCGAGGCTAGAGGTGCACTTAACCAAACAAGAAATCATGCGACCACACCCCCCGACCGTCTTCAGCCACACTAACAGGCGGCGGGTTTCATGAGCAATGTGAAGGGAGATGACTGGACTGAGGTTCGCGTTCTGAGCCCAGGCATCTACCTGCACAGTGACCAGACTTGCCCAAATTAGAGGATGGAGAAGATGGAGGCTGGATGTGTCTAAGCAGTGACTTGGGCCAAAAAAACCTCAAGCAACCTGAGTTAAGAGCTTTGGACTTTCTAAGCAATTGCCACTACAGAACAAGGATAAGACACCTGTGAGTGGAAGGAGCTGGAGAGACACATCCCTTTCGAATAGAGGCAGAGTTATCAATAACTAAAGAGATTTCGGAGGATAGTAGAAAACAGCTAATGGCTGGTAGGAGCGGGGAAAACCTTCCCTCCTCCTCCCTCCTGCCACCGAGCAAGCACTGAGCTACTCATTGCCAGGAACAAGAAAGACAAGGTCTGAGCACCCACCTGATTCTGCTGCCCAAGCCCTTCTCAAAATCCCAGCCAGGCTCCTCATGGTGATCTTCCCACTCTCGCAGCACCTCATAAAACACATCCCTGACGCATAAGAACGCCTGATCAGCCGAGGCACTCACTCCCACCAGTGCCTTCCTGCCCCTGGAAGAACTATCCGTAGCCCACCCACCACCTTTTTTTTTTTTGGAGATGGAGTCTTGCTCTTGTCACTCAGGCTGGATTGCAATGACGCGATCTCAGCTCACTGCAACCTCCGCCCCGCCTGGGTTCAAGCGATTCTCCTGCCTCAGCCTCCAGAGTAGCTGGGATTACAAGTGCCCACCACCACGCCTGGCTAATTTTTGTATTTTTAGTAGAGACGGAGTTTCACCATGTTGGCCCGGCTGGTCTCAAACTCCTGACCTCAGGTGATCCGCCCCTCGGCCTCCTGAAGTGCTAGGATTACAGGCGTGAGCCACCACACCCGGCCAGCAGCCCCATTTTTAAATTTCTCCAGAGTTCTCTATATGATGACAGTAGTGCTACAGACCAGCAGCACATTACAGGCTTCATGTACTTCTGTGGGCAGTGACAGTTCATCCTGGCACACTCTTGCTTGAGAACCCTGAGACTAAAACCATACACCTGTGAGATGGCTTGCTAAGCGCCGGGGTTCACAGATGCACATGAGAATGAAGCCAGGTGGTCCCTATGATGGCCGGCAGGAAGGACCTGGGGGGACTAACCCACCACCTGTTGGTGCCAAACTCCTAATTTCTATGAAACCAAACAGCTGCCTATTCCAGAAAAATGTCATCTCATTCCCTCCCCAAAAAGTCCCTTTTCTTATCACCTCTGTTTCTTAAAAGTATGAAAGGCTCGGTCACTGGAGAAGTTGGCACGATTGTCAGTCTCTGGCTGAAAGGAGACAGCTTGAGTAGAGGGAGGCATCACCAGAGAGACCTAAAATACAGCAGGAACGTTAGGAACTGCAGGGTCATGCTGAGAAAACTTCTCCCTCTTATTCTTGCCCAGAGTTAGCTCACATTACACTGAAGTGTCGTCAGCAGGGTTGCCTGAATTTATGAAAGCTAGGAAGGGTTAGGTCCAGGCTAGTGGGCAACTAAGCTGGGGTTACTACCTTGGCAACACTGCCCTCATAGGCAGCTCGAAGGCGGCCTTGCAGAGCTGGTGAGAAGCACAGCAGCCGCTCATTCTCAGCCAGCAGCTTCAAGGTCCCTTTGTCCAGGTTGGAAAGAACCCTGCAGGGACAAGAGCACCTATGACTGAGACCAGAACACAGACTGCAAGTAGGAAGCAAGCACCTGCACACCACAGAGGATCTCTAAGGCATGGCGCAGGTATGCAAGCCCAGATATGTACTGCAAGGTCATGGGCCAAGGATCAAAGATAATGAAAGTCAAGGGGAGGATATGAGACTTTACAGAGCAAGGACCAAGACAGCAGGACAGGAACATTACCCAGAAACCAAAGCTCAGCTGCCAAGACCACAGGGGTCCATTTCTTTTTCTTTTTTTTTGAGATGGGGGTCTCTGTCACCCAGGCTGGGCTGGGCGTCACCCAGGCTGCAGTGGCGTGATCTCACTACAGCCTGGACCTCCCAGGCTCAGGAGATCCTTCCACCTCAGCCTCCTAAGTAGCTGGGATTATAGGCGCACTCCCCCACACCCGGCCTTTTTTTTTTTTTTTTTTTGGTGGAGATGGGATTTTGTCATGTTGCCCAGGCTGGTCTAAAACTCCTGGGCCTAAGTCACTGTCCTGCCTCGGCCTCTCAAAGTGGTGGGAATGCAGGCGTGAGCCACCACACCTGGCCCGATCTCAATTCTTTCAGGGACTACATTCATAGCCTTAACACAAAATTAAAGAAAGATTATAGGTAGGAGAAGGTCCAGGACCACTGCCCCTGTGTTAAGCACCAGCATATATCCCAAGCAGCCAGAGAGCTAAGCAGATGATGAGAATGAGGCCCAAATGCCTCAGCCAGGGAAACTCACTGAAAGTGACACTCCAAAACCTGCACTGCAAAGAAGACACAATCGTGGATGCTTTGGAACAGTGGACTTTCCAGGGAATCTAGAAGGACAGTACCAAGCTGTCAGTTAAGAACGGTCCCGTTTCTAGACCCCATGTCTCAAAAGGAGGCTTGCTCACTGACCTAGGACAGCTGGACTTAGTTCAGGGTCGCTGTCCTTGGCAGTCACCATCCTCCGGGCAGTGAGGAGCTGAAAGACGAAGAAAAGCTCCAAGAAGAGGTTTGGTACCAGGTTCTCTAGATAGATACAAAAAGAAAGCCCATGGTATGGGCACCATTTGGAGCCAAGGCTCAGTTCCAAGTGCCTTACCAATTCTCTTACCCATAAGTTCTACAAGTGTCTCCACTCCCGCTCCCTCCGCTCTCACTCACCAGCAATGCACGAGGAGTAAACAAGGGCTACAAGCTCCAGGCGCTGGCGGGAAGACACTCTGGCAGGGTCTGCAGGTTCATCTGTGAGGCTTCCTGTCCGGCTGGGGAGGGGCGACCCCAATTCTGGGGTGGGACAGGTGGGGGTAGGTGACTGCTGCAGCTGCTTAGAGCTATGGAATAAAGAAATTTCATGAGCAGTCAGCTTGGCTTCCCTGCTACGGCCACACTCAGGTCACTCCAGAGAAGATACCAACAGCCCAGGAGACAAACCCAGAGTCCCCAAGAGGGAAATCAATTTCAGGGAAAACCCCTGAAGATCCCCCACAGCGAGGAAACCGATATCCCCAGGAGCGGCCAGGCCATACCGCTCCTTCCTGAGCATCTCTCGCTCCTCTTGCAGACTTCTGCACCCTGGGGGAAGGCCAAGGCCCCAAGGGCTAGTGTCCAGGGCTGAGGGTTGGGAACTGGGGACACAGCTGATTGGGGGTGAGGTGAAGCAGGTCTTGGGCTTGGAGAGTGACCGCTCTTCGCTCACCGGAGTTGGGTTGATCCTGCGAGAAGGCTTCGTCCTGCTGAGAGTAGCCACAGGTTTTTCTCAAATTCCTATCTTCAAACATCTCCCCTCCACCACCGCAACAGCTAGACCTCTTGCCAAAAAACCCCACAAAAACCCTCACCATCACCCCCAGCCTTCTACCCATCCTGGCGCTCCACTGCGGAGCGCCGAGCTCGAATGACTGACTCCCCAGAGCCTTCGTGGTACCCATCTCCTGCATGAGAGCTGAGTCTCACCCTGTAGGGCCGGGGGGAACCGAGCCTACGGGAGGGAACTCCTCCAGGTTGCTGAGGTTTGGCGGATCAGACAGCGTGAGGCTGGGGCGGCTGGGGCTGCCAGAGCCCCTAAGCCTCCGGCCCCCGGCTCCGGGCAGGCTCTCCCCGCTGACCCCCTCCTCCAGGCCGCGGCCTCCACGCTCGCGGGCCGGCCCCGGGCCCCGCCTCCTGCCCCCGCGGCGGGCCAGAGGGGCCTCGGCAGCGGTGCTCTGGGCCTCGGTCGGAGGGAAAAGCTGGCTGCGCGCCCCGCGGCTACCCCGCGGCGGGCCTCCCGGCCTCCCTGGCAAGGCTGCCGAGGCGCCCGGGGTCTTGGCGGGGGTCGGGGGCCCCTGCGGGAGGACGCGGCTGCTCTGCTCCCTCAGGAAGTTCAACAGGAACGGTACGAATTCTTTCCGCAGGGCCCGGAGTGAGCTCAGCGCGGCCGCCTCCCCAGCGTTATCCTAGGGCAGAAGCACAGGTGGAGGGGCGAGAGGGTCAGCCGCCGGCCCGCGGGCCGTGAGCAGCCGGGGCCGTAGGGCGCGCCTCGGGTGGGCGGCCCGGGCAGCGGCGCCCAGTTGGAGTGCACTCGGCCCGGCTGGCAGCCAGGCGCCCTAGAGGAAGGGGACTGGAGGGCTGGACTCCACTGCGGGAACCGGCTTCGAGTCAGACCTGGGGGCGTGTCACCGCTGTTACCTCCGAACCCTGGGTGCTGCGCGCGATCCACCGCACGACGGC
Organism: Homo sapiens; assembly: GCF_000001405.40. Lineage (NCBI taxonomy): Eukaryota > Metazoa > Chordata > Mammalia > Primates > Hominidae > Homo > Homo sapiens. The sequence goes on from NC_000015.10 coordinate 42,737,055, forward strand.
TGCGACCGACACCTCTTCTCGCAGCAGCGACTCCAAAACGGCCGCCATCCCGGTCGGGGCGCTCTGGGGCGACTGCGCAGGCGCCGGCGCGCCGCGGGCGGCCAGGGAGGGGCGGGGCCGGCGGCGGGGAACGACCGTTGGGTCGCGGGATGGGGAGGGACCCGGCTGGCGGGGCGGGGCGGAGCCGGCTGTTGCCCAGACCCACGGAGTCAAGGCCTCGCTGAGTCCTCAACCCCGGCCGAGAGGCCGGTTGTTAGGAGGTGAAATGTGGATCACAGCGCCTGGGGAGGCCCACCTTGGCTGCCCGCCCTGGAGCGACCTGAAGGGAGGGATTCGAGCTGGGAGTGGGGCTGCCGCGGGTCGGACGCCCCTCTAGGGAGACCCAGGACCCGGGAGAGAGGTAGAGGGGAGCAGAGACAGCCACCAGCTTCTATCTTCTGCTCTAAGCACATTCTTTCACGAGTTTAAGTTTCCTAGATCCAACTGGCACCACCCCAGAGAAATTATAATCTAATCTTTCATTTTGACTTTGTTCTTCTCAAAGGCCGATTTTTCAATCCCTTGGCCGAGCAGTACCCATCGGCTTTTCAGCGCTCACCATCAACTGACCATTTAGGAAAGAATTATTTCTAGGAGGTTCTTAATAATCCCCAAGCCACAACCCTTAAAGTGCCTCGGGCCACCCTGCACACAGAATTGCTTGTATGTAGCTTTATTTACTTAAGTGGGTTTACATGAGGTTAATATTTCAACTACTTTGCAGTTTAGATGTCAGTAAGCATATCATGATTAGCTTCTGGGAGCTTGAGGTTTGTATTTTTGGGTTTGGTGTTTTTTGTTTTTGTTTTGTTTTTTTTGAGACAGGGTCTTGCTCTGTTGCCCAGGCTGGAGTGCAGTGGCGTGAGCACGGCTCACTGCAGCCTTGGCCTCCTGGGCTCAAGCAATCCTCCCGACTCAGCCTCCCTAGGGCTATAGCCCAGCTAATGTTTTGGCCGGGAGAGGGCAGCAGATCCAAAGTGCTGGGATTATAGGCGTGGGCCACCACGCCCGGCCTGAGTAATTTCTTAATCTCCTTTATTTAATTTTATTTTGAGATGGAGTCTCGCTCTGTCACCCCCGGGGCTGGAATGCAGTGGGAGGCAGAGGTGGGCGGATCACGAGGTCGAGAGATGGAGACCATCCTGGCCAACATGGTGAAACCGTGTCTCTAATAAAAATACAAAAATTAACTGGGCGTGGTGGCACGCGCCTGTAGTCCTAGCTACTGGGGAGGCTGAGGCAGGAGAATCGCTTGAACCTGGGAGGCGGAGGTTGCAGTGATCCAAGATCACGCCACTGCACTCCAGCCTGGGTGACAGAGCGAGACTCCATCTCAAAAACAAAACAAAACAAAAAAACCTGAGAGAGGATTTTGAAGGTTGCTGCTCAGTGACAAATCAAGCAAGGGAATCCAAGCGGAGAAAAACAGATGGCACGAACATTCCATGTCAAACCAAACCAGGAGGGGTGAGGCAGTGCCCTTGTGAATGCCTCCTGAGAGTTGCTCTGGTTCAAAGGAAGGTTACGGGCGGAAGGATGAGGGTGGGGGTGCAGGAATCTCTCTAGTGGCAGAAGGGGTATTTCCTATGGAGAAGGAAAAAGTACCTCCAGCCAGACAGAATAATGGACTAAAAAGGAGCTTTTAATATTTTAATTTTATTACAGGAAAACATCTCCTAACTGCAGGGACACTTAACACCTAGCTTCTATTCAGTCCTGGGCTGCTTTTTCTAGGGAACTTCTAGATGTGGTACTGCATTTACAGTAACACTATCTGCTCCCCGTTGATCTTGTAACATCTGGTGTATTCAATAACTTTATTAAATTAGAAAAATATTTTCCACTTTTGAAATCCAGACCATCACACAAACAGAACTAGATTTTGCATGCGGAATGAATATTTTATTACTAGGTTATAAAAATAAAATACAAAATAATTTTAAAACAGAACTTAAAACACTGTACAAAGCTTTAATATGATACAAATGGGAAAATTAAATAAATAATTACACTTTTATGTACAGGTGGCCTATACAAAAGCACTCCATGTTTCTGCCGATACTCTGTCCTTGGTTGCCTGAGCAAAATTGTATAAAGGGAGCTGCTTGGAGGGGAAAGGAACACAATAAAACGCCTCTGGAGGTATTTCAAAGAGTAGTTTCTCATCTCTCTGATTTCAGGAAGAGGAGAAGAGAGGGAGAGAAAAGTGGAATTATTAAAGTCATCTAACTCATTGGTCTTGTTCAACAAGAAAGAATTCTGGTTTGTGGCTGAATCTGATTTAACAGCTGCCAATAGCTCATTACTTCTAAGATGTATATCTAATTCAAAACTAGATGCTCCCCCCTCCCTCTTTTTTCCCTAAAAGCTGGGAACTTGTAAGTAAATGGCCTAGTGAAATAGACACTGGCTATTTTAGAAAAAGGGTCAGAAGGTAGACCAGGAACTATGTATCAAGGAGAAGTAAGTGAGGCTCAAGCCCAGGCCACCTAGGCTGTGTTTATTCAGTCCACCCAATCCAATGTCAAAGCCCCAAGTGGGCCAGTGTTACCTTTATCTTCCCATCTTTGTATTTCTGAAAGCTTTGTCACCTCAGTGGACTACTTTGGCTGATGAACAGTTCAAATAGAAGATTGTTTTGGAAAAAGTCCCAAGGGCTTTCCCCTTCCTGGGTAGCTCCCTATAAGTCAAATTCAAGTTCTGGTAGCCTTGTTTACCCCTTGTAGGCGAGTGAAGAATGCCCACACAGAGTTCAGATGTGGTGAAATGCTGGGCATTGATTCCTCAGGATTTAAACTGCATATTATTAGAGAAAAAGAGCATCATATGGCAAGGGTAGTCTATATAAAAACTTGGTTTACTCAATGTTTTTAATTAGGCGAGTGAACACTTATGTACATAATATTAAATAATATTAAACTAATAAAAAGAGAGGTAAAATTCCTATCCATTGTTATTGTAAAATTATATCATCAGCAAATTCTATAGTCACATGGGCTCAAAGATCTGCCTCATCCAATCTTGTTCCCTAGGTCAAGGAACCCAGAGCCAGGGTACCTGGGAGGCATGGTCAGCATCGCCAGTGTACATATATTCTGTGCCCATACTACCACTAACGCTTCCAGCTGAAGAGGAGGCAGAAAACCGTTACATTGCACAGGGCCATGAAAGGAAAGGCTTCACTACTTTTACATGTTACCTTAAGACCAAAGATCCAGCAAAGTCTAAGGAAATATCCTAATCATTACTGTGTAATGTTACTTTTTTGCTATTCAGTGTCTTGAGATTGTGTGGAAATTCAAGGTGACCTGATCTTGTCACATACTTTAATTTTCTGATCCAAATTTGCTGAAAGGGAATAATTAAACATCAAGCTTAAATATTTTTTTAAGTAGGAGCAGACAATCACAACTGAATTAGAAGACGTCTTAATGGGCATAGACTTTATTTTTGTTTTACTTTTTTTTTTTTTTTTTTTTGAGACGGAGTCTCACTCTGTCGCCCAGGCTGGAGTGCAGTGGGGCGATCTTGGCTTACTGTAATCTTCTGCCTCCCAGGTTCAAGCGATTCTCCTGCCTCAGCCTCCTGAGCATCTGGGACTACAGGCGCCCGCCACCATGCCCAGCTAATTTTTTGTATTTTCAGTAGAGACGGGGTTTCACCCTGTTAGCCAGGATGGTCTCGATCTCCTCACCTCGTGATCTGCCCGCCTCAGCCTCCCAAAGAGCTGGGATTACAGGCATGAGCCACTGCGCCTGGCCTTGTTTTACTTTTTAAAATTTCTGTGAGCTGCTCTAGAAAACTAAAGGACGAAAACTTTACTGTCATAATTCCAAGTTCAGTCAGGGATTTCTCAGAATTGAGGTGTGCAGCATCCAGATTCCCCTTTATGTGGATAGGGATCCCTGTGCCATGTCTTGCACTTACCTAAGAACTATAGGAATTCTCCATGTACCTCCTACAGTTTTTCTAGCAGTGTTGGACAATGGATTCTAAAGGTTCCTGAGACTTTGTTAAATTTCTCATAATTCCAGAGGGAAGGCCAAAATATTGAGAATACTCAATGATAGGATGAGTTTCCACTCTACTTCCTTATCCTCAAGGCACACACCAGAGTTCCACTGGGTGAGGACAGGGAAGTAGGATGTCCCAACACCCTCTGAGGGTTTTCATGCATTAATCCCGCCATATGGGCTGATGGTTGGAACTGCCTTTAGTTCTCTAAGTAAAGGTCTAAAAATGCACCTGTGGTTTCTGAACTTGGGTATACGCTGATACATAAGGACTACCATAGAAGTTACATGCCTTAATCCTGTAATACTTTTGTGTGGTATCATTCTGCTAATATATTGTCCACAGGGCCAAACCCCAAGTTACACAGCGCAACAGTACTTGTCAACCACTCCATCTCCTCAGTGACACAGGTGCTAAAGTACCTCTCCCCTGAGGCAAAGTCCCGACACATCTGTGGTAAGTGCACATAAACAGAAATGGGCAGATTTTGAAAGTGAATGCAAACAACTTAATTCCAAAATACATAAACATGACAGAAGAAGTGGTTCTCTAACATATGCCATGTTTGATCAATATAAAGAATAAGTTTTTAAAATATAAAAGACTTTGATCTCCAAGACTAAATCTAGACTTATCTGCAAATAAGTAAATTTTCAAACAGCCAGGGGAAAATGCATTTTTTTCACCGAGTCTCACTAAATCATTCTGAATTCTGGATCCTGCTTCTCGTATCACCAATTCCTAATGTTAGGAATGTAGAACTGTCTGCTCTTGGGGAAAAAAAAAGCATCTGTTTTTAATTCAAAGCTCTGGGTATAGAAAAACTAATTATGGTTTTAGCTATCTGTGTCTGGGTTTATAAAACATGCACCAATGTACACTTTCTCCTTGTAGATTGAATGCAACTATAGAAGTATTAGCATAAAAATATGTGGCCTGGAAGGAATCTCTGAAGATACTGAAGAACCTCAAGTTCCCTACATTGCTAGGAGCCAAGGGAAGGAGACACTGTACACCTAGAGCGCTGAATTAGCAGCTGAGGTTTTAGTATTTGAAAGCAAATAATATAAAGCGAGTAATGTCTACAGTGGGTCTCAGTTACCATTTGGCTACTTATTTAGGACTCGATTAACTTGGCAACTTTTACAAAAAACATTCACATCACAACATGCAACTTAAAAAACAGTTAATGTAACTATGCCACTGTCAGCAAGGCCAGCTTGCATACCAGAGTTAAGAATGAGAGTGTCTGTCTGCCTAGGGCTTAACATTCAAAGATATTTATAATCTGTGTTTTAAGGTTAAATTTTATATGACCCAGTTTTCCTTCTTTGTTCACTATACACTAAAATTAAACGCCTCTACGCTGTGCAAGAAATCACTATGTGTGATTTTACTATTTCAACCAATCCATAGACCCTGAGGATTTGGCAGCAGAATTCAGGAGAAATGCTACCTAAAGTGATTGAGCTGTTGCTAATTCTACCTTCTGTTCCACTCAAGTACCTCCAGGGACTAACAAGGGAAGGCAAGGGCAACTGTGACTGACTAGGTAACCAGCTATTCTGTTGTGACAGAAGAAACCAGGTAATACTTGATTTTCAAAAGATAATTTTAACTGCTGCCCTATACTACTTTTAGTATAGTTTGGCTTGACCTTAATAGCCATGTCCCTCATCTTAGATAGAATAACCAAATTGGTTTAAAATTACTTGATCTATGTCACTGAAACCTGAAATATGCCATCACTAAGAGAACCCCCAAATAAAAAATAAAGAACTAAAAAACACAACCAAACCAAATCAAACCAAAAACCTCATTCTCTGTATCATACTTTAAAACTAAAATAAAAATCCCTGTGTCACAGGTGCTTGCTCAGGGCTGCCAACTTCTATTTTTCACCTGAGAGACATCTAAAAGCGCAAACTATGCTTGTAAAAACCAAAAAGTAAATCTCTACATAGGACAATACTTATAAGCAGACCTATTGATACCACTTATATATAATTAGTCTGTTTTCTTTAGAAAGTATCAGAGCAGAAACGTCTTTGGTTAATTCTTTCCTCTACATGCAAAATAAAATATTCTTAAACGATGGACTGTTTATCTCTGGATCTTGATGAGTTTGTCAATGCCATTTAGAAAAGGGGACAACACACTAGAAAAGTTGAGATAAAAATGGAAGGAACCAAGAAAGAGAGAAAACATTCAGTTGCCACATTCCCATCACTGTCAGTTCCAACTGCCAGCAGAGAAATGCCAATAAGAAATAAAATCACACACACGTACCACAGTTGTAGCTTCATCAGCTTTTCCAATGATTACTACTAGCATATTTCCGACTAAAGGGGTCAGGATTTAAAGCTAGCTACTTTTAGCACAATTTAGCTAATGCAACAGAAATATGACAATTTCTTCATTATTCCCCCGACCCCCTGCAAAAAAAGTGAGATGAAAAGAGGAAAGTAGAATGGCAATTTTTAAGAAATGTTTTAAAAATCTGTCAGACTCATCATCATCCCAGTTTATCCACTCTAACTATAAGGAGAGAACTATGTGATTAACATGACAAATCTCTGAACCAGTATTACAAGCATGTCCCTGTAATTTTTTCCCTATTAAAATCTTTTTGAAATGAAAATTAAATAACCTATCTTGGCTTGTTAAATACTGCCCACCCTTGCATTGTACACAGGGAAGGCAAGAAGACTCTGAGGTGTCACATGCCAAGAACATAGTTTCAGAAAATGAAGATAGGCAAGGCCCAAGTGTACATGAGGCACACAATAGAAAAGGAATTTCGCCATCTGTGATCTCGAAATTACAAATGGAGAATGACAAAGAATGACTCTATATAAGGATATGTCTCTCTATATATTTATAAATATTTATATAATTTACCATGAAGACATGCAAGTAGTGTTATAGCAACTATTATACAATATAATACAGAAGGACTGATCTTCCAATATTACAGTTGCTTTAGATAAACAGCAAGTATGTCTTATCTATTGCATTCCTCTGGAGTGTTTGAAACTGGAGAGAAATTAAGATTCCACACTATGCTACATTTCTTATAAGAGACGTTATATGCCTCAATAGTGTTTTGAGTTTGTTTTTTTAAAAAGCTCAACACAGATAAAGAGAACAAGAGAAGTTCAGTGCAGCTTCAGGGCAGCTTTGATGCAGCATTAGAAGATGTTCACTTGGGGAGGAAATGTATTCCTTTCTTTTTTTTTTGTTTCCCAATTCAACTGTATTAGGTTTGGCAGCAAACACAAGGTCAAACAGAAAGCACATATGTTTGCTAGAAGGCAAATTTCAACAGCAAGCAGACCAATTTACCTGACCTTAATAAGGTCTTTACAACACAAAACACCTAGAGAGTATAAAAACAGCCCATTTTAAAAGTCTGGTAGACTTTCATTTGCCTGATTCCTATTAGAAGAGTGAGATTAGAACAAATATCTTCCTCTTTACAGCTTCGTAAATTGAGATTGTATGAAAATCAGGCCAAGAAGCCCAAATGTTGAACTAAAACACAGGAGAAGCAGGTAATAAAACATTAAAAAAGAAATATTTGCCTAAATTTATTTCCCCAGATATTAATTCCTTATTGGCTAAATGTATAAAATACAAAGTTTGAGGATTCTAAGCCTCAATAATATATCTAATTTATTTCTAAATCTCAAATCACAGTCCAAAGCATTGTGCTTCCCTCGTATCATCTTGGATGCTGATATTACAAACAGTTGGAACCCAGAAGACTTAAGGAAGCAGTCTACTCTGGTCAGTTTTCCTTCTACTCAAGTTTCTAAAGGAGGACACTTAACAGAGATGAAAGGGCATCTTCTATCTTGAAGGCTATTAACCCACACTTTCTTTCTCTCCCTAAACACTAAAGCCTGCAAAATAGCTCTAGTTAGACTTTTCTTTCCTTTACCTAACTTTCTTATTTTTCATAATAAAAATGTAATATGTTAAGAACTCTTGCTCTAAAAAAAAAAAATCAGGGGGACCTAAAAAAAAGTAATTGGATTTGATAGTACAACTAGGACCATAAAATAAAAGCAGAGAGATTGAATCAGACGAGACATACAAAATTTTAAAAAAAAATCTGAACTCCAGGGAGGGTACTAGGAATGAGGCAAAGTAAAGGTGTTCATTCTCAATACACGAAATAAACACACAAGCCAAATATACATGAATACTGGCTCCCTGGCAACAGACTTCTTATATAATCTAATATCTGATCAATGACTCTTCAGGGTGGGAAAGTTTTGAATGAAAATATCAAACAAGAAGTTTCACTTTTGCTATATAATCTTTGAATTGAGGCTTAAAAAAATTAGGCAACCCCCCTAAAATTCCATTCTATCTCCTATCCTCAACTCTTTTGTTTCAAAGGCAGCTTAAAAAATGAGAGCTCATTTTAATGAGTTTCTCCCCCTTGGATTTTTGCTCTATTTTTCCTTCTTGTACAAAGACATTGATTCCTAATCTACTTGCTGCCTGCCTTAGGTAATTCCTTATCATGTATTATGTCTTCTTATAAATAATTGATCATGTTACTTTCTTTTGCAAGAGAAGATCAACACTGATTTTTTTACATAGAAAGTACAGGGACACACATGCATCAGGTTTAGGAGGAAGATCTCACACCTTTCAAAGAGATGCAGCCTGGCTCCTATCTGCTGAGTTTACTGGCTGGCTTACTCTTCCCTTGGGGGGTTTTAGTGCTGGCTGAGTGGTGGTGGAGGCTGCCGGATCCTTTCAGGCCATTCTTGCTGGGTTTGCAATGCTCCTGTTGGCAGGACCTCCTGGAGGAGGAAGATCCTGAGTGGCTGGGAGGTGACTTGCTTCTCCCCAGATGTGGGGACGAACTCCTCTGGTCATGGTGGGGCCGTCCAGCCCTAGATGGTGAGGAACTAGACGTGCGAGGCAAGGATGAGCTTCGAGGAGAGGCACTGGGACTCCTGCGAGGGACAACTGGACTCTTGGGTGGTGTTTTTGGATTGTGAGGAGATCCTGGACTCTTGCACTGAGTAGTGCTCCGGGGTTTCTGAGATCCATTTTGAAGAATTTGGGCCAGGCGGGAGAAAAGGTCTGAGTCGGAGTTACTACTCCCTAGGACTTTATATCTGCGTAGCCTTAAAAGAACAGAGAAAATATATTTTAATTTTAATTCATTTCAAGTGTGCCTAAAAAGTCACAATGTCCCAAAATCATAATGTGAATGTGTAGAAATCAGAAAATAGACTAACAGGATACAGGGTTACTCTGTCATATACTAGTTGTATGACCCTGGACAAATTCTTCAATCTCTCCCTGCTTTCAATGGGAATACTGTCTATCTCACAGGGTCACTGAACAGACCAAGGGCAGTGACCCAAGTACGTAGATGAACATCTGCCATGAAGAAGCCCTTAAATGGTATTCGTTCCCTTCCTCCTATGCCATGTTTATTCTGCTAATTTTCAGATGAATTTAACTAGCATGTTAAATTGTCTCTAGCATGTTAGCACATAAGACAGAGAGTAAACCATACTGTGTAAGGATGTTAGGACAGGAATCCTACAAACACGAAATCCCACAATGTAAGTGTTTTTTTTTTTAATTTTCTTTTTTCTGCCAAGGATCTGTCACCCCTAAGTCTTCAACATGAACTACACTCAGCAACAGGAGGAACTACAGATAAATGTACATTCAACTCATTTAATAATTTACAAGAGAAAAGAGTAGTCATTGGTTTCTGTGGACCTCAGTTTCTATTCCTGTCAATAGTCTGGGATTAAGGAGGGTGGAGGCTGGAACTGACTGCCCACTCCATACTGGCAACTGAGCTTGGGCCTCAGATTTTTTTTTTTTTTTTTTTTAAACAGGGTCTTGCTCTGTCACTCAGGCTGAAGTGCAGTGGGATGATCACAGCTCACTGCAGTCTCGACCTCCTGGGCTCATGCAATCCTCCCACCTCAGCCTCCTGAGTAGCTGGGATGACAGGTGTGCACCTGTAGTGCATGCCTGGCTAATTTTTATATTTTGTGTAGAGACGGTTTTGCCACATTGCCCAGGCTGGTGTCAAACTCCTGAGCTCTAGCAATCCTCCTGTCTCAGCCTCCCAAAGTGCTGGGATTACAAGCATGAACCGTAGTGCCCCGGCCCTTGGGCCTCAGAATTCTTAGAGTATTCATATGAATAGCAAATGTCTTCTTTGTCCTAAATGTCTTTCTGGTTTGGCCTAAGAATCAAAGAAAATGGAACATATAAAAGTGTTTTTATAAACTACAAAGCAGTGGTCCCCAACCTTTTTAGCACCAAGGAGCAGTTTCGTGGAAGACAATTTTTCCACGATGGGGGGAGGAGGGGCAAGGATGGTTTCAGGATGAAAGTGTTCCACCCCAGATCATCAGGCATTAATTAGATTCTCATAAGGAGCGTACAACCTAGATCTCTCCCATGTGCAGTTCACAACAGGGTTCACGCTCCTATGGGAATCTGATGCCACTGCTGATCTGATAGGAGGCGGAGCTCAGGCGGTAATGCCTCCTGCCGTGCAGCCCTGGGGTGGGGAGGGCCTGCTATAAAGCAGTCTACAATATATTTTAGTGGCAATGCCAAATTACGTAGTGAGAAGGACCCTAGGGCCCCTCTAATAATAAAACTATGGTAATGGAAAGTGTACAGCAAAGGAACAGACAAATGAATGGAACAGAGCATTGAATCCAAAAAGATCCCCATGTTTCTATGGGAAATGAGTATTGCAATATCACTAACTACTTGGAAAAAAACTTCACATCATATATAATGATACACTTTAGATCGATAGTAAATTTATACACAAAGCACAAAACTATAAGGGTACTGGAAATTACTACCTTTTAAAAAATATTAGGGTTGAAGGACCTTCCTATGCATGATATAAAACACAATTAATAAAAAATGTTCAGTTCCATGAACACTAAACTTTTCTATCAAACCAAAGGCACTACAACCCAAGTTAAAATTCAGACTAGGATAAAATATCTTCAATATAATTTGCAGAGAAGGGGGTTAGTTACAGAAAATAACCCAGGGCACGGTGGCTCACACCTGTAATCCCAGCACTTTGGGGGGTTGAGGTGGGTGGATAGCTTGAGGTCAGGAGTTCGAGATCAGCCTGGCCAACATGGCGAAACCCCATCTCTACTAAAATACAAAAAATTAGCTGGGTGTGGTGGCAGGTGCCTGTAATCCCAGCTATTCGGGACACTGAGACAGGAGAATCGCTTGAACTTGAGAGGCAGAGGTTGCAGTGAGCCGGGATCGCACCACTGCACTCCTGCCTGGGTGACAGAGCAAGATTCCGTCTCAAAAGAAAAAAAAAAAACTAACCCAATAGAATGTTTTGACATGAAGACAGACAACAACTCATAGAAGGATCCTCCCACCTCAGCCTCCCAAGTAGCTGGGAATACAGCTGTGTAGCACCCGTGCCTGGCTAATTCTTGTAGAGATGAGGTTTCACCATGTTGCCCAGGCTGGTCTCAAACTCCTGAGCTCAAGCAATCTGCCTGCCTCAGCCTCCCAAAGTGCTGGGATTACAGGTGTGAGCCACCACATTTGGCCCTGGAAAGCACTCTTCACTGGTTTACCACCTCCCAATATTTTCCCCTCTTCCTCAAAATATAAACATTCTGTGGTCAAATATATCAAGATAATATTTAAATAAAAAGTATAGCATGCAGTATATACTAAAGCAGTATCTTTACTATGTATGGTTGTATATACCATCAGACCTAGGGAAATCTATAGGATTTTTTTGGTTTAATTCATTATAATCAAGATAAACAGCACTGTTACCAGGGTCCATTTATCAAATCATGGACAACGTATTCTTCACTAGCATTTGACATCATAATGGCATTATGGGACATAATGGGATTCTGACTGAACAAAGCTAGAAAATTGCTGATCATCAAAATGCAACTGGAGACAGACATAATCTTTATTACATGCTAAGCAATGTACCAACTCCTAGATGATTGTGGCTTTGTTTCATTCTCCCAAAACTATTAAGCAAATATTTTGCCCACTCCGTAGATGAGGAAATGGAGGTTCTTACTGCTAGAAAGTGGGAGAGCCAAAAATTAACCTGGATCAGAGAAGATTCTGGGAAGACAGTAGAGTAGGAAGCACTAGGAATCTGTCTCCCCACCTAGGCAACTGCACTGGCAGAATCTGTCTGATGTAATTATCTTGGAAATCTGGAGTCTACCAAAGGCTTGCAACTTCCAGGAGAAGGCTTGGACTGTCAATTACAGTTAATTTTAGTCTATTTCAGATCTTAGCACAGTTAACAGCTACCCATCCCCCATTCCCGGCCCCATGGCAGGCAGCTGTGCACTTATTTCTGGAGCAGTGTGCACACAGCTTACAAGAACCAGGTGGGCAAAAAGAACCCTGTCCTCCAATTACTGGGGATCTGTGCTCTGATTACTCATTGCTGCTTCTGATCACAGAAGAGCAGAGAAAGAGGTAGGTAGTAACTCTTACATTTTTCCCCATTGTTACAAACTGGTTCTCCTCTGGCTGAAGTGACTGCTAGGGGATTAAAAGGGCCAGTCCTCTTTTTTCTTCTTCCCTCATTTTTCTTTTTTCCCTTCTTCGGAGCCAGATATTAAAGACTTGTATATTCAAAACCAACCACATATACTGGGGAAATCAGAAAGCTACTATGCTTAGTCAGGAAAAAGTACAGGCTTAGAAAAGGTCTGAGACCTTAGGTTTACATCTCAGGCTGGTCCTCAGCACAGAGACAGTCTACAACCATCAAAAAAACAAACAAACAAATTAGCTAGGTGTGCTGGCATGCACCTGTAGTTCCAGATACTCAGGAGGCTGAGGCAGGAGGATCACTTGAGCCCAGGAGTTAGAGGCTGCAATAAGTCATGATTATTCCACTGCACTCCAGCCTGGGTGACAGAGTGAGATCCTGTCTCAAAAATAAAAAGAAACAAAAACAACCCACAGCAAATCCCGAAGAAAGGGGAAAATCTTATTTTCAGAGTTACCACATTATTAGATTCAAATATCCAATTTTCAACAAAAAAAATAAAAAAACTTACACAGAAACAGGAAAGGATGGTCCATTCCAAGGAGAAAAAAATGTATCAACAGAAATTGTACCTGAAAAAGACCTGATAGCAAAGCTACTAGACAAAGACTTTGAAACAACTCTCTTAAGGATGCTTGAAAAACTAAAGAAAGACACGGAGAAAGTCAAGAAAACAATGTATGAACAAAATGGAAATATAAATAAGAGACAGAAAACCTAACAAGAACCAAAAAAAATTTGGAACTAAAAAGTACAATCACTAAAATAAAAAATTCACTAGATGGATTCGAGAGCAGATTTGAGCAGGCAGAAGAAAAAATCAGCAAACTTGAAGACAGGACAATGGAAAGTATTGAGTCTGAGGTACAGAAAAAAAAAGGAGTAAAGAAAAGTAAACAGACAATAAAGGGCCTGTGGGGCCATCAAGCAGACTTGCATGCACATTGTGGGAGTTCCAGAAGGAGAAAAGAGAAAGAGGCAGAGAGAATACTTAAAAAAAAGAAAAAAAGCCTGCAAACTCCCCAAAAGTCATAAGAGACATGAATATACAACATCCCAGAAGCTCAACAAACTCGAAGTAGGATGAACTCAGAGACCCACAATGAGACACATTATAATTAAACTGTCAAAAGACAAAGACAGAGAATCTTGAGATTCTCAAAAAAATTATCAGAACACTTCTCATCAGAAACATTGAGGCTGGAAGTACTTTAGTACTTTAAAGTACTTCTTTTAAAATACTAAAAGAAATGTCAACTAAGAATCCTATATCTGGCAAAACTGTCCTTCAAAAATGAGGCAGTAATTAAGACATTCTCAGATAAAAGCTAAGGGAGTTTGTTACCACCAGACCTGTCTTGCAAGAAATGCTAAAGGGAGTCCTGTAGGTTGAAATGAAAGGGCGCCACACAGGAACTTGAAGCCATATGAATAAATAAAGATCTTAATAAAGGCAAACACATGGACAGTTAAAATTCCACATTTTGTTTTTTACATAATTTAAGAGATTAATGCATTTTAAAAATTATTAGTTTATGTGTTTGAACACACAATGTATAAAGATGTAATTTTGTAACATCAACAGCTGAAAGGAGTGGGGATGGAGACTGAAAGGAGCAGTTTCTGCATGATATTGAAGTTAAGCTGATATAAATCCAAATGAAAGTGTTATAACTTTAGAATATTAAGTGTAACACAACAATGTGAATGTACTTACTACCACTGAACTGTACACTTAAAAATGATTAAGATACAGCTGGGCACAGTGGCTCAAGCCTGTAATCCCAGCACTTTGGGAGGCCAAGGCAGGTGGATCACTTGGGGCCAGGAGTTTGAGACCAGCCTGCCCAACATAGCGAAACCCTGTCTCTAGTTTAAAAAAATAAAATAAAATAACCTGGTGTGGTGGCAGGTGCCTGTAATCCTAGCTACTTGGGTAGCTGAGGCAGAAGAGAATCTCTTGAACCCGGGATGCAGAGGTTGCAGTGAGCTGAGATTGAGTCACTCCACTCCAGCCTGCGTGACAGAGCGAGACTCTGTCTCAAAAACAAACGAAACAAAAGATGCTAAATTTTATGTTATGTGTATTTTACCGCAATAAATTGGAAAAAATCTGATTACTTCTACTGCACTAGGCTGTAAGGCCTGGGAAAGGCAGGAAAGAAAGATACTGAGAAGGGGGCAACACAGAAATGTTGCCATTGGTGGACTACAATAAAGCAGATATAGAAATGGTGTTACACACTTAACACAGGGAGAGCACACAGCATTACCTGGCTTCTACTCCAGGCCTCGTGGGTGGCTTTCCTGGTGGTGGCCGAGGAAAGAACTGAGACGAAGTTGAGCTATTGACCTGATCTGTGTTGACCCATGAAACTGGCCTTGGAATTTTGCTCTTTCTAGACTGGGAGATGATGGGTGACAGAAAGCTATCTTCAGCTGACCTACTCAGGTGAGAATCTACTGTCAGTCTTGAAAAGGGAGTGAGCACTTCCTCCTCACAAAAGGGAGCAGGAACAGTAGCTAGTTTCTCCTCTAGCAATTTATCAGAGGCACTTGAGAGGTCGCCAAGGAAGGACTTGAATTGTCTTTTTTCCACCAGAAGCTTGACTAGGTCTGGCTGATAGGCTTTCTTTTGGAGGAGCTTTTCTTTTGCAGAAACTGGAGAGGATGATTCCAAAGTTGAGTCTATCTCTTGTGCTAAAACAGGGATTCGGCTGTGTCTAGTTACAAAGGATGACCTAACCATATCCTTCCGGGTTGGGGCACCATGTTCATTCTCTGAAACACAATGAAATAGTTCTCCATTTCTAGGGGTGATTTTCTCTCTCTTGCCCTCTTGGTGCAAAAAAGTAGAGAGGTCTCCTTGATGACCTGGCAAGTCTTCACTCATGATGTCATCATCCTTAGATATCTTATTTTTTTGCATTTCTGCCACTTGGCCTATCTGACCTTCAACATGTGGGTCAATGTCTCTGGAAGAAATTTCTGAAGTTCCAACTGTCAGAAGCTTCATTATCTCATTATTTTTGTCTTGATTTGGCACCACACTAAAAGTCTGTGTTTTTGTCACATCAAGAGGTTCAGTAGTAGCTGAGTGATCCTTTTCCACAATTACCAAATCTCCTGGGAGAGAGGAGATCTCAATACAATGCTGCCCTCTACTTAACTTCTCATCTTCATTATCTGACTCTAAAAGGATGCTTTTCTCTTCAGTTTCCCCAGGGAGATTTTCAAATTCTCTCACAACCAGTCTATTATGATCAGGAAGTTCTTTTGGTCCCAGGTCTTGAGATTTGTTACTTTCTCTAATGTTGGGTAACATGTCATGACCAATGTGATCTATCTGAAGCCCCAAATCTGTTCTGCTTCCTCCACTAGGAGGTTCACCCTCTGTCACAACCAAGCCAGAGAAGTTTTCCCTTGGAGAGTAAAGTTCCACAGTGGGCTCCATGGGCTGAAGATCTTTCTTCTCTGGCTGCTGACCACAGTGAAAGCTTCCTGAAGTTGACTGTGTAGATGCCACAGAAGGTCTAGGAATTGTAATCTGGAGAAGGGGAAGAAAAAATTAAAATGCAATTATGTAAAATATCAACAAAGATGCATGCTTTGAGATTTAACATCTCCAATTCTAATTTATAGGAAGAACACAGATGTTGACCAGGTCTGCCCAACTTATAAGAAAAATGAACAATTCTGAATAACAATGATTGACACTCAAGCTACCCTACTCAGAAACTGTGCAGAACAGTCTCTCCCTGTAGGTTTATCCCTGCCCCTTCTTTGGTGTGCTGTATGCCCTGGAAGACTAATTTCTATAGACTGCACCACCTGGGTTTCCTGGCTTTCTGATTTGTGGTTAGATCTGCTCAATGGATGGCACCAACAGGCAATCAGAGGGTTAGAGGAAAGAGGGGGCTGGGTAATGATTCTCCTTGCTTCCCCACTGAGGACTGTGGCACTAGTGACAGCTACATTCCACTATCCTGGCCACAGCTCCCTTCTTATGGCCTCTCTCTCAGCTACTACCCTCGCCAAGTTCTGCGAACACCCACTTCTACTCCCCTTTCAGGACTCATGGTAGGAATGGCTCCCTCTGTTACTGGTCCCACTGGCTCTCTTAACTCTGCCCATACATCTGTAAAAAATTCCTTACATTAAATTCTCTCCAAGTCCCTTTGAGTATGCCATCTATTTTCTGCCAGAATCCAGATACAGGATTACAGGAAAAAATTATTGGCAAATAATTGTTCATTGAAAAACTCCAAATTTGCATGCATTTTGTTGTTTTCCATAAATTCTATTAAATACTAGGATTATATCTTCCTACAAGTAAAGACATACAAAGGTATTTACTAATGTTTCATGATTTCTCTAATGTTTTCTTTTTTTTTTTTTTTTTGAGACACGGTTACTGTGTCACCCAGACTGAAGTGTAAGTGGTGTGATCTTGGCTTACTGCAACCTCTGCTTTCCAAGCTCAAGTGATCCTCCCACCTCAGCCTCCCGAGTAGCTGGGACTACAGCATGCACCACCACATCTGGCTAATTTTTGCATTTTTGTAGAGATGGGGTGTCACCTGTTGCCCAGGCTGGTCTCGAACTCCTGAGCTCAAGTGATCCATCTGCCTTGGCCTCCCAAAGAGCTTGGATTAAAGGTGTAAGCCACCATACCTGGCCAATTTTTTATTTTATTTTATTTTATTTTTTTATGAGATGTTGTCTTGCTCTGTCGCCCAGGCTGGAGTGCAATGGTGCAATCTTGGCTCACCGCAACCTCCGCCTCCTGGGTTTACGTGATTCTCCCTGCCTCAGCCTCCCAAGTATCTGGGATTACAGGTGCCCACCACTATGCCCAGCTAATTTCTGTATTTTTAGTAGAGACGGGGTTTCACCATGTTGGTCAGGTTGGTCTTGAACTCCCGACCTTAGGTGATCCACCCACCTCGGCCTCCCAAAGTGCTGGGATTACAGGTGTGAGCCACCGCACCCAGCCCACACCTGACCAATTTTTAAAGATCAAGCGGGCTGGGTGCGGTGGCTCACGCCTGTAATCCCAGCACTTTGGGAGGCCGAGGTGGGCAGACCACCTGAGGTCGGGAGTTCGAGACCAGCCTGGCCAACATGGTGAAACCCCGTCTCTACTAAAAATACAAAATAAACTGGGCGTGGTGGCACATGCCTGTAATCCCAGATACTCAGGAGGCTGAGGCAGGAGAATCGCTTGAACCCGAGAGGCAGAGGTTGTGGTGAGCCGAGATTGTGCCATTGTACTCCAGCCTGGGCAATAAGAGTGAAGCTCCATCTCAGGAAAAAAAAAAAAAAAAAAAAAAATCAAGCCTATGAGAAGTGAAAATCTACCCCCCTTCCACTGAGGTAATTTTAATTCTATATGAATAAGATTCAATATCTAATAAGAATGTCCTTCCTTAAGATACCTAAAGTTTTTATTATTTTCACGTCACCTAAAGTGACATGTAAGTAGGCTGAAAATAACTATATAAACTAATAAAGAAAAACAGTCTTTTTGAGAAATCAAGTAAGTTCAAATCACTTAATGAGACCCATTAAGTTCTAGGAAAACTACAGAAATTGGTCTGAATACAATGCAAAATGAATTTGGATTAGTCATAGGAGATTTAGTTTAGAGTCGATCTCTAGTCCAAAGACACCAAGAAACCATGTGGTTCCAGGGTCAGCTAAGATGTTCAGATCTATTTCACTTTGTGTCAGGAATACTATTAGTTGGACATGGATCTGTAAAGCTCATTGACATGTAAAGCTTGTCCTAAGTCCAGCCCAGGAAAAAAAACACCTAACTAATGTCCTGGAATAGCTCCCAAATGCAACCACGGTCCTGAGGATCTTTCAGGCTAATCCAAGACAGGCAATTTGGGTTTAGAGCTAAACTCTTAGAATAAGCACAAATCTAAAATGACCTTGGGAAAAAGCATTAGGTTCTATTGGTACTGTTTTCCTTCAGGAAGTTATCTCATATTTCTGTTTTAATTATTCTAAAATATATTTAGACAGATGGCAATTTTCTAGTATATTTTGAAAGTGATGTTGAAATCTAAAATTTATAGTAATTCACTTTTCAAAATTTACTTCTTAGTAAATGCACCCAAAAGTGACCATGATAAGAAAAGCAAGTGTAAGAAATTATATTAAATGTCAAATACCAAGGGAGATGATAACCTATATTCAAAATCGGGCCAGGTGTGGTGGCTCTTGCCTATAATCCCAGCGCTCTGGGGGGCCGAGGCAGGCTGATCTCCTGAGGTCAGGAGTTTGAGACCAGACTGGCCAACATGGTGAAACCCTGTCTCTACTAAAAATACAAAAAATTAGCCAGGTATGGTGGTGGGCGCCTGTAATCCCAGCTTCTCGGGAAGCTGAGGTGGGAAAATTGCTTGAACCTGGGAGGCGGAGGATGCAGTGAGCCAAGATCATGCCACTGTACTCCAGCCTGTGTGACAGAGCCAGATTGCTGGACCCTGTCTGAAAAACAAAAACAAAAAAAACCAGTCACCTAATTATTACATGTAATTCTAAGTACATTCGTCAAAATGAACACAGCAGTGCTATAAAAATAATACTCCAGGCCAAGCACGGTGGCTCATGCCTGTAATCCCAGCACTTTGGGAGGCTGAGGTGGGCGGATCATCTGAAGTCAGGAGTTCAAGACCAGCCTGGCCAACATGGTGAAACCCTCTCTCTACTAAAAATACAAAAATTAGCTGGGGGTGATGGCGGGTGCCTGTAATACCAGCTACTTGGGAGGCTGAGGCAGGAGAATGGCTTGAACCTGGGAGGCAGAGGTTGCAGTGAGCCAAGATCGTGCCACTGCACTCGAGCCTGGGCAACAGAGCGACACTCTGTCTCAAAACAAAACAAACAAACAAAAAACTCCATTGGTCTTCTGAGATTGAAGCTAGGGTTAATTTCTACAGTTCTGAGATTAACTCATTTTAGATTCAGGATATAAATGTGCACATACATATGGTATAAAAAAAAGAGTGGCAATTTTATACATAGAAAATATATATGACCCAAGCATGGTGGCCTGTACCTGTAATCCCAGCTACTCAAGAGGCTGAGGCAGAAGATTGCTTGAGCCCAGGAGTTTGAGACCAGCCTGGGCAACATAGCAATACCCCACCTCAAAAAAAACAAAAACAAAAACAAAAACAAAACACCAAAGCAACAACAATAAAAATATATATGAATCACCAGATGGGAGAATTTTTCTTGAAAAGATTCTGAGCAATTATGATAAACTGTGCATAAACTACTCTCATATAATATTTCCATAGTACTTTAAATTTCATATTTCCCAGATCATTTTTACAAACCCCATTTCATAGCTTCTTTATATTTTAATCAGGTACTATTATCATTTTTTAATTATTATTATTATTTTTAGAGACAGAGTCTTGCTTTGTCGCCCAGGCTAGGTGCAGTGGTGCAATCACAGCTCACTGCAGCCTCTAACTCCTGGGCTCAAGCAATCCCTCCACCTCAGACTCCCAAGTAGCTGAGACTACAGGCATGTAGCACCACACCAGCTAATTAAAAAAAAAAAAAATTTGCACAGACAGGGTCTCACTATGTTGCCCAGGCTGGTCTTGAACTCCTGGGCTCAAGAGATCTTCCTGACTAGGCCTCCCAAAGTGCTGGGATTACAGGTATGAGCCACTGTGCCCGGTTAGAGTACTATTACTAATACAAATTCACAAATGAGGAAAAACACAGCCAAGAAGTCATAGATAGGACTTCAGGATTTTGAAAGTTGTGCACAGCACAGTACAGCCTACTGACATGTACTACACACTCTCAAAGTCAGGGAAACTGAGTCTGCAATAACATTATCTGACAAAATAAAAGGAGAAAACCTAGGATCAGTAGTTGAGTATAGAGAAGAGAAAGCTAATTCTAAGTGTAGCTGCAAAGAGCTTCCTTAAACTATAAAGACATAAAAGCAGTTCTCATACTTGGGGCGCTCTACAAATGGACCAAATAAATAATCTGCCAGTAAGCCATATGCATCTTTTATATCTTTAATTTCCATAATTCACAAACATTTCATTATGGCATTAATCAATCATTTCCTTTCTTCTGTTCTGTAATTGTACCATGTACATCCTTCTAAAGAATTAGAAAAGGATCTCAATATTTTCCATTTCTTTCATAGTTTCTTAGTTCTATTAGTGCCTAGTACTGTTTGACCAAAATTAGTGTCTTATTTAATAGTTCAGGTAAAGCAGCCTCACTATTTTTCAGTCACCCCATGTTTCAAACTAGCCACTAGTGAGAAACAATGAGCTGCAAACCAACTACCATTTGCATTTTAACTTACAGATTATCCTTTTACTTTTCTCTCATTCAAGGATTGTAATGTTACTAAGATAATAAAAACTGCGAAATTCAACATCCATTCCAAATAGCCTTTCTTCCAAATGAAAAGAATGTGGTATATGAAATTTCTATGTCTCATTTTTGTTTGTTGACAAAGACAAATAATTGAGCAGAGATATACATAGAATAATGTATTGGTACCTAATACAGCCTGGCCTATTAAGAAGTTAAATTTTAGCCATTCAAATTCTACCATAGACCTTTTTTGTCTAAAGCAGCTTTATATAATACTTTATAGAAATGTTGAAAATTATAGGCTGGGCGCGGTGGCTCACGCCTGTAATCCCAGCACTTTGGGAGGCCGAGGCAGGCAGATCACCTGAGGTCAGGAGTTCAAGACCAGCCTGACCAACATGCAGAAACCCCGTTTCTACTAAAAATACAAAATTAGCCAGGCATGGTGGCACATGCCTGTAATCCCAGCTACTTGGGAGGCTGCCGCAGGAGAATCACTTGAACCCATGAGGCAGAGGTTGTGGCGAGCCGAGATCGCACCATTGCACTCCAGCCTGGGTGACAAAGTGAGATTCCATCTCAAAAAAAAAAAAAAAAAAAAAGAAGCCCAAGAAGGCAGCATGGAGGCACCCAGCCTCTGCCACCCCGTTACCCAAGCCCAGATTGGGCTGGAGTCAGGAGGGACTTCCTGTTGTGGGAAAAAGGTAAGCAGAACAGCCTCATCAGCCCTCACTGCCACTGCAAACACCTACAATCCTTACTACAAGAGAAACCAACAGTCCTAGCGAGCCTGGAGCCTGGAGCCTAGTTTGGAGAGCTGCTAAAAATTCACACAGCTGCTTTGCTCCAGATTAGGAGAACAAGGTAAGCATTCCCACCCACCCATGAGCCAAGCTGCCACAGCTTAATGCCACCCTAAGGCCAGAGCCACTTCTGGAGTGTACCCTGTTCTGGGGGCCAGAAGCCACTGCACCTGTCCAGCCCTTGGACTCCATCTTCATTCCCTCAAGCTCACACAGGTGGCTGGTGGCTACAATGTCATGACCCTGACTGCTTGGAGCCTGGGCTCAGGATCAGCTGTGATTTGAGTCCTGCACAGCAGGAAAACTAACCCCTGCCATGCACACTTCCAGGTAGAGAAACAGTCTGGCAGTCCCACACAGGGCAGACACACCCTTGAGCAGGAAAGGCTTCCAAACCCCTGAGGAGCTGACCCACCTTCAGGTCAGTGTATTTGCCAGCACTCAGGGACAGCTGGCTCAGGCCAGCTCCTGGCAGATACACCCCCAGGCCAGCTGAGCGGCTGCATACCTGCGCCTTGGACCTGAGAAACAGCCTGCTGAGCCTGCCCCTGGCAGGTGTGCCTCCCAGCCCAGCCCAGCAGCCATGAGCCCATGTCCCTGGCCAGAGTAACAGCACTGTGGCCCCAACCCCAGTGAGCCAGACTCCAAACTGGCTGACCCACTTGTCTGCACATGCAGACCCTGACCTGAGAAGCAGCCTGGTGAGACCATACCCAGAAAAACCATGCCAACACTGCCACAAACTCTCACCTTAGGCCACAGAGACACTTGCAAACATCACCAGCATGGGTTACAGCTGAAGAAATTGCATGAAGACTACATTATTGCATCCACCTAGCATCAAAGCAAAGGCACCACACCCAACTGATACCCCAAGACCCAAGTATTTCCCTGTGAAATCTACTCCATAAAATTTGGAGAGTCAACTGTTCTACCAGATGCATAGAAATCAACATAGGGACACATCAAACATGAAAAAGCAAGGAAATATGACAACACCCAAGGAATGATAATTCTCCAGTAAAAGACCCCAATCATAAGGAATTATACAAAATCCCAGAAAAAAATCTAAATAATAATTTTAAAGAAACTCAGTGACATATAAGAGAATAAAGATAGACAATTCAGTTAAATCAGAAAAACAATTCATGATTTCAATGAGAAATTCAACAGAAATAGATATCATAAAAAAGAACCAAAGGAATCTTAGCACTAAAGAATTAAATGGGCCGGGTGTGGTGGCTCACGCCTATAATACCAGCACTTTAGGAGGCCAAGGTGGGCAGATAACTTGAGGTCAGGAGTTTGAGACCAGCCTGGCCAACATGGTGAAACCCTGTCTCTACTAAAAATACAAAAATTAGCCAGGTGTGGTGGTGGGCACCTGTAATCCCAGCTACTCAGGAGGCTGAGGCAGAAGAATTGCTTGAACCAGGAGGCAGAGGTTGCAGTGAGCTGAGATCATGCCACTGCACTCCAGCCTGGGTGGCAGAGTGAGACTCCATCTCAAAAAAAAAAAAAAAAAAACAAAAAAAGAATTCAATGAATGAAATAAAAAATACAATTGAGAGCTTCAACAACAGACTAGACCAGGCAGAATTTCTGAATTGGAAGACAGGTCTTTTGAATAACTCAGGCAGACAAAAATAAAATTTTTTAATGAAGAAAACCTACAGGATCTACTAGATTTTCTGTATTTTATTTGTTTGCTTAACAAATAAAATAACTAGGAATAAATTTAACCAAAGAAGTGAAAGATCTCTACAAGTAAAACCAGAAAATACTAATGAAAGAAACTGAAGAGAACATACAATAAAATGGAAAGGTATCTCATGCTCTTGTATTGGAAGAATTAATATTGCTAAATTAATAGTGTTTAAATGCCTATAGTATCTGAAGTGCTACAGATTCAATGCAATCCCTATCAAAATACCAATGACATTTTTTGCAGAAATAGAAAAACAATCCGACCCCAAATATCTAAAGCAATCCTAAGCAAAAATACAAAAGAAAACAAAACAAAAGTTGGAGGTATAACACTACCTAATTTCAAATTATACTACAAAGCTATAGTAACCAAAACAGCATGGTACTGGCATAAAAACAGACACATAGACCAACAGAACAGATCAGAGAATCCAGAAATAGATCCATTTATCTACAGCCAACTGAGTTTGACAAAGGCACCACAGCATTCACTGGGGAAAGAACAGTCTCTTCAATAAATGATGCTGGGAAAACTGGATATCCACATGCAGAACAATGAAACTAGACCCCCATCTCTCACCTTATATAAAAATCAGCTCAAAATGGATTAAAGACCTAAATGCAAGGCCTGAAACTACAAAACTACTAGAAGAAAACATAGGGTAAATGTTTCAGAACACTGGTCTAGGAAAATACTTTATGAATAAGACCTCAAAAGCACAGGCAACAAAAAAATAAACTGGATTATATCAAACTAAAAACCTTCTTCACAGCAAAGGAAACAGTCAATAGAGTGAAAAGATAACCTACAAAATGGGAGAAAATATCTACAAACTATTCATCTAATGGGATGATAGCAAAGGAAAACCTTCTTCACAGCAAAGGAAACAGTCAATAGAGTGAAAAGATAACCTACAAAATGGAAGAAAATATCTACAAACTATTCATCTAACAGGATTAATATCCAGAATATTTAAGAAACTCAAACATCTCAACAGCCAAAAAAAAAAAAAAGGAAAGAAAAACATCTCATTAGAAAATGGGCAAATGGTCTACACAGACATTTCTCAAAAGAAGATATAGAAATGGCCAACAAATACATGAAAACATGTTCAGTATCACTAGTCATCAGGGAAATGCAAATAAAAACCACAATGAGATATTGTATCACCCCAGTAAAAATGGCTATCATCAAAAAGACAAAAAAATAACAAATGCTGGCAAGGATGCAGAGAAAAGAGAACTCTCAAATACAGTGTTTGTGGGTGTAACGGTTTGGCTGTGTCCCCACCCAAATCTCATCTTGAATTCCCACATGTTGTGGGAGGGACCCAGTGGGAGGTAACTGAATCATGGGGGCAGGTCTTTCTCATGCTGTTCTCGTGATAGTGAGTAAGTCTCATGAGATCTGATGGTTATTATAAGGGGGAGTTTTCCTGCACAAGCTCTCTTTGCCTGCTGCCATCCATGTAAGATGTGACTTGCTCCTCCTTGCCTTCCACCATGATTGTGAGGCCTCCCCAGCCATGTGGAACTGTAAGTCCAATTAAACCTCTTTCTTTTGTAAATTGCTCAGTCTTGGGTATGTCTTTATCAGCAGTATGAGAACAGAGTAATACAGTGGGAATGTAAACTAGTACAGTTACTACTATGGAGAAAAGTATGTAGGTTCCTCAAAAAACTACAAATAGAACTACCATACAATTCAGCAATCCCACTACTGGGAAGATCAGTATATTGAAGAGATATCTGCACACTCACGTTTACTGCATCACTGTTCACAATAGCCAAGATATGGAATCAACCCAAGTGTACAACAACAGATGAGTGGATAAAGAAAATGTGGTATAGCGGCCGGGCACGGTGGCTCATGCCTGTAATCCCAGAACTTTGAAAGGCCAAGGCAGGTGGATCACCTGAGGTCAGAGTTCGAGACCAGCCTGGCCAACATGGTGAAACCCAGTCTCCACAAAAAATACAAAAATTAGCCAGGCATGGTGGCATGTGCCTGTAGTCCCAGCTACTCAGGAGGCTGAGGCAGGAGCATTGCTTGAACCCGGGAGGTGGTGGCTGCACTGAGCCAAGATCACCACCACTGTACTCCAGCCTGGGTGACAGAGTGAGATGCTGTCTCAAAAAATAAATAAATAAATAAATAAAAGAAAATGTGGTATAAACAAACAATGGAATACTATTCAGCCATAAAAAATAAAATCCTGTCATTCATGGCAACATGGATGGCACTGGAGGCTGTTATGTTAAATGAAATAAGCCAGGCAAAGAAAGACAAATACCGCATGTTCTCACTAATATATGAGGAAGCTAAAAAAAAGTTGATTTTACGTAAGTAAAAAGTAGAAGAGAGGTTATTAGAGGCTGGAAAGAGTAGCGGGAACGGGGAGATAGGGAAAGATTTGTTAAAGGATACAAAATTACAGCTAGAGAGAAGGAATAACTTCTAGTGTTCCATAGCACTATAGGATGATTACAGTTAACAATTTTATATATATATATATATACGTATATATATATATACACATATATATACATATATACATACATATATATATATACATATATATATATATATATATATATATATATATATATTTTTTTTTTTTTTTTTTTTTTTTTTTTTTTTTTTTTTTTGAGACAGAGTCTTACTCTGTCACCCAGGCTGGAGCACAGAGTGCGATCTTTGCTCACTGCAACCTCCACCTCCTGGGTTCAAGCAGTTCTCCTGCCTCAGCCTCCCAAGTAGCTGGGATTACAAGCATGCCCCATCACGCCTGTCTAATTTTTGTGTTTTTAGTAGACACAGCGTTTCACCATGTTAGCCAGGTTGGTCTCCAACTCCTGACCTCAGGTAATCCACCTGCCTCAGCCTCTCAAAGTGCTGGGATTACAGGCATGAGCCACTGCGTCTGGCCCAATAATATATATTTTCAAATAGATAGAAGAAAGGATATCGAATGCTCCCAACACAAAGAAATGATAAACGTTTGAGATGATGTAGATGCTAGTTACACTGATCTAGTCACTATACATTGTATGTGTCAAGACATCACTATGTACCTCATACATATGTATGATTATTATGTGCCAATTATAACTTTTTTAAGAGGCCATACATGGTATCTTCCACTTTGGCCAATGTGGATTGAGGTGAGGGTGGATGGGGAAGAGTGGGGAAGGCAGCAGTCTTTGCCACAAAGGTGGGCAAAACTAAAAACCTAAAGCCTCAAAACCTACGTGAATGAAAAGTAAAAGCTGCTTTTGTCCTTACCTTGTCATCCCACTCCCCAGACAAGTCACTCATTATTGAAAGTTTAATGTGTCTTTAAAGGGGTTTCCAATTATAAAAATTTTGTGGGACTACTAAAAATCATAAGCCACAACTCATATCCAAAGAATAGAAGCCCAGAAAAGATGGACTAAAACAAAAATATTTTTTGGCAGGCCTGTAATTGCATATTATATACAAGGCTACAGGATTAAACAGTCACTTTTCTAGCCCCTTCATGCAGTATTGAAAGACACCTTAGGGGTTCTGTCCCAAGATGGCCGAATAGGAACAGCTCCAGTCTGCAGCTCCCAGCATGACTGACGCAGAAGACAGGTGATTTCTGCATTTCCAACTGAGGTACCTGGTTCATCTCACTGGGACTGGTTGGACAGTGGGTCCAGCCCATGGAGGGCAAGCTGAAGCAGGGCAGGGCATCGCCTCACCCGGGAAGCATAGGGGGTTGGGGGATTTCCCTTCCCTAGCCAAGGGAAGCCGTGACAGACGGTACCTGGAAAAATGGGACACTCTCGCCCAAATACTGTGCTTTTCCAAAGGTCTTAGCAAACGGCACACCAGGAGATTACATCCTGCGCCAGGCTCAGCGGGTCCCACGCCCACGGAGCCTTGCTCACTGCTAGCGCAGCAGTCTGAGATCAACTTGTGAGGCAGCAGCCTGGCAGGGGGAGGGGCGTCTGCCATTGCTGAGGCTTGAGTAGGTAAATAAAGCAGCCAGGGAAGCTCGAACTGGGCAGAGCCCACCGCAGCTCAGCAAGGCCTGCTGCCTCTGTAGACTCCACCTCTGGGGGCAGAGCATAGCTGAACAAAAGGCAGCAGAAACTTTTGCAAACTTAAACGTCCCTGTCTGACAGCTCTGAAGAGAGCAGTGCTTCTCCCAGCATGGAGTTTGAGCTCGGAGAATGGACAGACTGCCTCCTCAAGTGGGTCCCTGACACCCGTGTAGCCTAATTGGGAGACACCTCCCAGTAGGGGCTGAGTGTCACCTCATATAGCCAGGTGCCCCTCTGAGACGAAGCTTCCAGAGGAAGGATCAGGCAGCAATATTTGCTGTTCTGCAATATTTGCTGTTCTGCAGCCTCTGCTGGTGATACCCAGGCAAACAGGGTCTGGAGTGGACCTCCAGCAAACTCCAACAGACCTGCAGCTGAAGGATCTGACTGTTAGAAGGAAAACTAACAAACAGAAAGGACATCCACACCAAAACCCCATCTGTAGGCCACCATCATCAAAGACCAAAGGTAGATAAAACCACAAAGATGGGAAGATGGGAAGAAACCAGAGCAGAAAAGCTGAAAATTCTAAAAACCAGAGCACCTCTTCCCCTCCAAAGGATTGCAGCTCCTCGCCATCAACGGAACAAAGCTGGACGGAGAATGAATTTGATGAGTTGACAGAAGTAGGCTTCAGAAGGTCGCTAATAACAAACTTCTCCGAGCTAAAGGAGGATGTTTGAACCCATTGCAAGGAAGCTAAAAACCTTGAAAAAAGATTAGACGAATGGCTAACTAGAATAAACAGCGTAGAGAAGACCTTAAATGACCTGATGGAGCTGAAAACCATGGCACGAGAACTACATGATGCATGCACAAGCTTCAGTAGCCGATTCTATCATGTGGAAGAAAGGGTATCAGTGATTGAAGATCAAATTAATGAAATGAAGCGAGAAGAGAAGTTTAGAGAAAAAAGAGTAAAAAGAAATGAACAAAGCCTCCAAGAAATATCGGACTATGTGAAAAGACCAAATCTACATTTGATTGGTGTACCTGAAAGTGATGGGGAGAATGGAACCAAGCTGCAAAACACTCTGCAGGATATTATCCAGGAGAACTTCCCCAATCTAGCAAGGCAGGCCAACATTCAAATTCAGGAAATACAGAGAACACCACAAAGATACTCCATGAGAAGAGCAACTCCAAGACACAAAATTGTCAGATTCACCAAGGTTGAAATGAAGGAAAAAATGTTAAGGGCAGCCAGAGAGAAAGGGCCAGGTTACCCACAGAGGGAAGCCCATCAGACTAACAGCAGATCTCTTGGCAGAAACCCTACAAGCCAGAAGAGAGTGGGGGCCAATATTCAACATTCTTAAAGAAAAGAATTTTCAACCCAGAATTTCATATCCAGCCAAACTAAGCTTCATAAGTGAAGGAGAAATAAAATCCTTTACAGACAAGCAAATGTTGAGAGATTTTGTCACCTCCAGGCCTGCCTTACAAGAGTTCCTGAAAGAAGCACTAAACATGGAAAGGAACAATTGGTACCAGCCACTGCAAAAACATGCCAAATTGTAAAGACCATCGATGCTAGGAAGAAACTGCATCAACTAACTGGCAAAATAACCAGCTAACATCATAATGACAGGATCAAATGCACACATAACAATATTAATCTTAAATGTAAATGAGCTAAATGCCCCAATTAAAAGACACAGACTGGCAAACTGGATAAAGAGTCAAGACCCATAAGTGTGCTGTATTCAGGAGACCTATCTCACGTGCACAGACACACATAGGCTCAAAATAAAGGGACGAAGGAAGATCTACCAAGCGAATGGAAAGCAAAAAAAAAAAAAAAAAAAAAGCAAGGGTTGCAATCCTAGTCTCTGATAAAACAGACTTTAAACCAACAAAGATCAAAACAGACAAAGAAGGTCATTACACAATGGTAAAGGGATCAATTCAATAAGAAGAGCTAACTATCCTAAATATATATGCACCCAATACAGGAGCACCCAGATTCATAAAGCAAGTCCTTAGAGACCTACAAAGAGACTTAGACTCCCACACAATAATAATGGGAGACTTTAACACCCCACTGTCAACATTAGTCAGATGAACCAGACAGAAGGTTAACAAGGATATCCAGGACTTGAACTCAGCTCTGCACCAAGCAGACCTAATAGACATCTACAGAACTCTCCACCTCAAATCAACAGAATATACATTCTTCTCAGCACCACATCATACTTATTCCAAAGTTCACCACACAGTTGGAAGTAGAGCACTCCTCAGCAAATGTAAAAGAACAGAAATTATAACAAACTGTCTCTCAGACCACAGTGCAATCAAATTAGAACTCAGGATTAAGAAACTCACTCAAAACTGCACAACTACATGGAAACTGAACAACCTGCTCCTGAATGACTACTGGGTAAATAACAAAATGAAGGAAGAAATAAAGATGTTCTTTGAAACCAGTGAGAACAAAGACACAATGTGACACAATCTCTGGGACACATTTAAAGCAGTGTGTAGAGGGAAATTTATAGTACTAAATGCCCACAAGAGAAAGCAGGAAAGATCTAAAATTGACACCCTAACATCACAATTAAAAGAACTAGAGAAGCAAGAGCAAACACATTCAAAAGCTAGCAGAAGGCAAGAACTGAAGGAGATAGAGACACAAAAAAACCCTTCAAAAAATCAATGAATCCAGGAGCTGGTTTTTTGATAAGATCAACAAAATTGAAAGACCGCTAGCAAGACTAATAAAAAAGAAAAGAGAGAAGAATCAAATAGACGCAATAAAAATGATAAAGGGGATATCACCACCATCCAACAGAAATACAAACTACCATCAGAGAATATTATAAACACCTCTATGCAAATAAACTAGAAAATCTAGAAGAAATGGATAAATTCCAGGACACATACACCCTCCCAAGACTAAACCAGGAAGAAGTTGAATCTCTGAGTAGACCAATAACAGGCTCTGAAATTGAGGCAATAATTAATAGCCTACCAACCAAAAGAAGTCCAGGACCAGACGGATTCATAGCCATATTCTACCAGAGGTACAAAGAGGAGCTGGTACCATTCTTTCTGAAACTATTCCAATCAATAGAAAAAGAGGGCACCCTCCCTAACTCATTTTATGAGGCCAGCGTCATCCTGATACCAAAGCCTGACAGAGACACAACAAAAAAAGAGAATTTTAGACCAATATCCCTGATGAACATTGATGCACAAATCCTCAATAAAATACCGGCAAACCGAATCCAGCAGCACGTCAAAAAGCTTATCCACCACGATTAAGTTGGCTTCATCCCTGGGATGTAATGCTGGTTCAAAATATGCAAATTAATAAACATAATTCATCACATAAACAGAACCAATGACAAAAACCGTATGTTTATCTCAACAGATGCAGAAAAGGCCTTCAACAAAATTCAACAGCCCTTCGTGCTAAAAACTCTCAATAAACTAGGTATCGATGGAACGTATCTCAAAATAATAAGAGTTATTTATGACAAAACCACAGCCAATATCATACTGAATGGGCAAAAACTGGAAGCATTCCCTTTGAAAACTGGCACAAGACAGGGATGTCCTCTCTCACCACTCCTATTCAACATAGTGTTGGAAGTTCTGGCCAGGGCAATCAGGCAAGAGAAAGAAATAAAGGGTATTCAATCAGGAAAAGAGGAAGTCAAATTGTCCCTGTTTACAGATGACATGATTGTATATTTAGAAAACCCCATCATCTCAGCCCAAAATCTTCTTAAGCTGATAAGCAACTTCAGCAAAGTCTCAGGATACAAAATCAATGTGCAAAAATCACAAGCATTCCTATACACCAATAACAGACAGAGAGCCAAATCATGAGTGAACTCCCATTCACAACTGCTACTAAGAGAATAAAATACCTAGGAATCCAACTTACAAGGGATATGAAGGACCTCTTCAAGGAGAACTACAAACCACTGCTCAATGAAATAAAAGAGGATACAAACAAATGGAAGAACATTCCATGTTCATGGATAGGAAGAATCAGTATCGTGAAAATGGCCATACTGCCCAAGGTAATTTATAGATTCAATGCCATCCCAATCAAGCTACCAATGACTTTCTTCACAGAATTGGAAAAAAACTACTTTAAAGTTCATATGGAACCAAAAAAGAGCCCGCATCGCCAAGACAATCCTAAGCCAAAAGAACAAAGCTGGAGGCATCATACTACCTGACTTCAAACTGTACTACAAGGCTACAGTAACCAAAACAGCATGGTACTGGTACCAAAACAGATACATAGACCAATGGAACAGAGCAGAGGCCTCAGAAATAACACCACACATCTACAACCATCTGATCTTTGACAAACCCGACAAAAACAAGAAATGGGGAAAGGATTCCCTATTTAATAAATGGTGCTGGGAAAACTGGCTAGCCATATGTAGAAAGTTGAAATTGGATCCCTTCCATACACCTTATACAAAAATTAATTCAAGATGGATTAAAGACTTACATGTTAGACCTAAAACCATAAAAACCCTAGAAGAAAACCTAGGCAATACCATTCAGGACATAGTCATGGGCAAGGACTTCACGACTAAAACACCAAAAGCAATGGCAACAAAAGCCAAAATTGACAAATGGGATTTAATTAAAACTAAAGAGCTCCTGCACAGCAAAAGAAACTACCATCAGAGTGAACAGGCAACTTATAGAATGGGAGAACATTTTTGCAATCTACTCATCTGACAAAGGGCTAATATCCAAAATCTACAAAGAAGTTAAACAAACTTACAAGACAAAAACAACCCCAACAAAAAGTGGGCAAAGGATATGAACAGACACTTCTCAAAAGAAGACATTTATGCAGCCAACAGACACACGAAAAAATGCTCATCATCACTGGCCATCAGAGAAATGCAAATCAAAACCACAGTGAGATACCATCTCACACCAGTTAGAATGGCGATCATTAAAAAGTCAGGAAACAACAGGTGCTGGAGAGGATGTGGAGAAATAGGAACACTTTTACACTGTTGGTGGGAGTGTAAACTAGTTCAACCATTGTAGAAGACAGTGTGGCGATTTCTTAAGGATCTAGAACTAGAAATACCATTTGACCCAGCAATGCCATTACTGGGTATATACCCAAAGGATTATAAATCATGCTACTATAAAGACACATGTACATGTATGTTTATTGTGGCACTATTCACAACAGCAGACTTGGAACCCAAATGTCCATCAATGATAGACTGGATTAAGAAAATGTGGCACATATACACCACGGAATACTATGCAGCCATAAAAAGGATGAGTTCATGTCCTTTGCAGGGACGTGGATGCAGCTGGAAACCATCATTCTCAGCAAACTATCACAAGGACAGAAAACCAAACACCACATGCTCTCACTCATAGGTGGGAATTGAACAATGAGAATACTTGGACACAGGGTGGGGAACATCACACACCAGGGCCTGTCGTGGGGTGGGGGGCAGGGGGAGGGATAGCAGAAATACCTAATGTAAATGATGAGTTGATGGGTGCAGCACACCAACATGGCACATGTATACCTATGTAACAAACCTGCACGTCATGCACACGTATCCTAGAACTTAAAGTATAATAATAATAATAATAAAGACAACTTAGGGATAAATCTAGTCCAACTTCTACAACACAAAATTTCTATCACAGCACCTATAACACTTAAACTGTTTCTTTACTAGATTGAAGACCCTTGAAAGCAGTGAGGTGACTAACTGGGCTTTTTATTCTTGGTACTTAGCATAGTACCCAACTCACAGTAGACACTCAACAAATGTTGCACACATGAGTATATCAACCATTGCATGCTGAGGTTCCACAAAAATCTCCCAAGTGATATTCCAGTCTGTACTCAAGCACTTCACAAATGGGCTTTCTTTACTTTCCAGTGCAGTCCATCCAATCACTGATCCTTTCTGACTGTACATAGGTTGAAGTGTAATATCAAATACAATTACAAAAAAACTTTCCTATGATTATAATGACCAAATTTTCCAGATCAAAAATAGGAATTCATGGTCAGAC
Organism: Homo sapiens; assembly: GCF_000001405.40. Classification (NCBI taxonomy): domain Eukaryota; kingdom Metazoa; phylum Chordata; class Mammalia; order Primates; family Hominidae; genus Homo; species Homo sapiens. The sequence continues at coordinate 42,770,691 of NC_000015.10, forward strand.
AGAGGACATTTGGCCAATCCCCAGTCAATATACATACATTCAACCCTTCTGCAAAATCCATTTTAAGAAGTTAAACAGATGGTAACCAACCCAAAGAGTCTTCACCTTTTCACATTATTAAAGCACACCTCTATTAATACACGTGTGGATCATTCCTGTGTCAGTGGAGGCTCTGAATAACTCCATGAGCTTTCACACAGTCACTGTAGTTTATACAAGGGATCCAAATAAGCAAAGCATGCCTTGCCAGGAAAGCCACATGGAACTATTTCTTTTTTTTCTTTCCTTTTTTTTTTTCTTTGACACAGAGTCTTGCTCTGTCGCCCAGGCTGGAGTGCAGTGGCGCGATCTCGGCTCACTGCAACCTCCGGCTCCCAGGTTTTTAAGCAATTCTCTGCCTCAGCCTCCGGAGTAGCCGGGATTATAGGTGCTGCCACCACGCCTGGCTAGTTTTTTGTATTTTTAGTAGAGATGGGGTTTCACTATCTTGGCCAGGCTGGTCTTGAACTCCTGACCTCGTGATCCGCCAGCCTTGGCCTCCTAAAGTGCTGGGATTACAGGCGTGAGCCACCACGCCCGGCCTGAAGCATTCCTTAACCTTCCCAGAAAGATTTTTAATTACCATGCTAAAAAAAAATTAGTTGAGAAAATAAAGATATCCAAAATTCCACTCCTAAGTCCTAGGCAGATATGTCTGTGTCCCCATTCCTGTAAACAGCCCCACTACAAATCACTTCAGGTTGTTTAAATTAACTGTTTAGATGTAACTTTTCATTGCCAACCTGACAGGTTGGTGCCAACTTGTTATCCCTGAAGTATAGCGTAAAGCCTGGAACTTAGCAGATACTTCACAGGTATGAAGAAATAAACATAATTAAGGCAATACAACTAACTGCTAATTTAAATTTTATTAGTGCTGGTATTGGTAGTCCTGTAAATACAGTCAGAGGAATTCTCTCAAAAGATGTTGGCTAACAGGTTATTAAAAATACTGCTACTCTTTTTCTTTTGGTACTGTTCCTTCTTTGTGCATTATTTTAAACCCCCTTTCCTTTTCTCGATCTCTAAGAAACAAGCCAATTAGGAAAGTCTTTCAGTATGCTGGCAATGCCCTGGTGTAGGGACAGAAGACTGGTGTAAGGTGTAATCTCCTGGCACGAGGGACGGAACACCAAGTCTAGCCTACCAGCGTCTGACTCTTCATGGATTCTCCCTGTCCTGAGGCTTAGTGCCCTCGGTACGAAAAGAGAAAATAATATTCCCTCTGCTTGTTCCATGGAGTTGCAGTTAAGATCAAATAGGGAAGTATTCTGTAAAGTATAAACGTAAGGTAATAATGGTAGACAGCCTCTAAAATGGTTCCCAATGACCCAGAGGTGTCTCCTGGTATTCACACCCTCGTATAGACCCTCATATATTGTACAGCGTTGGTCTTTGTGACTAATAGAATATGGCAGAAGTGATGGTATGTCCCTTCTGACAGATTAGAAAAGACACTGTGGCTTCCATCTCGGTGGGAATGCATTCTCTTCACCTCTCTTCCCCCATTTCTGTCTCTCTCACCTCACTCACTGGGAAAGCCAGATGTCATGTCAGCTATGGAGAGGCCCAAATGGCGAGGAACTAGAGCCTCTGGCTAACAGCCAGTAAGGAACTGAGGCCTGCCAACAGTCATGTGAGTGAGCTTGGAAGTGGATCTTCCCTTTCCAGCCAAACTTTTAAATTGATTTTAACCCTGACTGAGAGCTTGACAACCACCTCATGAGAGACCACACATGAGCTAGAACCACTGAACTAAGCCACTCTTGCATTTCTAGCTCCAAGAAATTGTGTGAAATAATGACTGTTGTTTAACGATGCTAAATTTGGGCTAATTTGTTACATAGCAATGGCAATGGATAACATATGGGTGATGTTACTAGTGCCCAGCCACATTTACACTGTTTCTAAAGGTAATATTAAAATGAAGCACTGACTGGGTACAGTGGCTCATGTCTATAATCCCAAGATTATAGACAGGCTGAGGTAGGAGAATCTCTGGACCCCAGCAGTTTGAGCCCAGTCTGGGCAATACAGTGGGACCCCGTCTTGCAAAAGATTGAAAAATTAGCCAGGTTTAGGAGCTCACACCTGTAATCCCAGCACTTTGGGAGGCCAATGTGGGAGGACCACTTGAACACAAGAATTTGAGACCAGTCTGGGCAACATGGAAAAACCCTGTCTCTACAAAACAACAACAACAACAACAACAACAGCCCCATTACAAATCACTTCAGGTTGTTTAAGGTAACTGTTTAGATGTAAGTTTTCATTGCCAACCTGACAGGTTGGTGCCAACTTGCTATCCCTGAAATATAGCAAAATTAGCTGGGTGTGGTGACTCATGCCTGTAGTCCTAGTGACTTGGGACGCTGGCATGGGAGGATCACTGGAGCCCAGGAGCTCAAGGTTACAGTAAGGTATGATCATTCCACTGTGCTACAGCCTGGGTGACTGAGGAAGACCTAGCCTCTAAAATAGAAATAAAAAACTGAGAAATAAGTATACAATTGATGCAGCTGACATTTCATTAGAGACTTTCAATTAATACAAAAAAATTAGCCGGGCTTGGTGGTGGGCACCTGTAATTCCAGCTACTTGGGAGGCTGAGGCAGGAGAATCACTTGAACCCAGAAGGCGGAGGTTGCAGTGAGCCGAGATCACACCACTGCACTCCAACCTGGGCAACAGAGTGAGACTGTGTCTCAGTAAAGAAAGAAAGAAAGAAAGAAAGAAAGAAAAATAATTCAAAGATATCTAAAAATAAGGTCAAACATCACATACATGAACACAAGCCTATCAACAACTTGTCAGAGAAAACACCGCAGTAGTGTAAGAGAACCATGAGCACAATCTTTGTAAATAGGACAGCGTCGAGAGAGGGCAAAAAATACCAGGAGAAATGGAGCAAAGGTTTTAGAAAGCCTCCATGAAGGGAGGCACACCAGAATGCTGCTGGAAATATGCTAGAGCAAAAGTTAGTACACAGCATAATAGAGTTAAAGAACAAAGTGAACCTGGGAAGGTGGAAAGAGTGGATGAATGGAAAGAGGAAAGGTGGGTTGGGAGAAAGGATGAAGCAGGGAGGGAGGGAGTTAGTAGTTACCTCCCTCTAGCCCACATGATAGCTTTGTACAATTTGGAAAAGAATGCCCTTCCAAAAGGAAACAGCCCTGTGCCAAGATGCACAGTTTGGAAAGCAAAGTCTGGGGTAGATTTCAGCCCTAATTTGTTTCCTGGCTAGATTCCTTTATGCTGCAAACAACCTGCCTAACTATACAAAGCAGTCCCAGGAAAGAGGGACCTGCTAACTAACTCTGGTGAAGAAGCAGGCAGGCCTTTATTTCCCTATTTTGGAGCACAGGCAAATTTCTCAGAACTGTACACAAAATGTATTTTCACTGGTATCTTTTCCCACTGTTTTGCACTTGATGTGGAATTGTGTTCTAATAGAAAACCTTTCAGTTTGGGGAACAATGCTGTTTCTGGTGAGTTGGGGGAGGGGGACTGCTAGATGATTATGGAATTTAAGGAAACCTGGTAGCTCTCATCACATAAGGACAGATGTACCTGTGGGTGCCTAAGATTTGTGTCCACAGTTACTTATTTAGCCTGGGGGCTTTTCATGGCTTTGCTTGGCCATCTCTGGCTTTTCTGGGGCTCCTCCTCACACAGTCACCAGGGGCACCACTGTTTACTGGTAACAGGATAACAGGCTTCTCCAGCTGAATGCCCAAAACTGAAAATAAACAATAGTCGTTCCTCAAAAGTTTCCTTTGCAGAAGACCTGTATCATAAATGCCGCCTCTACCTGCTTGTTAAAATGAGGATTCCTGAGCACGCTCTTCCCCAGACCTGCTAAAACAAAAGTTCTGGAAGTGAGGCCTGGGACTCTGCATTTTGAACAGTGGCCATCAATGTTAGAAAATTACCGTTTAACAGGAATATGAAGTATGAGAAATTCCTGGGTGGACTTTATGAAAGAGAAAGGGAATTAAAGGCTCAGGCCTCCCAACAGTGTACAGTGTAAAGAACAAACCATGAAGGGTTAAATAGATGCCTTCCTCAGTAAATGTATAGTAAAAATTGCTAGGAACTTCAAAAAATTGTAACATATATAAACACACATAGATAGCTAGCGCTTGTAGTCTAATTAAAAATGTTATTCTAAAATTAGGTTATAATGACATTTCATGTATTGAGTTTGATATAATAAAAGAAGACCTCACTTTTTGAAAAATTTCATATTGGAGGGTTGACTATAGAACTTAGTACAAAATCACTCCCTGGGCCATCTGCAAAATTTAGGCCTGTACTGAAGTATCTTAGTTGATCAACTGTTAGTCCTTTCTTAATAGCACCTTGAGTGGATAACAGAGAATAATAATAAAAACAAATTTCTTACCGCTGTAAGGGGTCCTTCTGCCTGCGCCTCCATTAGACTTGTGGGCGTCGCTGCAATAAACTGACTAGCAGCTCCAGGCTGGAGTTCCAGCCTATCTGTATATTGTTCTGAAGCAGCAGTAGGAGGACCCTCTGCAGAAAGTGCTAAGACCACACCTGAGGTTTCCTTCTTTAAATGATCATTTTCTGCCCAAGGACCTAACTGGAGCTTTTCATCTTGAGGTGATGCCTCCAGGACTTGAAGTACTTCAGGCTCCTCATCAGAAGGACTTCCAGTTGTTTTATGTCCTACAGCCTCATTTGTCCTAAAATCCTGAAGGTCCTGCTCCTTGTCCACAATCACCCATTCTTTGGAATCAATTTCTTGCTTGCAAGAGCTCAGGTTAACAGCTATAAATCCATTGCTGCCACCACCATCTGCCTGCTCAGGGGTGTTGGCAGAAGCAGGCTTGGAGGCATCTGGAAGATATTCTTCATCATAGTGCCAGATGTGGTCAGTACGGGACACAGCAGGAACGCAAGGCTTATGCAGCAGAGCAGGGAGAATAGATTCTTTTCCTGCACTGGTATCTTTCTGCATTTTCTCCAGGCTTAAGGAAATGGAAAGAAGTTACTCAACTGTCCTAAGGAAACATTTATTATATAATATATAAGCTCCATAAAGAACTAATATGGACACAAAGATGAGAGAAAAAAAGATGGATAAAGCACAAGGAAAGTTTCACAGCATTGATAATGCTCTTCTCTACCTGCCACATCCTGCTTTGGAAGATGGAGCTCAGTTCTTTCCTCAGCAAGGCCCTTTTTAGTTCCCTTATTTTGTCAAACCAACTTTTTATTGAACTGAGCTTTTATCCCTATTGTATGTTGATATTTATTCTCAATATGAGCCACAACTCAAAATGTATAAACCAATGCCCCATCCATCCTTTCGATCGTGTGAGCGTGTAGACATGTGCTTACATAACATAGCTATGAATGATTACCATGTGAGGAAGAACACACATATGTGAAGGATTGTTTAAAATGGACGCCAGATTGGAGTAGGCCAGAAGTGGCTGAATTGTCTTGGGAAACAGTAATTACCATCTTAGTCAAATTCACAGTCCCTCTAACCTAATATTTCATTACCAATAGTAGCCACTAGAGATGCACCATTGAAGGGCATGACTACTATTAAAGGAAATTAGGTCTTAATGCTGCGAATACTACTGAAGTTTCTATAATTCATAAATATATCCCACACTTTTTTCATTTCTGTCTTCTGTTATCAAAATTTGTTGTAGGGATAATGTGCCTCAAAACCATGCACTACAATCTTTACCTATGTATATAGATCTCTCAAGTTTCACCTTCCTTTCTCTCTAGGTAGATTGCAAACTCTCGAGGGCAAGCATGATATACTTATTGGTATCTGTTTTCCCACAGTATCTTACTCCTAGAGGGTCTTCACTAAAGTGAATTGAACTCACCGTCCCTTGTGTATGAATTACTTTTTCCCCTCCTTTATGTATTCCCCTCATCTCTGCCTAATGCCATCTTTATCATGCCCTCTCCAGCACTACACTGTTGTGTGGAAGAGATTACTTTCTAAACAAAGTTACTGTAAAAATGTTCATTTAACTTGTACCTAGTGTTAGGAAGTCATCAGCTCTTACTGCTCAGCTTCCAAAGCCAAAGGACATGCTATAGAATTTATAATAATTAAGAATCAGGATAATAATAATTAAAAACATGGATGAAAATTGGAGCTGAATAGACTCAGTGTTACAAAAATGCAAGGATTTCTTATTTGAAAGACTTTATGTAACAGAAATATACAATAATAATAACAACAATGACAACAATAATAATGGTACCTTAGAAGCTTTAAAAAGAAAAATACACTATTTTATACCAGGTCTCAAGGAACTTGTCAGTGTCTGGCTTTGGCTCCAGGGTCAGACGTTTTTCCAGCTCAAAGCTGTGAATGGAACGTAACTTTCGCACCAGTGGAATATCTCTGTCTGGCTGAGTAATCTCTGAGCGGACACGAATTGGTGACCCAAGGCTTGGAGCATTGAGAAGACCATTTGCCTGGCCATGGCTGTTCTCCTCTTCAGTAGCAGCCTATCCAAAATATAAAATAAAATCATGAAAAACATTCTAGGCAACACACATGAGAGGAATCATTGAAGCCTTTCAAAATAATATAAATAAATGATTAGATGTGTTTTCAGATGATTAGGATATTTTGGCTAGTTTACTTCATTACATTCTTATCTATTAACTCTTTATTAAATGTGTTTTCTTAATTTATACTCAGTTTCAGTATTATTTTAGGTTTTTAAAATACTTTTGGCACAAACATAAATAATCTAAAAATGTTTAACAGACTTGGATTTTTGAATTATGTCTGACATGAGGCTTGTAGTATCCCATTCCACTAACCTGACACTGAAACCTGGAAAGGATGTTCCCTATGAGACATAAGTGGTCTCACAATTTAGGAGAGGCTGCCAAGCCTGAGTCGCTATACCTCTTTTCTCATTCTCCCTCTAAAAAACAAAAAACAACAAAAAGCCTGGGGGCCAGACTACTAAGGAGCTGAGGCAGAGGAGAAGGAGGATGACTGTGAGGCAGCCCAGGGGGTGGGACTATTTAAGCACAGGTGCCTACAGCAGCACATTATCAGGGAAGCAAAGCCTTATATAAGGAGTGTGGTGACAGAGGGAAGTCTGGGACATCTACTCTGATTAGAGACCCTCAAGAGGATGCCTAACTGGCTCAAATTGGTGATATACTCAGGGTAGCAGCAGAAACACAAGCCAGTCTTCCTTGAAGGAAAGTTTCCCCAAACCCCAATTTAGGTCTCCAGAACTCCCATCAATTATTAATTAATTAGCCAAAAAAAAAAAGAGAGAGAATCAATACATGAGAAGGCCTGCTACCATGATTGACACAACAGAAATAATAGTCAAAATTAAGAAAAACATTTAAAACTCCCAAATATTTCAGATATTGAACTGGTTCCAATATAAAATATAGACCAGCTATGCATAAATGTTTAAATAAATAAAGGTTATTATAACAAAGATCAACAAAGGGTTATTTGGAATTAAATGATTGATTAACTTAATATTTAATATTCAATTAACAAGTTAAGCAGCAAGTAAGCAAAAAAAAAAAAAACAAAAAAGGTTGAAATTATTAATTAGTGAAGTGGAAGACACAGCCAAAGAAATTACCTAGAATAAAAAACAGCAAGATAGGCCGGGCGTGGTGGCTCACATCTGTAACCCCAGCACTTTCGGAAGCCAAGGAGGGTGGGTCACAAGGTCAGGAGTTGGAGACTAGCCTGGCCAACATAGTAAAACCCCATCTCTACTAAAAATACAAAACAAAATTAGCTGGGCATGGTGGCACACGCCTGTAATCCCAGCTACTCAGGAGGCTGAGGCAGGAGAATCACTTGAACCCAGGAGACGGAGGTTGCAGTGAGCCGAGATCGTGCCATTGCACTCCAGCCTGGGCAACAGACCAAGATTCCATCTCAAAAAAACAAAAACAAAAACAAAACAAAACAAACCCAGCAAGATAAGAAGAAAATTATGAAAAAAGATATTAAGAGATATGATGGATACAATAAAAAGCCATAACATATGTCTAACTGGAGTCCTAGAAAGAGATAATAGAAAGAATGAAGAGGTAGTAACATTCAGATACAGAATGGCTGTTATTTCCCAGAACATATTTTTATACAAAAATATGAATAAAAATATTCAAGGGACACAAGATATCCTAAGCAAGATAAATATATGCTTAGAAACATCATAGTGAAAACGCAGAACACCACAGACAAGAACAAGAACTAAAAAGTAGCTGGGAAGGAAAGATGAAGGTGGGGGAAACAATCACTTAAAAAGAAAAAAACAATTAGAATGACAGTAAGTTTCTGAACACCAGTGACTGAAGCCAGAGGAAAAATAACTATCAATAACTTTATATTTGGGCTGGGCGTGGCGGCTCACGCCTATAATCCCAGCACTTTGGGAGGGAGGTGGGTGAATCACTTGAGGCCAGGAGTTCAAGACCAGCCTAGCCAACACGGTAAAACCCTGTCTCTAATAAAAATACACACAAAAAATTAGCCAGGTGTGGTGGTGCATGCCTGTGGTCCCGGCTACTCGGGAGGCTGAGGCAGGAGAATCGCTTTAACCCAAGAGGTGGAGGCTGAAGTGAGCTGAGATTGCGCCACTGCACTCCAGCCTGGGCAACAAAGCAAAACCCTGTCACAAAAAAAAAAAAAAAGAAAGAAAACAAACCAAAAAAACCCCCGACTTTATATTTGGCATAAACTATCTTGAAAGAATGAAGCTAAACTAAGTACATTTATAGATAAGAAAATACATTTATAGAAAGAGTCCTCTACCAAAAGACATGAGGTAAAGGAACTTCTGAAGGAAATATTTCCGGAAGAAAGATGAGCCAAGGACTTTCAGAAATGAAAGGAAATGGTAAACGTCTTTGAAAGTCCATATAAACATTACTTGTATAAAAGAACAACATTAATAATCCAATTCAAGGCTGGGCGCGGTGGCTCACACCTGTAATCCCAGCACTTTGTGAGGTCGAGGCAGGTGAATTACTTGAGGCCAGGAGTTCAAGACTTAGCCTGGCCAATACGGTGAAGCCCCATCTCTACCAAAAATACAAAAAATTAGTCGGGTGTGGTGGCACGTGCCTGTACTCCCAGCTACTTGGGAGGACGAGGCACGAGAATCACAACCCAGGAGGCGGAGGTTGTAGTGAGCTGAGATCGCACCGCTGCACTCCAGCCTAGGTGACAGAGCGAGACTCTGTCTCAAAAAATAAATAAAATAAATAATAATCTAATTCAAGTCATTCTTCTTTGTTGCTGTCTGTTTGAGACAGAGTCTCACTCTGTCACCTAGGCTGGAGTGCAGTGGCGCAAACTTGGCTCACTGCAGCTTCTCCTCCCAGGTTCAAGCGATCCTCCACCCTCAGCCTCCCAAGTACCTGGGACTACAGGTACGTGCCAACATGCCCGGCTAACTTTTTTTTTTTTTTTTTTTTTTTGGTAGAGATAGGGTTTTGCCATGTTGCCCAGACTGGTCTCGAACTCCTGGGCTCTAGTGTTCCTCCCACCTTGGCCTCCCAAAGTGCTGGGATTATGGGTGTGAGCCACTGTGCCAGGGCAAGTCATTCTTTTTCTTTTTTTTTTTTTAAAAGAAAGAATTAAAATTAGAAGAGTACTAAAATGTTGGGAGAAGGGTGAATGAAGTTAAAATGTTCTACAGTCCTTGCAGTATCAGAAAGGTAGTTAGGATATTGCTTAATTTTAGACTTTTAAGTTAAAAATAACTGGGAAATTTCCAGGACAACTACCAAGAGAACAGAATTAGAATGTTTAAATCCCCAGTAAGTACAAAGAGAAAACAGAAGATGAAAAATACCAACAAAATCTGTAATGAAAAGAAAGGCAGGAAAAAGGCATTAAAAAACTGAATAGAAATTTAAAAGAGAAACAAGTTCATATAAAAATAATTTGGCTGGGCGTCGTGGCTTGTGCCTGTAATCCTACCACTTTGGGAGGCTGAGGCGGACAAATCACCTCAGGTCAGGAGTTCGAGACCATCCTGGCCAATATGGCAAAACCCTCTCTACTAAAAGTACAAAAATTAGCCAAGCGTGGTGGCGGGTGCCTGTAATTTCAGCTACTTGGGAGGCTGAGGTAGGAGAATCACTTGAACCCGGGAGGCAGAGGTTGCAGTGAGCCGAGATCATGTCACTGCACTCCAGACTGGGTGACAGAGCGAGACTCTGTCTCAGAAAATAAATACACAAATACAATAATAATTCTAAATGTAAATCAATTAAGCTGACTAATTAAAACATAAAGACGTAAGATTGTCCACTTATACTCCACTTAACAACAGTCACAACAGAATGAGAAAAAATAGAAAGATAAAGGCAGAAAAAAGATACACCAGGCATGTACTACCCAAAAGAAAGTTGGCATAACTGTATTAACATCTGACAAAATAGGCTTTAATGCTAGAAAAAAAAAATAGTAGGAACAGAATAGAAATAGTCATTATATAAAGAAAAACAAAACTTTTAATCACCTGGCAGATGTAAAAACTCTAAACTTGTATGCACTTAACTCATGGATGAAAAAAATCATTACGGAAAAATATTCAGAACAGAATGAGAATAAAAATACAACACACCAAAACTTTTGCAATACAGTAACAGAGATATTCATTACCTTCTTTCTGCTTGTCTTAGCTTATTCTGCTGCTTCTTTTTCTACTTTCTTGAGGTAGGATTTAGACTATTGATGTAAAACCTTATCTTTCCTAATGTAAGTATTTAGTGCTATACATTTCTCTCTCAGTACTGCTTTAGCTACCTCCCCAACATTTTGATATGTTGTGGTTTCGATTTCATTCAATTCTATGTAAATTTAAAAAATTTTCCTTTAAGGCTTCCTCTCTGACCCATGGATTATACAGAAATATGCTGTATAATTTCCAAGTGTTTAGAGATTTTCCTGTTGTCTTTATGTCACTGATTACTAGATTAACTCCAATATTTTTAGAGAACATAGTATGTGTGATTTCAATTATTTAAACTTATTAAGGTTTGTTTTGTAGCTCTGCTTTTATGGAATCTAACCTAAGACAGCGGTTACCTCAGTGGGGATAGGGTAGAAGCATAAATATAGAAGGAATATGTTAAAATATTCTAGTTCTTAGGGCAGATGGTGGATTCACATGCTTATATTACTATGCTTTGACATGATATATATGAAATCTTTTATATATAGTATAAGTAGATTTTAAAAGATAAATATAGCTGTTTTGAATTTTTCTCCTAGATGACCAATAAATTCCTAAAGTTATAAGCTCTATCCATGCACTTTTTCATGTATATATGTATATATATTTTTTGAGGTGGAGTTTCACTCTGTCATCCAGGCTGGAGTGCAGTGGCATGATCTTGGCTCACTGCAACCTCCACCTCTCAGGTTCAAGCGATTCTCCTGCCTCAGCTTCCCAAGTAGCTGGGATTACAGGCACCCACCACCAAACCCTGCTAATTTTTGTATTTTTAGTAGAGACAGGGTTTCACCATGTTGGCCAGGCTGGTCTTGAACTCCTGACTTCAGGTGATCCGCCCACCTTGGCCTCCCAAAGTGCTAGGATTACAGGTGTGAGCCACCATGCCTGGCCCTCATGTACATATTTTTACTTATACTTCTACTTCAACCACTTCTTCCATAAGACATGTTCCCAACTCCCACCCCATCTGCATGCATTTTAATTTTTTTAAATGTTTTGCACAATGTTCTGTCTTGTATTATATTTGCTTGTGCAGCTACATATCTACCCAAAGAGACCGTAAGCTCCTTAAAGGTAAAAGATGTATCTTAAACTGCACAGCACATAGCTTAGTAAATTGTCTTCAATATTTAGCTTAATGCTTTATCCAGATGTTCAAAATGAGAGCTTGTAATGTACAGCACTATACATTATAAATTCAATAAACTGCACATCACCATGATGACAAATAATGGACTTAGGGTCAAAACTATCTACCATTCAAATTTCACTGAGATTAAATAGTGATAGTGAGTAAAAGACAGAAACCAAAATAACTAAGATCTTCCATGTCAAGCGCCACTTCATTCTCTCGCATACACGGATATCCATATGGGCTGACAACTGAGAATGTCACTAGTGATTTTTTTTTTGCTATAAGAACAGTTTGTTCCTGGTGCCATAAAGACAGCCACAGCTGATACTAGAAAAATCTGACACTGACTCCCTGTCTACTTTCCACTACTCATTCCTGATTACTATTCATCCAGATTGTGCTTTGTCAACAGCCAAATCACATTGTGGCATATCACATCGATCCAGAGATCATTTTGCAAATGACTCCCATGACTGAACATATACACCTGCTATAGTCTGAATGTTTGTGTCCCCCCAAAATTCACATGTTGAAATTCTAACTCCCAATGTGAGGGTATTAGGAGGTGGGCCCCTTGGGAGGTAATTAGGTCAAGAAGGCAGAGCCCTCATGAATGAGAGTGGTGTCCTTACAAAAGAGGCCCAAAAGAGATCCCTTTCCCCATCTACCACATGAGGACTCAGCAAGGAGGAGCCACAAAACAGCCCTCACCAGATACCAAATCTGCCTAGCCTTCCTTCTTGGACTTCCCAGCCTTCTGAACTGTAAGAAATAAATTTCTGTTGTTTATAAGGTACTCATACCTTACAAATTCCAAGCTTTATCTTGTTTTTGTTGGCATCCATCTCTTCCCAAACATCCTTCTCCTGGGGACGGGGGTGTCCCAGAGATCCAGGCAATTTATCTGGTGACACACCAACAGGGATGCCATTTTCTCCATCGCTAAGCTGTTCATCTGGAAATACCTCATCTGTATTTTCTCGAAGCAAGTCTCCAGGGATGGGAGTAGCATTGGCAATTCTACATATGAAGGGAGAAAAAAAAGGCAAGAATCAAAAATTACTATGAGACTATCTTACATCATTTTATTTCTTCATTTAAATGAACTCCACACATAATTAAGAGAGTTAAAAAAAAAAAAAAAGCACCTTGAAAACTTAGGTTGGCCGGGCATGGTGGCTTATGCCTGTAATCCCAGCATTTTGGGAGGCTGAGGCAGTCAGATCACTTGAGGTCAGGAGTTCAAGACCAGCCTGGCCAACATGGTGAAACCCTGTCTCTACTAAAAATACAAAAATTAGCTGGGCGTGGTGGTGGGCACCTGTAATCCCAGCTACTTATGAGGCTGAGGCAGGAGAATTGCTTGAATCTAGAAGGCGGAGGTTACAGTGAGCCAAGATTGCGCCACTGCACTCCAGCCTGGGTGACAGAGCGAGACTCCAGCTCAAAAAACAAAACAAAACAAAAACAAAAGAAAAAGAAAAAAAAAACTTAGGTCATGCCAATCCTACGAAATAAAACTTTAAAATTTTGATCAATTAGAATTTTCAAGCTGATTTTAAAATACAAAATCTAAAACAATAACACCCTAATTTGACAATCACTTTAAAAGTAAAAAGCATTTCATCTATTTTCATAGAAGTCTCTGTCAATTATAACAACATTTTTTTTCTTTTTTTGAGACAGAGTTTCACTCTTGTCGCCCAGGCTGGAGTGCAGTGACGCGATCTCGGCTCACTGAAACCTCCACCTCTCGGATTCAAGCGATTCTCCTGCCTCAGCCTCCTGAGTAGCTGGGATTACAGGCGCCCACCACCACACTGGGCTATTTTTTGTATTTTTAGTAGAGACAGGGTTTCGCCATGTTGGGCAGGGTGGTCTCAAACTCCTGACCTCAGGTGATCTGCCTGCCTTGGCCTACCAAAGTGCTGGGATTACAGGTGTGAGCCACGGCACCCGGCGTGTTAGAGAATTTTTAAAAATTCTAAACAGGAAAATGTTAAGTGCTGTTGAACTCCAAATAAAATACAGAGATGAATCTCCAAATTAACATTCCATTTGGGAAGCAAGAATGACAATTTGGGGCACACACATAGACTGAGTGGGTCTCTGGTATATCTAAAGACCAAAGGAGAGGTTGGGGGTTTTATTAGAGAGATGTCATATACTGTTTTGAAAGAAAGTTCATTGGCATCAGAGAAGCTTTTGGGAGCTGGCAGGCTCTGACTGGTGAGTGACAGAGGTATGTAAATTTAGTCTTGGAGTCACAGCAGGCCATTTCAGCAGCTGGGCTTGTAAGAAATTAAATTCTTGGAGCAGGTGCTATGTGCCCCAAGTACTTTCTCCCTGGCCTCTTGATTGATTTAGTTGACTATGACAAGAATGACCTAATTTGTATAATCAACTTTCGCAGTGCCATAATGAAATAAACAGGTGTCAGATCAATCAGCTATGTTATTTTTTTACAGTGTGAAATGTGTATTACTTTTTCACTTGCAGATTTTTTTTTTTTTTTTTTTTTTGAGACAGAGTCAAGCTCTGTCTCTCAGGCTGGGGTGCAGTGGCATAATCTCTGCTCACTGCAACCTCCGCCCCCGGGGTTCAAGCGATTCTCCTGCCTCGGCCTCCCAAATAGCTAGGATTACAGGCATGCACCACCATGCCCAGCTAATTTTTTATATTTTTAGTAGAGATGGGGTTTTGCCATGTTGGCCAGGCTGGTCTCGAACTCCTGGCCCCAAGTGATCCACCCACCTTGGCCTCCCAAAGTGCTGGGATTACAGGTGTGAGCCATCGTGCCCGGCCACTTGCAGACTTTTTACTAAGCACCTACTACATGCAAGGCCCTAGCAACACAAAGAGGAAGGAAATTCTTGCCCTAGAGGGGAAACTAGACTTTCTGTAATTATACAGTTGATATAGTTCAGCATGAACTGACCTGGGGGAAAAAATAGCAAATATTAATTGGTATTTGTCTATATATTTCTTTCAAAGTAATTCCAGGTCTTATTTATATGGTTGGTCATCGCTCCCTTAGACCCTCCCATGAGAGGCTTTTCTAGTTCACAGTTTTCCTTCACCAAGTGAAAAGGCTCCTGCCAGTTCTGTAACTCTATATTCTAGGGTTTTTTTTTTTTTTTTTAAATATTGCTGACTGAACACAATACTTAGCACACAATGAAACCTCCTCTTAGAAGTGACCTGGAATGTCTCAAAGTAGAAAAATTAGTCTTCAGTACATTATACTGACTCCTGTAATTACTGTGAGTGGCAACATCCTCTCAGTGAGCCACTTTAAGGGTCACAGTTAGATCCTGGCACTGGTGTCACGAGTATTTCATATGCTCTGAGAAGACCAGTGATTTTTCAGGGACTTGTTCCACCTGACTTGGTAACCGATGACCTTCACCACTACCTTTGCCTAAATGGATCAATGCTAGAATGAACCTCTTTATCAACAATTTACAAGGATATAATCTAGAAAAGCACTGATAATGGCTCCCCGAAAAAAAAGAAAGAAAAAAAAAAAAACTTACAACCTAGTAAAGTAGTATCTGTAGTTCTGACAGTGGAAGCATATTTAAAAGGTAGTTTGGCCTAAAATAGTTCAAATAGTTCAAATCAATAGTTCAGATTTATTATAGAGATAATTAAAGATCAGAAATAAACTGGCTACTAACAGATTTTTCAGATATTAGTTCAATATAATTTATTTATTGATAAAAGAGTCATAATGGACACTAACATACATGTACTACATGGTAATCCAAATGTTTATTGAAAGAATTCCCTCTATTCCTGAGGAAAGAGAAAGGGAAATAGATGAATATTTGAACTCAAGAAGCTTAGTCTATTATCGTCACCTTTTTTCCATTTTAATCACTCAGTATTCTTTCAAGTCCCTTTTTCCCTTATGTCTAGCCACTATTCTGCTTTTTTTCCAACTACCTCAATTCCTTTGCATTTCCTTCTTTCACACCTCAGGAAACAAACCACACCTCCATCTCTGAATACACTTCTACTTTCATTCAATCCTACTTTTTCTCTTATCTCTTATGCTTCAATATGATACCACACACTCCAAGGACCTCGTCCATCTTCTCCACACAGGCTCTCTTTTATAGGACTCAGGTTCCTCTCCCACCCAGACCCTCCCTCTGCATTTATTCTCCATTCCTTTCTCCTTCCCTGGTTATTGTTTCTTTTCCTAAACTCTGATCCAAATCTTGAGTATGCAATATGGAAAGAAATAATTCCTTCCCAGGAAAATTATATCATGTTCAGGAATATGAATGAGTGAGAAAGTATACATAAGAGTGTTATTAGCACATGGTCTGTGTTTCCAGGCAAGGTATTATATAACTGAAGCAGATTAAGGGAATAAGTAAGAAAATGTGTGGAAGAACTGAAGAGATATGAGAAAAAATAGTAAGAACGAATATCCTTTTCATATTTCATTCCCCATAATCTAAGGCAAACTAGTGCTTGTGGGCCAAATCTGGCCTGCTTACCTATTTTTTTTTAATAGACTTATTGGAACACAGTCAGTCTCGTCTGTTTACACGTTGGCCATGGCAGCTTTTGCACTATAACAGCAATGACAGTAGTGACAGAGACAGCATAGCTCACAGATATTTATCTGACCCTTTATAGATAAAGCTTGCTGGCTCATGATTTAAAGCGTCCTCTTACCTTCTAAACTTTCATTCTCCCTCTACGAAGAAATTCAGGGTTCTGGGACATACACTATAAATTTTTCTCTTTAACACTGATTCTCCAGGTATTCTACCATATCATTTGCAAACAGAAAAAAATCAGAAGTTGGCAAACTTTTTCTTAGAGGGCAGACAGTAATGGTTAGGCCTGTGGGCAAGATTCACTGATGGATGCTACAATTAATAGGAAAAGTATGACAAGAAACACAGTGCTGACATAGTTGCAAATATCTTCCCACAAGATTATTTCTTACAAAGAGAAAAACAGTAACTTTATAGTAGAAAGAACTGGCCACTGTAACCAAATTGTCAACATAAGTATCATCAGTAATGAGACATACTGACATTATGTACCTCCTTGTTTAATGCCATAGGTTTTCCTCTGATCTTTGTTCTAAAGTTATCTCATAGATTCTGATAAGTAGTGTTTACATTATCATTTTTTTCTATAACTTTTAGTTTTTATTTTCCTTTTCACCCAAGAGTACAGTCATGTATCGCTTAACAACGGGGATACATTCTAACAAATGCCATCGTTAAGCAATTTCATCATTATCCAAATGATCACAGCGTACTTAAAAAAACTATATTGTATAGCCTATTACGTGCCTAGGCTATATGGTATAACCTATTGCTCCTAGGTTACAAACCTGTACAGCATGTCACTGTTCTGAATACTGGAGGCAAGTGTAACACAATGGTTAAGTATTTGGGTATTATAACATTATCTAAACATAGAAAAGGTAGAGTAAAACTACAGTATTGTAATCTTATAGGACCACTGTCATATATGCGGTGTATCACTGATTGCGATGTCATTACACGGCACATGACTGTAGTTTAATAGGTTCTTAAATTTCCAGTAAAAGGGCCTTTGATATTTTAATTTTGTTGGTAATTTCTAGTTTTCTTGCAGTGTGATCAGATAATGTAATACTTCTACTTTATGGAACTACTTACATGTTTGTTTGTGACCTAATACCTGATCAATTTTTGTGAATGTTCCAGGGGCCCCTGGGCAGGAGGTATAGTCTCTATCATCAAGGTATAGAGTTCAGAAAACATACATATGATCTACCTTACTACGATCACGCTGTTTAAGTCTTCTATCTTCCTATTCTCTGTTCACTTGATCTGTCTTAAACTGAGGGTGGTACATTAACATCTCCAACTATGAGTGTGTTTTTATGTCTCCTTGAATATCCTGCAGTTGTTGTTTCCCAAAGGTGAGTGTCATGATTCTGGTGACTAAATATTAATAAATTTTGTATCCCACTTGTGAATTGTGGCATTTGGCATTAAAAAGTGCCCTTCCATCTTTTCTAAGTTTTTTGTTTTGGCTTGAATTCTACATCATCTGTTATTAGGATCACTTCTCTTTTCTATCTTTCTGATATATCTTTGTCCATCTCTTTCTTACTTTTTTTAGGTGTGTGTCTCTTATACACAGCATATGAATATAGCTATATAACCCAAACTGAAAATGTTTTCCTTTTAATAGGTGAGTTAACCCCATGTATATTTATTGCTGTGACTGATGTGTTTGGTCTTAAGTCTGCTGTAGTATTTTACTTCCTTAAATTGTATTTGAGCTTTGTAACATGATGTAATAGGATATACATAGACAGTAAAATGGTCATTACAGGGAAGCAGATTAACCTATCAACTCACAGTTACTTTTTTTGTGACAAAGAGCAGCTAAAATCTACTTATTTAACAAAAATCTCTAATACAATTTTATTTTTATTTATGTCCAAGACTTCTGAAAATACAATTTTATAAAGGTTATTCCTTATGCTGTCCATTAGATCTCCACACTTGTTCATCCCACATATCTGCTATTTTATATCCTTTGACCTACATCTCCCCATTTCCTTTCCTTCCTCCCTCCTTGAACCCCCTGTGGTAACCACTGTATCATTCTCAATCTCTGTGTATTTGAGTGCTTTAAAATATATATACGTGTGTGTGTGTATATATATATATATGTTTTTTGTTCACATATAAATGAGATCATGCAACATTTTTATTTCTGTCTGGCTTATTTCACTAAGCATGTCTTTTAGTTCCACCTATGCTGTGGCAAATGATAGGATCTCCTTCTTTTTAAAAGCTGAATAAGGTCGGGTGTAGCGGCTCATGCCTGTAATCCCAGCACTTTGGGAGGTTGAGGCAGGTGGATCACCTGAGGTCAGGAGTTCGAGACCAGCCTGGTAAACATGGTGAAACCCCATATCTAATAAAAATACAAAAATTAGCCAGCTGTGGTGACGCAGGCCTGTAATCCCAGCTACTCAGGAGTCTGAGGCAGGAGAATCCCTTGAATCCAGGAGGCGGAGGTTGCAGTGAGCAGAGATCATGTCATTGCACTCCAGCCTGAGCAACAGGGCAAGAATCAGTCTCAAAAAAATAAATATAGAAAAATAAAAAGCTGAATAATAGTCCATTATGTGTGTGTGTGTAAGTATTTATACATCATCTATATTCC
Source organism: Homo sapiens (assembly GCF_000001405.40). Lineage (NCBI taxonomy): Eukaryota > Metazoa > Chordata > Mammalia > Primates > Hominidae > Homo > Homo sapiens. The sequence goes on from NC_000015.10 coordinate 42,789,819, forward strand.
ATTGTGTGTGCATATATATATACAAATACATACAATACACACACACACACACACACACATATACATTTTCTTTATCAATTTGTCCATCAGTGGGTATTTAGGTTGTTCCTGTATCTCGGCTATGGTAAATACTGCTGCAGTGAACACGAGAGTGCAGATACCTTATTTGGTCAACTAATTTTCAACAAGGGCACCAAAAGGACACAGTGGGATCCAATAAATGGTGCTCTTCAATAAATGGTGCCGGAAAAACTGGATTTCCACGTGCAAAGGAATTGGACCCCTATTTTACACAATACACAAAAATCAACTAAAAATGTATAAAAGACCTATATGTTAAGACCTGAGACTATAAAACTCCTAGAAGAGAACATAGGAGGAAAGCTTTGTCATAGTATTTTATTATTATGTGCACAGTATCTTGCTATACTTGCTATATTTCTTCCTCTACAAGATGTATTCTTTGTCTATTTTTTTTTTTTTTGAGTCAGGATCTCACTCTGCTGCCCAGGGTGGAGTATAGTGGCGCGATCTCAGGTCACTGCAACCTCCATTTCCTGGACTCAAGCCATTCTCCAGCCTCAGCCTTCGGAGTAGCTGGGACTATAGGTGCACAACACCACACCCAGCTAATTTTTGTATTTTTTGTAGAGACAGGGTTTCACCATGTTGCCCAGGATGGTCTCAAACTCCTGAGCTCAAAGTGATCTGTCCACCTTGGCCTCCCAAAGTGCTGGAATTACAGGCATGAGCCACTGTGCCTGGCCCGTACTTTAATTTATAAATAATTTGGGGGGTGGGTATTTCAGAAGTTTTGCCTTTTTGTTCTAATGCTTATCTTTGGACATAAACCTTTTTAAATGCTCTTAGTTCTCTGTGAGTTTTTGTTTGTTTGTTTTGTGACGGAGTCTCACGTTGTTGCCCAGGCTGGAATGCAGTGGCATGATCTCAGCTCACTGCAACCTCTGCCTCACAGGTTCAAGCAATTCTCCTGCCTCAGCCTCCGGAGTAGCTGGGACTACAGGTGTGCGCCATCATGCCCAGCTAATTTTTGTGTGTTTTTTTTGTTTGTTTGTTTGTTTTGAGATGGAGTCTCGCTCTGTCATCCAGGCTGGAGTGCAGTGGCTCAATCTCAGCTCACTGCAAGCTCCACCTCCCGTGTTCACGCCATTCTCCCGCCTCAGCCTCCCGAGTAGCTAGGGCTATAGGCACCTGCCACCATGCCTGGCTAATTTTGTTTTTGTATTTTTAGTAGAGACGGGGTTTCACTGTGTTAGCCAGGATGGTCTCGATCTGACCTCATGATCCGCCCGCCTTGGCCTCCCAAAGTGCTGGGATTACAGGCGTGAGCCACGGTGCCTGGCCAATTTTTGTATTTTTCAGTAGAAACGGGGTTTCACCATATTGGACAGGCTGGTCTCGAACTCCTGACTTTGTGACTCGCCTGCCTCAGCCTCCCAAACTGCTGGGATTACAAGTATGAGCCATCACACCCAGCCAGTTCTCTGTTTTTAAATCTAACCTTCTACTATTTGGTTTCTCAGTTTTAACATATTATTTTGTTTTTCTTCTTCAGGGACTCCAACAACCTGACTGTTATTTCTTCTCTGCCTTCAATTTGCATTACCTTCTCTCTAACTCTTTTGAATTATCTCATTTTCATTCTCTCAGGGTTTTTTCTTTGTCCTTATTCAATGACTTCTATTAAATTTTCACTTATGTCTATTCTCCTTTGTGCACTTTTTAATATATTCTTCAATTATGAGATAATTTTGTCTTTGCCTTCTATTTCTTTCCTGAGTTCAATCAATTATGATTTCATTTCTTCCTCTCCCAATAAGGTCTGAACCTCAGCCCTTGGGCAGGGGTGGGTCAGTTCTTGCTTGGATGTTTAATCTCACTCAGTCCTAGGCATCATGGCTGGACCTTGTATCTGCTATTCCTGTACCTGTATTCTTTATATTTATCTTTATTTCTTATTAATCAATCCTATGTTATTCCAATTCCCTATTACTGACTATAGTTAACAATAGCTTGTGTAGGCTGGGCGTGGTGGCTCGTGCCTGTGATCTCAGTACTTTGGGAGGCCGAGGCAGGTGGATCACCTGAGGTCAGGATTTCGAGGCCAGCCTGCCCAGCATGGTGAAACCCCCTCTCTACTAAAAATACACAAATTAGCATGGTGGCACATGCCTGTAATTCCAGCTACTCGGAAGGCTGAGGCAGGAGAATCACTTGAACCTGAGAGGCGGAGGTTGCAGTGAGCCGAGATCACGCCACTGCACTCCAGCCTGGACAGTGATAGAGTGAGACTCTGTAGCAAACAAACAAACAAAAATACTAGTGTATATTTCAAAATAGGTAGAAGGTTTGAAATGTTCCCAACACAAAGAAATGATAAATGTTTGAGGTAATGGATATCCTAATGACCCTGATTTGATCACAACACATTGCATGCATGTATTAAAATATTGCATGTATCCCATATATATGTATAATTATTGTGTAGCCATAAATAATTCTTTGATTTTTTTTCCCTATTCAAATTACTGTGTAGTTTCTGTCTCCTGACTGGACCCAAATTGATACATCTTTTTTCCTCCGTCACTCCACTAATGAAGGACACTTCTCCCTTTTTTTTCTTTTGAATTATGCATATTTTTACTTCCCTGAAATTCATCATCTGATCTATCAGGACACTTTTTAGTATTTTCCTTATTAGCATGGGTTTAGTCTTTCTAGCACTGGTTTTATTTATTTATTTATTTTTTGGGATCGAAAGACAGCTGGAGTATGGCACTGGTTTTAGATCAACCTTACATCCCATTGCTAATTTTCATCTTCCCCACAGTTTTTCTTGATCTGTCTTTATAAAGTCTTCTGGCAGGGGTAGGTGAGGCAAGAGCATGAAAGATACTGCACTAGGATTTGTGGTCTCATTTTTTTCTCTCTTTTTATTTACAGTTATTTTGAAGCTTAGGCATCTTCTACAAGTTACGCTGAGGACATGGTTTTTCTGTGTAGCTTTAGTTTTCCTTCTTTGTTATTCTGTGTTATTTTGGAGAAAATATTGGAAGATGGGAACATAAACTGCCTTCATTGTCTTTAGGTCCCTGAAGTGCTATCACCTGGATTTTTGCAAGTTTGAGACTTATTTCTAACAACAATCAAAGGGGAAGGACAAAAACACTAGAACAAAATTTCTGGACTGGCTCCAGCTCTGCCACTAATATTTACCTAAAGTTGGATTTACTTCAGTGTTAGGATTATTTCCTCACTTGTAAGATAGGGTGGCTGGACCTAGGGCAGTGGATCCCAAACTCTGATAAGCATGAGAAATACTTGATGCATATGGACTTCTGTGCCCCACTTCTAGGCATTCTGATTCAGTAGGTCTAGGGTAGGTCCCAGGAATAGGCGTTTTTTAAAAACATCCGTGGTGATTCTGGGTCTAGTCAGGGTCTCACATTTAGGAATGCTTAGACATGATAGTCAGTGATACTATCCAGTTATGTGAGTCTATGAAAACTCTTCCGATGATTCAACAAGTTCTAGTGATCCCATCTTTCAATATAAAAATCACAGCTGGGCACAAGGGTGCATGTCTGTAGTCCAGAGAGGCTGAGGTAGGAGGATTGCTTCAGCCCAGGAATTTGAGGCCATAGTGCACTATGACTGTGCCTATAAATAGCCACTGCACTCCAGCTTGGGTAACACAGCCAGACTCCATCTCTTAAAAAAAAAAATCAGGCCGGCGCAGTGGCTCACGCCTGTAATCCCAGCACTTTTGGAGAACAAGACAGGCAGATCACTTGAGGTCAGGAGTTTGAGACCAGACTGACCAGCATAGTGAAACCCCGTCTCTACTAAAAATACAAAATTAGCCGGGCGTGGTGGCAAAGGCCTGTAATCCCAGCTGCTTGGGAGGCTGAGGCAGGAAAATCGCTTGAACCCAGGAGGCAGAGCTGAGATTGTGCCACTGCACTCCAGCCTGGGCAACAAGAATGAAACTCCATGTTTAAAAAAAAAAAAAATAAAAGCAATGGATGAGTGGTATAATGTCCCAATTAACTTAAATTGTATGATAATTTGTCCCTATTCAGTTTCTTTTCCCCAGAGACGGGTCCCACTCTGTTGCATAGGCTAGAGTGTAGTGGCACAATCATAGCCCACTGCAGCCTCTAACTCCTGGGCTCAAGTGATCCTTCTGCCTCAGCATTTTGGGTATTTACCTTTTTTTTTTTTGACCAAAAAGTTTGAAACAACCAAAGCAGGTAAAAAATTAGAAAAAAAAAAAAGACAAATAAAAAAACAAAATAAAAGACAAAAGGAACTCTAATACACGTAGAGGAAAAAACATTAACAATAAAAAACTAAGATCACGGAAATAGATCATAACCTTTTCTTAATACATTATGAAGGTTAAATCACTTTAAGAGGAACATGTTACATGCTTTGTTCCCACTAAACTTTGGCACAGTATAGTTAGATATAACTGTGGCACATTCTTTTCAGGGTTCCATATGTTATTTGGAAACACAACTAATGCTGGTCCTCATTTTGAAGAATACCCATTATAAATTTGATATCAACAAGTCACATAAGCTCTAAGCTCTAAGCTCCCATTTCACAGTATAATCTATTAGTACTATCTAAAGCAAGTAATTCCAAAGGCGTACATAAGAGCAATGTTAATTCGAGGAGATCCACAGGCTTTCCCGGATGTCTTAGCATTTGGTCATCTGAGGGAATCTGGATGAAGTAAATTTTTGCAAATATAATACATCCAGGAAAGACACCACCAAATGATCTGTTTAGGACATACCCAATTGCAGCAGGGGTCAAGCGAGTGTGCAACTGAGGGGTGGTAGAAGTAGTGGTGGTTGTTAGGGAGCCATCATTTCCAGTCTTCTCCCAGTCAAAAGGGTCACTCTCAATTACTCCAAAAGTCTTGATGCTATTGTCAAACACGGATGTAAGAAGCTAAACCACAAAGAAAAAAACTAGAGTAAGTGAACAGTAAACATAGTCACTTTATTCTATAAGAGAAAGCACACCAGACTCATAAAATGATTTTGTAATGTGATTTTCTTTAAAAACTGATGGCTCAAATTGCGAAATTTGAATAGGAACTATATGTAGATGATGATAGTGAATTAATGTTGATTTTTCTCCGTTGTGTAGAATGTTTCTGTTTTCGAGGGATACATAATGAAGCATCATATCTATAACCTACTCTCAGATGGTTGGCTAAAGGATGTGTGTTGTGTGTAAGTGTATATGTTTGTGCATTCAATTGAACCATCTATTTTATCATTTATTTGTCAAAACAAAACAAAACAAGGACTTTTTATATGTTTCAACCTAAAAAAGTAGCCAGTGTTAACATGTAACGTGTCTAGGTAAGGGGAATATAGAAGTTCATTGTGCTTTCCTTCATTTTTTTTTTTTTTGCAGGTTTAAAAAATTCTTAAAATATGTGTGTGCATGTTTGTGTGTCTCCATATATAAATTATCAAAAAATTGCTTGATTTATATTCTGTTAGTTTGATTTATATCCTGTATAATTTCATTTTTTGTCTTTCAATTCCTAAAGTTTGATGTGATCTTAAGAAGGGTCTCATAAAAGGCCTCTATTGTTTCTGTCATAGGCAACATTTCCAATTTTATGATTATAGCTTTATTCTCTCCTCATCATTTCTGGAACTCTGTTACTATCCTATCCTCTGAGATTCATCTTGTACATTTCCTGCCCCAGACCTGAAATCAGCACTTCTTTGGAGGATTTTGCGCAGGTCTGATTTAGGCTTTAAAAATATTACTTCACCAGCCTGGCGAACATGGTGAAACCCTGTCTCTATTAAAAATACAAACATTAGCCGGGTGTGGTGGTACACGCCTGTAATCCCAGCTACTCAGGAGGCTGAGGCATGAGAATTGCTTGAACCTGGGAGGCGGAGGCTGCAGTGAGACAAGATCGTGTCACTGTACTCCAACCTGGGTGACGGAATGAGAATCTTTCTCCAAAAAAAAAAAAAAAAAAAAGATTACTTCAGCTATTAAGTGGTCAATAGATGCCATAAACAGGGATGGGAATGAGGGTACTTGGAACAGATGACCAGTTAAGAGATTACTGTCAGCTGAACCAGCATGGTAATAGTAAAGGTGATAAGAACTGCACATAGATTTCTGTCCTGAGCCACTGGGTCAGTGCAGTGACATGGAAAGCAGTGAGTTTAGGGAGGAATAGGAAATGCAGATATAAATTTGGGTGTCATCAGCATATAGATATCAAGAGATACTGGCCACGCACGGTGGCTCACGCCTGTAATCCCAGCACTTTGGGAGGCTGAGGTGGGCGGATCACTTGAGATCAGGGGTTCAAGACCAGCCTGGCCAACATGGTGAAACTCTATCTCTACTAAAAATACAAAAATAAGCAAGGTGTGGTGGCAGGTGCCTGTAGTCCCGGCCACTCGGGAGGCTGAGGCACAAGAATTGCTTGAGCCTGGCAGAGACTGCAGTGAGCCAAGATTGTGCCACTGCACTCCAGCCTGGGTGACAGAGCGAGACTCGGGTCTCAAAAAAAAAGAGAGAGAGAGAGATATTATTTAAAGCCATAGAACCAGCTGGTATTATTGAGGAAGAATAGAGAGCAAAAGATCAAGGGCTATAGCCTAGAGTACTCCAATACTTAGGTGAAAGAAGAGAAAGACTCAGCAAAGGAAACAAAAAAGGAGTGGCCAGTGAGGCAGGAAAACCACGAGTCTGGTATTCTAGACTAAAGTGAAGAAACCATTTCACTAAGGAGGATGATCAAATGTTATCAGTTGTAAATGTATAGTTATTTCTGTATTTAATTAATTTCTCTTTCAACCCAGACTATATGCTCCAAGATGCTGACATTAATCTGAGCTTACTCATCATTGTGTCTCCAGGATCTCATACATTACCTTATTCATAACATTCCTAAAAACATTCCAATAATACATGTTAATTTGTAATAATATTTACTGACTCACATGATTTAATCTTTCATTTAAGTTCCAAAAGGAAGAATTGTAAATACAGAAAAAGAAACTAAAAAGATAAAGGGAACTGGAAAAGACATAGTTATAAAATCTGAGAAATTTTATTTGGGTCCTATTTTTGTTCATGTAAGTCACCTACGTTATAGCTTAGACTTCTCCAAATGTCAGAGGTAGAGGGCCGTAGAAAACACAAAGGAGGAAATAAAGATGGACTGGAACCTAGGGAATTGAAGTGCCAGACCTTTGACCCTCTCTCCTAACTCTGAAATCAAGGTTCTCATAGGTTCTCACAGAGTGAGATGCATGCTTCCTGGAAGGTGGAATCCCCATACAGGGGAGCCTTGCTATGTGAGCACTTAGACTGCCACTGCTAAATTCTCTGTCTGTACTGTGCTGCAACAGGAATGATCCTAAATGGCTTTTATGTCAGATGTCCTTTTATCATGGAATTATTTTCTTACATCTGTCACAGTATTGTATGTCTTAGAAAATGTATTCTATGGCACTGGACCTCAAATTAGAAACAGTTTGTTACTACGATGGTGATATTAGACACCAGCAGCAGGAGGCAGAAAGATGGAGGACACAGAACAAAAGAAATAGGAAAGCTAAAAGCACTGAGGCACTTAAAGGCACCCTAGTGGGAACAAATGGTCAGACTGGGCAGAGGTCTGCAGATATTTTAGAGAAAAACATTTCTAATCTAGCAAAATAATTTTCTAATTCGGGAGCAGGGTGGCGCTAAATCCTAACCTTCCTCAGATTGGAATAGTAGAAACAGGACAAGTCAGGGACTTACTTTTTTTGGTAACTGAATGTGTTACATCACATTTGGTTATGATAAATAATAAAAACAGAAAACTCTTAATTCAGTGAGTCAAATAGATTTGAGAATAAAAATTACCTTGTAAGTCATCTATATAGTATATACAGTATATGTAGTGTGTGAATACATGTCTGTGTATATATATATATGTGTGTGCCTGTTAAATTTGAATAGTCCTCATGCCTTTTTTATTTTTTATTATTTTTATTTTTATTTATTTATTTTTGAGACGGAGTCTCACTTTCTTGCCCAGGCTGGAGTGCAATGGTGCGATCTCGGCTCACTGCAACCTTCGCCTCCCGGGTTCAAGCGACTCTCCTGCCTCAGCCTCCTGGGTAGCTGGGACTACAGGCACACGCCACCATGCCCAGCTAATTTTTGTATCTTTAGTAGAGACGGGGTTTCACCATGTTGGCCAGGATGGTCTGAAACTCCTGACCTCAGGTGATCCACCCACCTCGGCCTCCCTAAGTGCTGGGATTATAGGCATGAGACACCATGCCCAGCCTCTCATTCTTTTTTATATCCCAATGTCACTGGGGAACAAAGCACTTTCCCATCAGAACAGGGACTCACTGTGGCAGTAATTCTCAAACTGGAAAGGGAGAAGGGAAAAATCTGAAAAAAATCTTCAAAATGATTCCAACGCTTCCCTCTAAAAGGCATGTCCCATATCTCTTCATTGGTAATCTCTGAAAATCTAGTATACATCTGACTCCTTATTTTACTTAATAATACATTCTTAGAAAATACAAATTCACCTACATTTAGAGTCTAAGTTTCTCAAACTAGGGTAACATGTACCCCCAGGGGATGCAGCCATATGCCAGAGAGAATTTAAAGTCATTTGACAATGTGGCACAGCTTCCTCAAGTATTTTACACAGAGGTATGACATTTATTACAATATTTCATAATACAATGAACACAAAGAAGTTGGAAGGCAAAATTTAAATGAACCTTTAAGATAAATCAGGAGAATACAAAGAAATTTTGGACTTATGGTTGATACTGTAAGGCTATTCCCAGACTTCTTGAGAAATATGCTTATACTTGGCTGCCAGAGGAGTAACTGGTGAAACAGTGTGAGAAACACCAGAAGCAATTATCTTCGGGAAAGTGAATCTTCTGTAAATGGATGTAGGGAAGAGAAGCAGTTAAGTGAAGGGGAAGTTGTTTGAAGAGGAGGAAAAGAGGAGGGAGAACTTGAAGAAGGTAATGAACAGGCAAAAATGCTACACAGGTTGAGCATCCCAAATCTGAAAATCGAAAATCCAAAATATTCCAAAACACAATTTTGGGTGCTGAAGTGATGCTCAAATGAAATGCTGACTGGGGCATTTCGGATTTTCGATTTGGGTTGCTCAACCAATATAATGCAAAATATTACAAAATCCTAAAAAATCTGAAATCCACTGGGCGCGGTGGCTCAGGCCTGTTATTCTAGCACTTTGGGAGGCCAAGGCGAGCGGATCACGAGGTCAGGAGATCGAGACCATCCTCACTAACGTGGTGAAACCCCGTCTCTACTAAAAATATGAAAAAATTAGCCAGGTGTGGTGGCGGGCACCTGTAGTCCCAGCTACTCGGGAGGCTGAGGCAGGAAAATGGTGTGAACCTGGGACGCGGAGCTTGCAGTGAGTGGAGATCATGCTGCTGCACTCCAGCCTGGGCGACAGAGTGAGACTCCGTCTCAAAAAACAAACAATCTGAAATCCAAAACACTTCAAATAAGGGATATTCAACCTGTATTACTTTTGTTTGTTTGTTTGTTTTTGAGACGGAGTCTCACTCTGTTGCCCAGGCTGGAGTGCAGTGGTGTGATCTCAGCTCACTGCAACCTCTGCCTCCTGGGTTCAAGAGATTCTCCTGCCTCACTTCCCAAGTAGCTGACACTATAGACATGTGCCACCACGCCCAGCTAAATTTTTTTGTATTTTTAGTAGAGACAGGGTTTTGCCATGTCGGCCAGGCTGGTCTTGAACTCCTGACCTCAAGTGATCCTCCTGTCTCGGCCTCTCAAAGTGCTGGGATTACAGGCGTGAGCCACCGCACCCGGCCCTGCATTACTTTTTATTTGGCCACTGTGTGGATTATTTGTGTCAACCCCTCTTCTACTTGCACTTATGAATAAGAAGCAGTCCATTTTAAATCTGATGGGATATTCAATACAATGATTTTTCAAAAGCAAATTATTCAAGATACAAAGTAATAAAAGTCAATTACAGCCTAGGCAACACGGTGAAACCCTATCTCTACCAAAAATACATAAAATTAGCCAGGTGTGGTGGTGTACACTTCTGGTCTCAACTACTTGGGAGGCTGAGGTGGGAGGATTACTTGAGCCCGAGGAGGCAGGGTTTGCAGTGAGCCAAGATCACACCACTGCACTCCAGCCTGGGTGACAGAGTGAGACCCTGTCTCAAAATAAATAAATAAATAATAAAAGTCAATTACTATGTCAGGATAATGAGATTCTGAATAATCTAGATTTTCTATTTTTCTGTTAATTCTAAAACTTTTATAATGACCACATATTACTTTTAATAACTAGAAAAAATTAACCAACAAAAATATATTATTCTAAAATAAATTGACTATATACCTATATGCAGCCTACATAGATGCTTGGTGCAAGCTCCTACTACCTAAAATACCCTTATTCTTTATGGCAATCAGTCATCTGACATACACACAATGCCTTAGGGAAGCACTCCTCTCATCCTTAGCACAAAATGCAATCAATAACTGTATCATATTTACCTCCATATGAAATCCCAGTCTGCCCTTTCAAAGAGAGTGTAGACCAAGTCCAGCTTTTGCAAAACCAAGAATTATTTGTAAGGTGATATTAAGAACTCACTAAGAATCCTGATTCCTGAATTCTCAGTTAATAAATGGAAAATTAGTGGATCAATAAAGTACTTAAGCAGGAGAGCACTATGGCAATGTTGGCTTGGCTGATTGAAAGGCAGATTATTTAGAGCAAAAGAAATTGCCCCACTTCAGTGATAAGTAGATGCAATAGAGGGAAAGAAATGCATACAGTCTTTTTTTTTGGCAGAGCTAGCCGAGGTTTATTTTGGGAAAAAAAAAAAAAAGCAATTGAATTGTTTCATAGCTGGAGGCATGGGCAAGGGGGGGTCCCCAGGTAGTAAACTCCCTCGCGGATGGGCTGAGGGCTAGGGCTGAGCCTCGGGTGGGTCTCCCGTTCCCTGTGTTCCCCTGCACAGTGGCCTCCCTCCTAGGCTCTGCGGCAGCCGCAGGAGGGACAGGCTGGGAGGGGCTTCACTTGGGCAGGACGTTGGAGGACTCAGACACTAGCTTCCCATCACGGGTTTCGATCTTCTTCATGACCACGGCCCTGGAGGAGCTGGTGTGGCTGAAGGAGCTGGAGCCCATGCCAGAGCCAAAGCTGGAGCCCAGGCCGTAGCTGAGGCCAGGGCTTGTGAGGCCCCCATAGGCCAAGCTCTGACCACCTGCATAGCTGCTGGTGGTCTTCATATGGATACTCATGTTCTGCATCCCAGACTCCAGCCAGCTCTCCTCGCCCTCCAACAGCTTCCTGTAGGTGGCGATCTTGATATCCAGGGCCAGCTTGACGTTCATCAGCTCCTGGTACTCACGCAGCTGCCGCGCCATGTCTTGACTGGCTAGCTGCAGGGCGGCCTCCAGCTCAGACAGCTTGGCATTGGCATCCTTAATGGCTAGCTCCCCACGCTGCTCGGTATCTGCGTGGCAGCCTCCAGGGAAGCCCTCTGGCCTTTGAGACCCTCAGTCTCAGCTTGGAGCCAGCTGATGTTCCGGTTCATCTAGGAGATCTCAGTCTTTGCACACCACAGGTCATCCCCATGCTTCTGACCCAGCGTCTGCAGCTCCTTATACTTGATCTAGTACATGCTCTCAGCCTCAGCCTGGCTGCGGTTGGCAATCTCCTCGTACTGCACCTTGACCTCAGGGATGATGCTGTCCATGTCCAGGAAGCGGCTGTTGTCCATGAACAGCACCACAGATGTATCCGAGATCTGGGACTGCAGCTCCCGATCTCCTCTTCATACAGCTGCCTGAGGAAGCTGATCTTGGCAGTCAGCTCTTTCAGGGAAGACTCCAGCTCCATCTTGTTCATGTAAGCTTCATCTACATACTCCTTGATGAGCACAAATTCATTCTCCATCTCTGTACATTTACTGATCTCAACCTCATACTTGTTCCTGAAGTCCTCCACCAGCCCATGCATGTTGCCAAGCTCCGCCTCCAGCTTCAGCTTCTCCTGGCCCAGAGTCTCCAGCTGCCACTTAAGGTTGTTGATGTAGCTCTCGAACATGTTGTCCATGTTGCTCCGAGCCATCTTCTGCTGCTGCACGAGGCTCCACTTGGTCTCAAGCATCTTGTTCTGCTGCTCCAGGAACCGTACCTTGTCTATGAAGGAGAAAAACTTGTTGTTGAGGGTCTTGATCTGCTTCTCCTCCTGGGTGCGCACGGCCTGGATGTTGGGGTCCACCTCCAGGTTAAGAGGGCTCAGCAGGCTTTGGTTGACAGTGATGGTGGTGATGCCTCCACTGGCCCCACCATATCCTGCACCCAGGCCACCCCGGAAGCTGCTGCTGCCCATTCGGGAGAAGCTCGAGGAGCTGATGCAGGCACCAGGCCCACTCGTGTAGGAGAGGCTGTTAAAGGCCTGGGGGCCAGAGGTGGACACCTTGTAGGACTTCCGGGTCACCCTGATGGACATGGTGGAGGCAGGCGGGCCGAACCAGACGGAATCCCAGAAGGAGTGGAGAAGCTGCTTCTTGGTCTGCACACAGTCTTTACTTCTCTGCTCTTCTTGGGGATTTTAGCAACATTGGTAAAGAAAAAAATTTAACTGCACCCATCCTCTAACAAACTAAACCAGCAAAAATAAAATAAAATAAAATAAAGAGAATGAGTTGAAGAAGCTGCAACCTTTACCTGTTTTCACCATTAAGTCGGGTGTCACATAGCAACGGGGATACATTCTGAGAAATGTGTCGACAGGCATTTCATTGTGCAAGCATCATACAGTGTACTGTGATGGTTAATACTGAGTGTCAAATTGACTGGATTGAAGGATACAAAGTATTGATCCTGGGTGTGTCTGTGAGGGTGTTGCCAAAGGAGATTAACATTTGAATCAGTGGGCTGGGGAAGGCAGACCCATCCTTAATCTGGGCACTATCTAATCAGATGCCAGTGAATATAAAGCAGGCAGAAAAATGTGAAAAGGTGAGGCTGGCGTAGCCTCCCAGCCTACATCTTTCTCTGATGCTGGATGCTTCCTGTCCTCCAACATCAGACTCCAAGTTCTTCAGTTTTGGGACTCAGATTGGCTCTCCCTGCTCCTCAGCCCGCAGACGGCCTATTGTGGGACCCTGTGATCATGTGAGTTAATACTTAATAAATTCCCCTTTATATATATATCTCTATTCCATTAGTTTTGTCTCTCTAGAGAACCCTCACTAATACATGTACTTACACAAAGCTAGATGGTACAGCCTATTACACACCTAGGCTATATAGTATAGCCTATTGCTACTAGGCTACCTATCTGTGTAGCGTGTTATTGTACTGAATACTGTAGGCAATTGTTATGCAATGGTAAGTATTTGTGTATGTAAACATATCTAAATATAGAAAAGGTATAGTAAAAACACAGTATTATAAGCTTATGGGACCACTGTCGTATATGCAATCCATCATTGACTGAAATATCATTATGTGGCACATGACTGTATATTAAGATACTGGAGATTCAGAAGTGCCCCATGTGGTTGGCTGCCCCAGGACCTGAGGCAGGGTAAGGCAGCATGGTCACTTACTCAGCCAAAAGTGCTGGATGATATCAGTCTTCCCTTTCAGGGGCTCAGTCAGTCCAAAAGGTAAACTGCCTGGAAATATAGTACACTAAGGCTTTTCAGTGCCTCCTCACAAGGCCAATAAAAAAGGTAAACAACATTTTCTTATTGCTGTGACAGGACAAAGCAGCAAAGAGGAAATAAAAGAAGTTCTATTAACATAGAAGGTAATGCTGAGTGAAGAAAAATGAGATGATTTTAGGCAGGGTGCGGTGGCTCACATCTGTAATCCCAGCACTCTGGTAGGCCAAGGCGGGCCGATCACCTGAGGTCAGGAGTTCGAGACCTGGCCAACGTGGTGAAACCCCATCTCTACTAAAAACATAAAAATTAGCCAGATGTGGTGGTGCACACCTGTGGTCCTAGCTACTTGGGAGGCTGAGATGAGAGGATTGCTTTAACCCGGGAGGTGGAGGTTTCAGTGAGCCAAAATTGTACCATTGTACTCCAGCGAGGAGTGCAAAAAAAAAAAAAAAAAAAAAAAGAGAGAGATGATTACAAGCAAATGCAGCATCACTGTGGTACATGTAAAACTACTTACATTTCTTACATTTACATGATACTTTAAAATTTATAAATTATTATCATAATTACCTCATTAAAAATATTAACAATGGCCAGTTGCCATGGCTCACACCTGTGATCCCGGCACTTTGGGAGACTGAGGTGGGCGGATCACCTGAGGTCAGGAGTTCGAGACCAGCCTGACCAACATGGTGAAACCCCATGTCTACTAAAAATACAAAATTAGCTGGGCGTGGTAGCACATGCCTGTAATCCCAGCTACTTGGGAGGCTGAGGCAGAATTGCTTGAACCCAGGAGGTAGAGGTTGCAGTGAGCTGAGATCACGCCATTGCACTCCAGCCTGGGTGACAAGAGCAAAACTCCATCTCAAAAAAAAAAAAAAAATCTTAACAACAATGCTGTGAAGTCAGTATTTCCACCATTTCACAGACTAGAAAACTGAGATCTAGAAAGGTTATCCAAACAGTGTGTGGCAAAGCATCAATTTAAACAGGTCTTTTAAGTATGGTGCTATTTCTACTAAAGAAGAGTTACAGCCAGTCAGCAGGCAAGGTAAAAACAGCATATAGTTGAAATTATTCTTGAAAGTGCCTTAAAATGTCCATAAAGTACAGAATACTACCATTTCTCAATAGGTGCAACAGAGCCAGTTTTTCCTCCAGCTCTAGAATAGACGTCTTTTCCTCAGATGAATGTGGATAAAGTAAGCTGGCTGCAGACAGCAGTCACATTTGTACCAAAAAAAGTACTCTGCTTTCAACTACTGGACTCATACTGGTGCAGCCTGATTTGGGGCCACTGAACTGCTGTCAACGAGAAGACTGAGAGAATAGCAGATGCATGAGGGCACTAAATCATTACCCTCACCATAAAGCATGACTAAGCCAAAGGACAGGCAGAATCACAGACGTTAAGATTTTTCTACCTCCTGAACACACAGCTGAATTTAAGAGAGTCATGTAAACATAGTGTGACTCTATTGTATTCTATAGCTACATCAAATATCCACTCCTTGTTTCAGACATACATTGACTGCCTACTGTCCTAGGTGCTGGGAATACAAATGTTAACAAAACACAGTCCTGTCTTTGGGTGGTTTACATTCAATAGAAGCAATAATCAAGCAGATTTAATTAAATTTTTCACTTTTATTAAATGCCTATCATTGTGCTATGTTCTTGAGAAAATTGAGATAAATGTGCAAGGCCCTGGCTCTTAAGGAGCTTATATAATAAAGAGACAAAACAAAGTACTGCTGCTCTAAGAGTTGAACCGAAGAAACTACTCCAGTATGGAATATGGAAGGAATTGAAGGAATCAGAGGAGGCTGCGGAGAAACTGACATCTGAGTTGGGCTTTCAATTTCACAAGACAAGCAGTGTTATGAAACAGAGGCACGTTCCAGGTAGGGCACACTGGGAGAAGAGCTGGTAGTCTCATCTGACTGCATCGAGGGGTCTAATATGACTAGATCACATAAGTACAATGGGGAATGAAAGGAGATAAGGCGTAATGGGGCAGAGGCAACAATTCTCCCATTTCCCTCCATCTCTATTACTTCTCTCAAGTCAAGGCCATCATCATCTTGCCTCCTGGCCACAAGGGAATACTCTATCTCCTAGCCTCCCCTGCAGTTAGAATTGGGCCAGCGTGATTGAGTTCTGACTACTGGGCATACACCAGTGTTGTAGATCACTTCCAGGCCTGCTGTAAAACCCCTAAGCCATCATCCACACTATACCCTTTCCTGATAATAGTAAAAGGCCATGTATTAAAGACAGCAGTGTCAATATATGGGCAGAGCCTGGATTTTCAAGTTACTCTTAAGAGTTGCCTAGGAGAGCTGTACAACTTGACTAATGTATTATATGATCAAGAACCTTTATTGTGTTAAGACACTGATTTTTAGGCCAGGCATGGTGGCTCATGCCTGTAATCCCAGCACTTTGGGAGGCCAAGGTGGGTGGATCACTTGAGGCTAGGAGTTTGAGACCAGCCTGGCCAACATGGCAAAACCCTGTCTCTACAAAAAAATACAAAAATTGGCTGGGCATGGTGGCATGTGCCTGTGGTCCCAGCTACTTGGAAGGCTGAGGCAGAGAATCACTTGAACCCAGGAGGCAGAGGTTGCAGTGAGCCGAGATCACACCACTGCACTCCAGCCTGGGCAACAGAGCAAGACTATGTCTCAAAAAACAAAACAAAACAAAATACACTGATTTAAAAAAATTTATTTCTTTCCAAGGCACAGCTCAGCTTATCTCAGTACCTTCCCAACTAGTCTCTGATTCTCCTTTGTTTCATTTGGATGCACATAACCGCAAAAGTAATCCTCTTAAAGCACAAATTGGATCACCATGCTCCTGTTTATAACACTTCCAACGCTTTGTGTTGTACTTAGAATAAAAATCCAAACTCCTTAAAAAGGCCTACAAGGCCCTGCATTATCTGGTTTCTGACTCTTTCCAACCTCACCTCAACCTGGTCTCTCTCCTTATTTATTGTCTGACCATACTTGTCTTCTTTCAGTCCTTTCTCCCATTAGGGCCCATGCATGTACATGTTCTTCCCTTGGCTTGTAACATTCTACCTCTTATTTTTGCTCTTCACATGGCCAACACAATCCCATCTTTTGGGGCTTGGCTTACAATCAAGCTTCTCTAACCTGTAACCCAGGATGGCTTTGAATGTGACCCAACACAAATTTGTAAACTTTCTTAAAACATTATGAGATTTTTTTGTGATTTTTTTTTTTTTTGGCTCATCAGCTATCATTACTGTTAGTGTATTTTATGTGTAGCCCAAGACAATTCTTCTTCTTCCAGTGTGGCCCAGGGAAGCCAAAAGATTGGACACCCCTGGGCCTTACATGGTAGCTTTAGAAAGAGACCTTCCTTGACCACTCTATTTGATCGGAGGTTCCCCCTTGTTTTCAGCTCAACCTTGTAGCATCTATGCCCTCAGAAAAATTTAATTCAGATGTTATCAGAGTCAGAGGATCCTACAACTGCTCTATGTCCCCCAAAGCAAGAGGCAAATCTACTGCATTTTTATGTAATCTACATTTAAATAGCCCCATTCCTAAACCTGGAAAGTATATTAAGAAGATTAATGAAGCTTGCTTAGCTTTGCATTTCCTCTCTATCCTATCCTCTGATATTAGCAACGTTGTAGCAGTGGGTGAACTGGTTGAGATACACATTTTAGTTTCAGGCTCACCAACGGTGTGTATATTTATGGATTCCATTAGTCTTCTCAACTTGCTAAGTGATGCTTAACAAATTTGAACACTCTAATAAAGATATTTGTGTTACCAGGATCACGTGATCCTATTATTATTATTATTATTATTATTTTTGAGATGGAGTCTCACCCTGTCACTCAGGCTGGAGTGCAGTGGCACAATTATGGCTCACTGCAGCCTTGATTCACTCAAGTAACCCTCCCATCTCCGTTTCCCAAGTAGCCGGGACTACAGGTGCATGCTACCACACCTGGCTAATTTTTTTTGTTGTTTTTTGTTGTTGTTGTTGTTTTGTTTTTTGTAGAAACAGGGTGTTACTATGTTGCCCAGGCTGGTCTCAAACTCCTGGCCTCAAGTGATACTCCTGCCTCAATCGCCCAAGGTGCTGAGATTACAAGCATGAACCACTGTGCTTGGCCCACTCTGTCTCTTATAGTTGTTATAATATTCAGAATCTGACAAAAACAATATTTATAGGAACATATCTGCTTTAATCTTGTTTATAATTCTGATATCTTCACATTTATTTTAACAGACAGAAAACATTATTTATGCACTTATAGGGTTAATTTTTCTTGTATTCTCTGTGTAGGAGACTGTTGATCCAAAGTAAAGACTTAATTAAATTTGCCTAACATTTGTTGAAAATTTAGGTGCCAGGTGTAATATGGGGTTAAAAAAATAAGACATGGCTGTTTCTCCAGGATTTAAAAGCTAGTTAGGAAAACAGACTCATACATAAATACTAAGTACAGATAAACTTGATGTAATTTCCCAAAATAATATAATACTTCTCAAAAGCAAATTTCGACCTTTACTGTAAAGTGAGAGACACATGAAAGATTCCTGGTAGAAAACAAAATAGCTACTCTCTCTAGGTCCACAACTGATGTCAAAGTGAACAGCAGCAGCTATTGGATGAGGTGTTGGCCATGTGCAACGTGTTGAAGTAATAATATTCTATGGCAAGATATTCCAATTTTTAAAGATTTATAAAATATACACAAAGTGAAAGTGGCTCTGTAAAACTGCATCATTTAACACTTTGATTATAACAAAAAAACTGACTTTGGTCTTAGCTCAGAATAGACAAAGCTGGAAACATATCATTGCTATTTGACCTTTGATGTAGCTAGGGAAGCAGTCATATTTAATATGGATATGCTTTTTGCTTGTTGCTGGAGGAGGTTTATTGTTTTTTTTAACTTTATTGGTTGTCCCATGAGAAACCTAAAATTTTGAAAGAAAAGACCAGGTATGGTGGCTTCATGCTGGCTATTTCAGCACTTTGTGAGGCCAAGGCAGAAGGATTGCTTGAGGCCAGTTTGAGACCTGCTTGGGCAACATAGGGAAACCTCATCTCTGCTTTAAAAAAAATAAAAAAAAAAAGCCAGGCATGGTGCACACTTGTAGATCAAGCTACTCAGGAGGCTAAAGTGGGAGGATCACTTGAGTCTTGGAGGTTGAAGCTGCAGTGAGCCATGTTTGCACCAACTGCACTCTAGCCTTGCTGACAGACCGAGACCCCGTCTCAAAAAATTTTTTTAAATGAAGAAAATAAAATCTTGAAAGAACAGTAAGTAAAATCAAATTCAGGAATGAATCTCAAACTGTAAAATTAATCACAGGGACAGCATGAATTCACGAGACCATTCAGATTAAAAGTAGAGTTATTTTTCTCAAGATGAAGACTGAGTAGAGAAACAAGAGGCAGAAGCTGCAAAGCTCAGGCTTTTGAAACCTGATGTCACATTGATACTAGTCATTAGAACACACCCATCACTTACATAACATCTTTTTTCAATTATCCTTCTCCTGTCCACCTGCCCTCTGTTCTCACTCACTGCTTAGGAAAGATCACAGCAGGAAAGAGCTGGATTATTTACAGAATCTGTGAAACAAAGTAATGTTATGCCTGTTCTCTTTCTTTCAAAAATGGAAAATTACCAAACTTTGTTTTGTTATTAAGTGATAGAAAAGCCCTTAGGAGAATGTCCAACTGAAAAACTTGAGAACAATAATTTGTTAGTTTAAAATAATCATTAAGTTTCAAACTTCAGCTGGTAAATATGATAGTCTTCTTTAGATATAGGTTTAAGAAGAGAATGTGATCAAAGTTTTTTACTGTCCTAAATTCCCCTAAGCAAATTTTGTCAATAAGAAACTATTAGCACTCAAGATGGGAAAGTTGGAACAATTTTCAGCTCCTCTTGAATCTAGTCTTACAGGTATAATTTCATTGCTTTAAGTAATGTGAACTGTATACATTTCAGAAAATACATACAAAAGACAAATATAAGAACACATTCCAAAACAACTCACACACAGTGTATTTTCTCAATTTGTTAGACAGTCCCTATTGCTTACAACACAAATTGGCATATGCATGAGAAGACAAACTCACCAATTTAAGGTCTCTAAGGACTCAAGGCTGTATGTTGCCTCTTTGCTTTATATCCTGTTTGTATCTTATACAAAAGCAGCAATTTCACAGAGCAATAATTACTATATGCAAATACATTTACTGTGCTATAGATACTTCTTAGTCTTTTGACTGCACAACACTGACAACACTGTAGAATTTAACTACCATTAACATGCAGTAAAGTCTATGTATTGTCCTTTGTAAATAAGGATGATATACTAATACATATTCTTATTAATCTATGTGTGGCCGCATTTATGTTTTCAGTGGTAGCAATTATTAGGTATTAAGCCCTGACCAAATTCTCCCTGAGAGCAACAGAATCTTCTGAAATACCGCTGGTTGGGGTTAGGGATGTAATTTGTAGTAAACCTAGTCAACCCTTCTAAGGCTCATTAACTGATGCTCTAAGGAAATGATTCTCTGACCACAGGCAAAATGGAGCCAATTTTCACTGACCGCTGTCCCATAGCATATTAACATATGATATGCTGCCCTAAAGCCCTTGACAGATGCATTACCTAGTTGGACATTTCCTTCTGGTCAACAAATTAGCTATAGAATTTACATAATTTCAACTGTCAGCAGTTCTATACGCCGAATGAATCATGCAGGAATAGGAAAATCTGTTGCAAGATGAATAAACCTAAAACTCGAATGAAGTTAAGTCCATCCAGAGGGATGAAACACATAACACACACGCTGACACTCTCATCATAAGTTAATTTCACCATGTTTCTCAGGATGTATTAAAACAGTCGTATTCTAAGGACCTCCCCTACTCATTTATAACACCTTCAAAGCTACAATGAGTGAAAGCATAGACTAAGAGAGAAAATAACTAACCCACAGAACTCACAAAGATGGTTACCTGGTAGTCTGGTTTTGTAAAATAATCCAAAGAAGAGATATGGTCTAGAAAGATGCTGAATTCTGGAGGGAGATGTTTCAACATGAGCCTGTGGTCATATCTCTCCTTAATAGAGCCTACTTGCTCCTGGGAAGTAAAGAGAAAAAGAGCTACAGTCAATTTCTCTTGGTGGTTAGGCATTAAGAGCCCCTCAGTAACCGTCTCAAGGGTATGTACTAGGGAATGAGATAGTGGGTAATTAAGCATAAAGCAAGAACTGAGCTCTTACTAACAGCTTAATGTACAGTGTTTTAAAGCGGAAAAAAACTATAATGCAGAACGAAACAAGTAGCACAGAGTTCTGCATCAGTGTATCGATAGTCCCCAGAAAAAATAATTTATTTATTTAGTTTTCTGAGACAGGGTCTTGCTCTGTCACCCAGGCTGAAGTGCAATGGCATGATCACAACTCACTGCAGCCTCGACCTTTGAGACTCAAGTGATCCTCCTGCCTCAGCTTCCCAAATAGCTGGGACTATAGGCACTTGCCACCATGCCCAGCTAATTTTTAAAAAATTTTTGTAAAGATTGGGGTCTCACTATGTTATCCAGCCTGGTCTCGAATTTTTGGGCTCAAGTGATCCTCTTGCCTCAGCCTCCCAAGGTGCTAGGATCATAGATGTGAGCCATTGCACCCATCTCAAAATAATTTATCTTAAATCTGATCTACTTTTCTTTATCAACACATGTGTTTACAGTTTTCTAAATCAAACAATATAATATGACAATCAAAAACTAAAAGCTTACTTGACTTACAAAAACAAAGGGGAGAACTAATAAAATTAAAAGCTAAGAGGGAGGGCTATAAATTAATCAGAAGCAATTAGTATCTATTCTCCATGTACACAGAAAAATCTCATAACATTAATTTGATCTCTAATGTCAGCTCACACAGAAAAATACATATATTGGGACATAGTGAAAATGCTTGTAGATTTTAAGTCTTATACATAAGTATATTTTCAACAAAAATGTTTATTCAGCAGAAATTTTTATTTCTTCTACCACAATTGACATCTCCATTCCCAAAATTACCTTGTCCTTTATTTTTCTCCAGGGCAGCTGACCAACCACAAACTCCACCAACATGTAGAATAAGGACCAAAGGTCATCATGTCTTCCCATTTCCTTCATAAACAAAACAGAATCCAGTCACATAACATTATTACTTGTGAGTACATTACATTGTTCAAGGTCTAACCATTTTGTTTCACCTTATTAGGCTAAAAATGTAAATTTATTTCCCAAAAAATTATATGATAAACATATATATATATATAAATTTACATAGCTATACAGCAATCTATATGGCAGAATATACAAATTGAAAAACTTTTTGAAACAAAGGACACTCCAAAACATAGAAATGGTGGAAGTAATATAACAGCCCATTAGTTAATGTGTTCATTTAGAAGAAAGAGAACTCTTAAAAGCTATTTTTTAAAAGGTAGAAATAAGGGAAGCAAGCTGATGCTGAAGTTTTGGCTGCTGTGGGGGCATCTGTCATGAGTTTATCAACCAGGAAGGGGACAGGCATAAAGGCCTTGGGCCTACATAGGACATGAGTTGTAACTGAGATACACCCCACCCCCACCATATAGCTAGGGCCCTAAAAGGGTTACATCCGTAGTGCAGTATTTGGTGTGTACATTATACTGTAATTGTTTTCTGTAAAACTTAATTGCTATCAAAAGAAAAAAATGAGTTTTAAAAAAATTGTCCT
Source organism: Homo sapiens (assembly GCF_000001405.40). Classification (NCBI taxonomy): domain Eukaryota; kingdom Metazoa; phylum Chordata; class Mammalia; order Primates; family Hominidae; genus Homo; species Homo sapiens. The sequence goes on from NC_000015.10 coordinate 42,812,376, forward strand.
GGGAATTTGTTACCACAGGTCTGTCCCTCATTTAGATTTGGGGGTTAAATATATACCCATGTGGTCTGAAAAACCAAGCCTAGAAATTAACTTGAAATTAACTTCTGGGTGATCATGCCCTGCAGGAATGACAGAAGCAAATTTATCCTCTCAGGATAAATACATCCCTAAATTCAGACCTCATAGAAGTGCTATAGAAAAAGCCTCACCAAACATATGTTCATTATTCAAATTTATAAAGTATATTAATAAGCTAATGTCAAAAGAAGCTACAAAGAGTAGAAAAAAGTATCCCAGGATTTCAGAAATAGAATTATAGGATACGAAGAGTGTTTAAAATGTTAAAATGAAAAATGGAATCAGTCATCAGAAAAGAACCATATTTAATAAAAACAAACCAAAACCCAACCAGATTTGGAAAATGATTAAAAAGAACATCTAGAAATAAAAAGCGCAATTATAGAAATTAAAAACTCAATGGGCAGGCTTAAAAGCTGACCAAACACAGCAGAAAAAAATCAATTGGAAAACAGATATGAAGAAATTATCTAGAATGCAGCACAGAGACACAAAGAATTAGAGAATCCAGTAGTGAACTTAAGAGGCAGCACAAAGGACAGAATAAGAAAATCTAAGAAAGTCTAATGTATCAATTTGGTGATCTGGGAAAAAGAGTATAAAGAGAAAGGGAAAAAGGGAATATAAGAATCTTCCAGAATCAAGGAAAGACATGAACATTTTGGTTAGGAAACACATCAAATCCCAAACAGATAAATATTTAAAAACCCACACCTAGGCACATTTGAATGCAGGACTCCAAAGACAGAGAAGATACCAAAAGTATTCAAATAAAAAGGACAAATTGGCTAGGCACGGTTGCTCATGCCTGTAATCCCAGCACTTTGGGAGGCCAAGACAGGTGAATTGCTTGAGCTCAGGAGTTCAAGACTAGCCTGGGCAACATGGCAAAGCACCGTCTCTACAAAAAATACAAAAATTAGCCAAGTGTGGTGGTGAATGCCTGTGGTCCCAGCTATGCAGGAGGCTGAGGTGGGAGGGCTGCTTGAGCCCAGGAGGTTGAGACTGCAGTGAGCCGAGACCATACCAGTATACTCCAGCCTGGGCAACAGAGCAAGACTCTCCCAAAAAATAAAAAATAAAATAAAACTTTAAAAAGGACAAATTAAGGCCGAGCGCAGTGGCTCACACCTGTAATCCTAGCACTTTGGAAGGCTGAAGCTGGTGGATTGCCTGAGCTCAGGAGTTCGAGACCAGCCTAGGCAACACAGTGAAACCCCGTCTCTATTAAAAAATAAAAAAATTAGCTGGGCGTGGCAGCATATGCCTGTAATCCCAGCTACTCGGGAGGCTGAGGCAGGAGAATTGCTAGAACCCAGGAGGCGGAGGTTGCAGTTAGCCAAGATCACACCATTGCAGTCCAGCCTGGGCGAAGGAGGGCGAGAGAGCAGGACTCCATCTCTTAAAAAAAAAAAAGTAACAACAATTAAATAAAGTAACAAAGATGTTCTCAACAGTGACCCAAGAAGCAGAAGAAAGTAATTTTTTCAAAGTATTGAGATAAATATTAACAAGATTAAAATGTAAAACAACAATAAGACAGTATGACAGAGTTCAAGTGTTTTTTTGTTCTGTTTGTTTTTTGAGACAGAGTCTCGTTGTCGTCAGCCCGGGCTGGAGTGCGATGGGGCACTATCGGCTCACTGCAACCTCCGCCTCCCAGGTTCCAGCAATTCTCCTGCCTCAGCCTCCCGAGTAGCTGAGATTACAGGCGCCCGCCACCACACCCAGCTAATTTTTATATTTTTAGTAGAGACGGGGTTTTACCATGTTGGCCAGGCTCAAGTGTTTTTAAAAGTCCTTGTATTATTTAAGAATTATTTATGTTAAAACTTTAAGATTTGGCAAGGCATGGTGGCTCATGCATGTAATCCCAGCACTTTCGGGGGCCAAGGCTAGAAGACTGCTTGAGGCCAGGAGTTTGAGACCAGCTTGGGCAACATAGCAAGACTGTTAATATGAAAAATTAAAAAATTAGCCAGGTACAGTGGTGTGCACCTGTGGTCCTAGCTACTGAGAAGGCTGAAGTGAGAAGATTGCTTGAGCCCAGGAGTTCAAGGTTATAGTAAGCTATGATCCTGCCACTACACTCCAGCCTGGGCAACAGAACAAGACCCTGTCTCTAAAAAGTAAAGTTTAAGGAACCAGAAAAAGAGAAATAGAGTGTATTATTTTTAGATATTATCAAATCAGGGTTTCAGAGTATGGAAAAAAGAAGCATGTTAGAATTAGCTGGGAAACCTTTTAAGTTTAGACAAGCAACTGTGGAAGTTCCAAGAGGTGCACTCCTGCATCACCTCACAAACTAACAATCGTTGTGAACTATGTTACTGAGTAAAAGCATTCTACCCCTCAGGTGTGCTGGGAGCAGAAAAGAGGGTTAAGAACCACTGTTATATACTATCAAATTCCTCTACAAGGTTAGATGAGTAACAAAGAAGCAAGTTATCAAAGTAACTGTTAGAGGACACTGTGCTGGAAAGGCTTTTAGAAGAAATTGCCACTGTCTAAATTAAAACAGTAAAAGTACATAATCTCTATTAGCTATTTTGAAAATGCTTATGTAGCTATTAGAATCCCTGAAAATACTTATGTTTATCTTAAAAATAATGTATTTTCACAGATTCCAATGTTGACATAATTCTTTAATAAAATTAACTGGAAAACCTAGTATTTCTAAACTTTTGTAAGAATCTATCAGGAAAAGAAGAGAGCTTCTTTTCAAGACAAAGTAAATAAGTAAATGACTAGATATCATGAAATAAAGCAACACTGAATCAAACCAAATGAGTTTAAATGCTTAGCAGAGTGCTACACACCGAGAAAAATAGCTTTACTATTTTCAATTTATAATCACGCCATAAGAAGCCAAATTAACTGCAGCATAGCATTTAAGACCACAGTATACTCTTCCTATCATATATTGGTCAAGTTCTCATTTTGGCTTATCAGAACAGGAACAAGGTAAAGAAAAGAATCAACAAGAAATACTTTTTTCCCTATTTTATCAAGGAATCACTTGCTCAGTTTCCCAACTCCATGCAAAAAAGTTAAAGGACTGATAATCCATAAAAATGCCCAGTTTTCCTACTCATAAAGTTCGGGATGAAGGGGAAAAAGTCAGCGCAGAACAAAGGGACCAAAGTAAGGGGGTGAGGGGAGATATTTTTAAAATTTAACCCAAGAGGAAAGGGATAATTTACTAAAACAAACATTTTAAAATTGTCTGCACTTGAAATCTTCATGAAAACAAAAGGTTTGGTGGGGAGAGGGATATCAGATTAGATACATATTACAGATAAAATGATGACTCCCACATTTCATTAGGTATTGATAGTATTATATTCCCAAATAATTTCTTGAAATAGTACACAGATGTTCAATCTCTTCCAAATTCTCTCTCTCTATATATATATATTTAAATATATATATATTTAAAAATATATATATATATTTAAAAATATATATATATTTAAAAATATATATATATATATTTAAAAAAAAAATATATATATATATATATATTTGAGACGGAGTCTTGCTCTGTCTCAAATTTGGAAGAGATGTTCAATCTCTTCCAAATTCTCCCTCTCTCTATATAAAAATATATATATATAAAAATAAATAAATAAATATATATATATATATATATATATATATATATATGTGTATATTTTTTTTGAGACAGAGTCTTGCTCTGTTGCCCAGGCTGGAGTGCAGTGGTGCGATCTCAGCTTACCACAACCTTCGCCTCCCAGGTTCGAGTGATTCTTTTGCCTCAGCCTCCTGAGTAGCTGGGACTACAGGTACATGCCACCATGCTCAGCTAATTTTTGTATTTTTAGTAGAGATGGGGTTTCACTATGCTGGTCAGGCTGGTCTCAAACTCCTGACCTTGTGATCTGCTCACCTCAGCCTCCCAAACTTCTATATTAAATTTGTTAATACTTATATCTAATTAAGGACACAGATTTCCCAAAGACATAAATATACTTAGCTATCGTCTTTTCTGGCAAATCCAATTTTATTTTCCAAGCAGCTGCACATATCTATTATCCACGATACACTATACCGTGCATTAGTATTACCAATTCCATTATCATTAGTGCCACACAAGAATGAATTAGGACGAACATTCCAAGCAACTTTGTAGCTATTAAAGGGATCCTCAACTCTCAAGCACTTTCCACATCTTTGTACTTTGTAAAGAAGTCAATCTCACCTTGGGAGGCTGAGGCAGGTGATCATGAGGCTAGGAGTTTGAGACCAGCCTGGCCAACATGGTGAAACACTTTCTCTACTAAAAATACAAAAAATTAGCTGGGCGTGGTGGCGGGCACCTGTAATTCCAGCTACTTGGGAGGCTGAGGCAGGAGAATCACTTGAACCCGGGAGGCAGAGGTTGCGGTGAGCCAAGATCGGGCCACTGCACTCCAGCCCGGGCGACAGTGCAAGACTCTGTCTCAACAAATATACATATATATATATATATAAAATAATAATAAAATAAAAAAGAAGTCAATCTGATTTAAGCTATTAGCATACTTATACAGATATGACTCTAGTTCAGATACCTACCCTGTTCCGATGTGCGTTGATTGATGCATAACGAACTGTCCCTCGAAAACCTGCCACAGCTCGAGGCTACAACGAAGCCATGCAAAGAATAATAAATGAGCTTCAAACAGCAATACATTCAGCACACTTGAACCATGAAGTAAATGGAAGAAACACGTCCTTTATTGTCACAATAAAACACTATTTAATTTCTAACTTTTAACTATGAAATTACAAGAAACTAGAGAGATTATCTCTAAATCACATCTTTAAAAAAAAAAACTGATAAAATTTTAATTTTCAGTCCAGTTTTTTCCTACCTACATTTTAAAATACAGAGGCATTTATGACATCTATACAATTCTCTATATTAGAAAACATTAAATGCTTTCATATACCCATAATCGTGGTAAGTATCATAGTATATACATTAATATTCAGGTTCTGATACAAATAAATATATTTAGATGGTGAGGAATCACTAAGTAAACCTGAGATACCAAGCTCTTCATATCTTGGCTATTTCATTCAAACTCAATTCAAAGGTGGTGGCAACTTGTACCCTACCTCCATATGCAATTCATGTATTAAAAATTCAAGTTATCGGATGCTTAGTATGTGCCACATACTAGAAATAACACCAACATGAAAAATACATGATCCTAGTCCTCAGAGAACTCAACTTAGAATAAAGTCCAAGCTTTTTACTTAGCCTACAAGACTTTTCATGATCTGGCATTTGTCTCCTTCCACAATGGATTTACCATGGTTTCTTTCATGACCAATTTTGGTTTTAGCTCAAAACAGTGCACACGATTCTCTCCAGCTGGAATGCCAGCTCCCTGAATCCCTCCAATGGCTAGCTCTTCTACTCCATTTTAAGGCTTCTGCTCACATGTCCCTCCTGAGAGAAACTTTCCTTAATCATCCTAATCTAAAATACTGCTCCCCCATCTGTGGTGCCACTCTATTCTTTTACTCTGCTTTCTTTCTTTCTTATAACACCTTTACTACCCCCAAATCAATTTTATTTATATTCTTATTCTGTTTATTGCCCATTTGTTTAGATTTTAATTTTTTTAAGAGATGAGGTCTCGCTCTGTAGCCCAGGCTATAGTGCAGTGGTGTAATCATAGTTCACAGCAGCCTCAAATTCCTGGGCTCAAGTGATCCTCCTGCCTCAGCCTCCCAAGTAGCTGGAACTACTGGAATGTGCCACTACATAGGGCTAATCTATTTTAATTTGTTTACTGCCTGTCTTCTTTTAGTCTATAGAATATAAACTCTGTGCGGGCGAGGTCTTTGTCTTGCTCATTTTACAAATATAGATATAGGCTCTGAGAAGTATATAACTTGTCTAAGGACACAAAAGTTAGTAAATAGTAAAACCAGGCATTAACTAAGGTCTTTCAACATTGTCTCCATTCGGCCAGGCGTGGTGGCTCACGCCTGTAATCCCAGCACTTTGGGAGGCTGAGGCGGGCAGATCACAAGGTCAGAAGATAGAGACCATCCTGGCTAACACGGTGAAACCCCATCTCTACTAAAAATACAAAAAAATTAGCCGGGTGTGGTGGCAGGTGCCTGTAGTCCCAGCTACTCGGGAGGCAGAGGCAGGAGAATGGCGTGAACCCGGGAGGCGGAGCTTAAAGTGAGCGGAGATCGCGCCACTGCACTCCAGCCGGGGCGACAGAACGAGACTCCGTCTCAAAAAACAAACAAACAAAAAATCTGAAATCCAAAACACTTCAAATAAGGGATATTCAACCTGTATTACTTTTGTTTGTTTGTTTTTGAAACGGAGTCTCGCTCTGTCAACCAGGCTGGAGTGCAGTGGTGCGATCTCGGCTTGCGGTGAGCCAAGATTGAGCCACTGCACTCCAGCCTGGGCGACAGAGCGAGACTCCGTCTCAAAAAAAAAAAACAAAAAACAAAACAAACAAACAAACATTGTCTCCATTCTACTGCTCCACAAGAATCAAGTCAGTACCCTGACGATTCGTGGGTGGCACTGTAGCTCAATATGACAACTGCCAAACTTGAAAATGATCATAGACACACTTTTCATTAGTATAATTTTTGGGTTTTTTTTTTCTTAAGTAACCTCAAATTTTTCTCAATTAACATGTATTACTTTTGTAGTCAGAAAAGATAGTAAACGTTATTTTAAAAATCCTGGCCGGGCGCAGTGGCTCATGCCTGTAACCCAGCACTTTGGGAGGCTGAGGCGGGCAGATCACAAGGTCAAGAGATCGACACCATCCTGACCAACATGGTGAAACCCCATCTCTACTAAAAATACAAAAATTAGCCAGGCAACAGAGTGAGACTCTGTCTCAAAAAAAAAAAAAAAGTCCTTACCAGAATAATTTGGTTGTATGTTATTGCACAGGATAAACAATCTATGTGTTCTTCCTCCACTTGCTCATTTTTATAATCTATGTTTAATCAAGTTAGCTATTTCATTTCTTCCTTCATTAAATACTCTCTTTCCCTTTACTTTTGTTTGGTTTTTAAGACAACTATTTTAAAATATTCTGTATTTAATGGCAAGTCTCAGTAATTAAAATTTCCTGCAATCTTTAAAAAAATCCCCATTATTTTCTTAGCTGTCATTCATTGACAATCATAGTCAGTGGATCTCAATATTTTCCTAAGACATCATGATTAACAGGAATACCTAATATTCTCCATTTGATTGATGGAACTAAGGTTGGAGAGTTCTCTTTTTAGAAGAAAATTGTCTAAGAGAATATATGAAAGTCTACTATGAATCTTTTTTGGTAAATAACGTTTCAGAGGTTGTACTTTTATTCATTACCTGACATGACCCTTCAGCTAACATAGAATTTTTTTGTGTTGTGTAATTTTGCCCAATTATTTTCATTCCAGTAACTGTCAGAATGAAAATCTCCAGACTTATTATCACATTCTGCAGCCTAGTCCACAGTTGATTGGGCATCTAGACTTCTCCCTGATGGATTCTAGCCAAGTCAAGCCCAGGAGACTCTTTCTACTTAAGAGTTTCCCCTGCCTGGCTCTGACCTTACTTCTGCCATAGAAAGACTGAAATAGAGAAAACAGAAATCAGCTGTTTAGAGAAATCTTGACATAAGTAGTCAAAGAAATAATACCAGTTTGCATATCTCATCTAATTCTAATAAGAAAAAGAAATAATGTCAGATCAAGGAAATTCAATGACCTTATTTAATGTAGTAAAGACAACTCAAACCCAACTGGAGAAAAACAGTCACATATGCAAATGATTCCAATTTAAAGCAGATTATAATGAATATCATTAGTGAAGCACAATGAAATATAAACACTCGGGACAGGTAAGGATTAGTTCCATGTAGTAGGAGAGAGGAAGGACAAGTCTTAGGAATAGGCAGCATTTTACTGGGTCTTGAAACAAATAATCTCTTGAAACTTCCTCAATTGATGGCACTTCAGCAATATTTATCAAAATTGTAAATGCATATATTCACTTTGTCTCACAATTTCACTTCTGGAAATCTATCTCACAGATATACTTGCATTTGTGCAAAAATAGTGGATGTACAAAGTCAGTCACTACCATCAGTGTTTGTGACAGCAAAAGATTTTGTGCAACCTAAATGTCTGCCAATAGGAGACACTGATTAAATAAATTATAGTATGCCCAAATAATGGAATACACTCTGAAGCTGCAAAAAAAAAAAGGGGTCGGGCCAGGCACAGTAGTTCATGGCTATAATTCCAGAATTTGGGGAGTGTAAGGCAGGAGGCTCACTTGAGGCCAGGAGTTCAAGACCAACCTGGGCAACATCATAGTGAGACCCCCGTCTCTAAAAAAAAAAGAATTAAAGAATTAGCTGGGCATGGTGGCACACACCTATAGCCCCAGCTACCAGCTACTTGGGAGGCTGAGATGGGAGAATCCCCCAGCTATTTAGGAGGATGTGGCAGGAGGACTGCTGAGCCATGGCTGTAGTGAGCTGAGATCGTGCCACTCCACTCCAGCTTGGGTAACAGAGTGAGACTTTGTCTAAAAGAAAAAAAAAAAGAATGAGGAAGTTCTATATACTAACATGGAAAGATCGTCTACATACACTGACAAGTGAAAAAAAGAAAGGTATAGAATGTATATCATGCTACCTTTTGAATCAAAAAGGGAAAATTAAGAATGTTCATTTGTATTTATTGTATGTGAATAAAGAAATTCTGGAAGAATATATTAAAGAAACTAATAACAGTACAGCTACCTAAAGGTGAATGTAGGGAGCAGGGGGAAGAATCAGAGACAGTATAGGAAATGAGTAGATTTGGAATAGGCAGAGGTGAAATGGAGATTTATTTCACTGTTAACTTTTTAATTTATTTTCAAGTCAGGTTTAATTTGCTTTACTTTTAATTATTGAGGTATCATTTACTTACAGTAAAATTCATACTTTATGTATACAGTTCTATGAGTTTTGACTGACATAAAGTCATATAACTACCATCACAACTAAGATATCAAATATTTCCATCACTCCAGTAAGTTTCCTTAATGCCCCTTTGAGTCAATCCCTCCCACCCCTAGTCTCTGACAACCAATGATTTCTGTCCCTTGTCAGCACTTAGCATTGTCTGGTTTTTGTTTTAACCATTCTAACTGGTAGGCAGTGGTATCTTGCCAGGGTTTTTGTTTTTTGTTTTTTTTTTGTTTTTTTTTTTGAGACAGAGTCTCACTCTGTCTCCAGGCTGGAGTGCGGTGGCGTGATCTTGGCTCACTGCAAGCTCCACCTCCCGGGTTCACCCCATTCTCCTGCCTCAGCCTCCCAAGTAGCTGGGACTACAGGGTGCCCGCCACCACACCCAGCTAATTTTTTGTATTTTTAGTAGAGACGGAGTTCCACCGTGTTAGCCAGGATGGTCTCAATCTTCTGATCTCGTGATCTGCCTGCCTTGGCCTCCCAAAGTGCTGGGATTACAGGTGTGAGCCACCATGCCCAGCCTCTTGCCAGGGTTTTAATTTGCATTTCCCTAATAACTAATGATATTGACCATCTCTTAACATGCTTATTTGCCATTTGTATCTCTTCTTTGATAAAATGTCTATTCAAATCTTTAGTCCATTTTTATTGTGTTGTTTTCTTTTTATTGAGTTGTATGAGTTGTTTACAGATCTTGGATATAAAACCTTTATCAGATGTGCGTTCTGCAAATATTTTTCCCCATCTGTGACTTGTCTTTTCATTTGCTTAACAATGTCTTTCAAAGAGTATAAGTGTTTAGTTTTGATATATTTTTAATTCTTTAATTTCTGCATCACATGAATATATTATCTATTTGAAATTTATATTTAAAAACATTTTGAAAGAAAAAGAAAGTAAAAAAGTGAAAGTATTTAACAATCTATGAGCATATTTTATTTGATACCTAGATATTCAAATGAAAACAAAAAAGAAAAAATAAACCGGGCCTTGAAGGGCTGACAGAATTACAACAGAAAAAATGAGATGCATTTTAAGTAAAAAGAACATAGTGAACAATGCAAAGAGGGAGGAAAGTACTGTTGGTGTTAGAGAAACAAATCTGATATGACTGCAGCAGACCATGAGAGAAAAAAAAACAGAAAAATAGGTTGAAGTCAGATTAAGGAAGGACTTAAATGTCAAATTAAGGTCTTCTTTAATTTGGCTTATAACAGTAGGTAATTGGAATTCATAAAATATTTTTAAGCTGGAAAGTAACAATTGAGAAAATGCTCTGGATGGATGTTGACTCTGGTGGAAGTATAACAGATAGCCTGAAAGGAGAAGACAGAGAGATGAGTGAGGAAACTATTTTAACAATTAAAACAAGAAACAACAAAATTAGTACAAGGACAGAAGCAGTGTGAATGTAAAGGAGGGAATGTATGTTAGAGATGGGATGAACTCCTAGGAGAATAAATCAAGAAAGAAGAGAATGACTCTAGGAATGAGCCCTGGCCTATTGCTAACAAAAGGGAAAGGATCAGGGGAAAAAATTCAAGGAGAACTATGTAATACAACTACTCCCAATGGAATTAAGAAAATATCTCAAATTCAGCTAAATTCTGAAATACTAACAGAGAAAAAAGACTTTAAACATTTTTCTTATGTAAGTTACTACAATCCTAGGCACTGGAAGTTTCAGGTGAATGGTTAGGAAGGGAGCAACGAGAAAACATGTCACTCCAAGAGCTTAGACACAAAGGGCCAGTGTGAGATGCCAGCTGAAGGGCTGAAACTGGGGAATGCCTTAAAAGCAGGATACATACAAAAAATGAACAGGCAGATTCAAATCATTAGGTAAACAGAAGTTCAACTATGAAATTATGAATCAAAGTGTTGCATATATATATATAGTTTAGGACTTCTTTGCCCCTCACAACCCTACTTAATGTAACTAATACATCTTAAAGGTGATAAAGAGTAGAGGCTGTCAAAACCAACTTCGTAAACACCACACTGGTATAACAGATACACTCCATCATTCCCTCTGTAATGCCTTCTGACTGATGGTCCTATACCACAAGATTGGTAAATAAATATACATTTATGTTTTGAGGAAGTTCTTTCGTGGTGATAGAATAGTTTTGTATCTGGATTATGGTGTTGATGTCTTAGTCCATTTGTACTGCTACAAAACAAGCTTGCCCAACATGTGGCCCAGGATGGCTTTGAACACAACACAACACAAATTCACAAACTTTCCTAAACATTATTTTTTTTGTGTGATTTTTTTTTTTTTTAGCTCATCAGCTATTGTTAGTATATTTTATGTGTGGCCCAAGACAATTCTTCTTCTTCCAATGTGGCCCAGGGAAGCCAAAAGATTGGGCATCCTTGCTATAAAGGAATACCTGAGGCTGAAAATTTATAAAGAAGAGGTCTGTTTGGTTCGCAGTTCTGCATGCAGGTTGTACAAGAAACATGGCACCAGCATCTGCTTCTGGTGAGGGCTTCAGGCTGCTTCCATTCATGGTAGAAGGCAAAGCAGAGGAGGCATGTGCAGAGGTCACATGGTGTGAAAGGAAGCAAGAAGGTGGGGGAAGGTGCCAGGCTCTTTTTAACAATCAGCTCTCATAAGAACTAACAGAGTGAGAACTCACGACCCCTCCGCTCCCAAGGGAGGGGAGTGATCTATTCATGCGTGATCCATCCCACGACCCAAACCCTGCCCATTAGGCCTCACTTCCAGCACTGGAATCAAATTTCAACATCAGATTTGGATGGGACAAATATTCAAACTATAGCAGTTGGTTATATGAATCTATACATGTGATAAAATTTCATATACCACCCCTCCCCCACCAAAACGTGCATGTTGAACCTGGTAAAATCTAAGTCTGTACTTGAGTTAATAATATTATACCAACATCAATTTCCCAGTTTTGACAATGTACTATGATTATGTAAGGTATTATCACTGGAGGAAGCTGGATGAAGGTACACGGTAACTGTACTATTTTTGTAACTTCTTATGAGTCTTAACTACTTGAAAACAAAAAGACTTAGAAAACAAAGAAAAATATAAAAAATGCTTAAAGTAATATGTCATGATTCTTCATCCTTAATGAATCTTTTCAATTAACAGACCAACTACTATTACATATTGATCAGCCAACAGGGTATTTACTGTGATAATAAAACAGTATCTGTTATGATGAGAACTCGTAGACACAAAGGGAACGATGTACACTGGGGACTACTTCAGGATGGAGGGTGGGAGGAAAGAAAGGAGCAGAAAAAATAACTATTGGGTACTAGGCTTAGTAACCAGGTGATGAAATACTCTATATAACAAACCCTCATGGCATGAGTTTACCTATATAACAAACTTGCACAGGTGCCCCAAACCCAAAATAGAAATGAAAAATAATAATAAAAAATGACAACAATATACATCAAATCAGGGGAAAAAGCAAATAATAATAATAATAAAATAATAAAAAAGCAGAGGAGGCCAGGTACGGTGGCTCACACCTGTAATTTTAGAACTTTGAGAAGCTGAGGCAGGAAGATCACCTGAGCCCAGTAGTTTGAGGCTACAATGGGTTTGATTTTACCACTGCACTCCCGCCTGTGCAACAGAACAAGACCCTGTCTCTTTAAATAATAATAATAAATGTAAAAAGCAGAGGGAAAGGAATATGAGAGGGAAGAGGGAGAGAGGCACTGGATAAAAAAATTAGAAGTAGATTGGGTTAAATTTATAAGCTAAACATGAAGGCCTGTCATGGCAGCTATCTGCATCTGCTCCCTAACTCCAAAACAAGTACCCTCAAGATCTGCAGAAGAGAGAAGAAAGAAAACAAAGAAATTAGTTAACACAAAATATAGAATGGAGAGTATGTCAAGGGCTGCACTGGGTAATATGATAGCCACTTAAAATTAATTGAATTTAAAATTCAGTTCCTGGGCCTGAGTTCAGGTGTGGTGGCTCATGCCTGTAATCCCAGCACTTCAGGAGGCCAAAGAGGGTGGATCCCTTGAGGTGAGGAGTTCAAGACCAGCCTGGCCAACATGGTGAAACCCCATGTCTACTAAAAACGCAAAAAGAAATTAGCTGGGTGTGGTGGCGGGCGCCTGTAGTCCCAGCTACTGGGGAGGCTGAGGCAAGAGAATCACTTGAACCTAGGAGGCGGAGGTAGCAGTGAGTCGAGATGGCGCCATCGCACTCTGGCCTGGGCGACAGAGCGAGACTCCATCTCGAAAAAATAAAATAAAATAAAATAAAATTCAGTTCCTCATTTGCTCTGGCTACAATCCAAGTGCTCTATAGCCACATGTAGCTAGTGGCTACCATATAAGACAGTACAGATACAGAACATTGCTATCATCATAGTAAGCTGTATTTGTCAGTGCTGCTTGAGGAAGAAAAAGGGATATGATCAGGAAAGGACCCACAGCATGCTTCTAAGACGGTAACATGCCATTTCTTAACCTAGATGGAGGCCAGTGATGTTTTGTTATTCTTCCTTAATTTTTTAATGTTTTTTACACTCTTTTGGAATATATATATATATAGCAAGACAAAATAAACAAAATCAAAATACAGATTTCTGCAGATAACATGACGGTATACTTAGACAGTCCAAACAACCAATTCAAGTTTCCTAGCAATAAATAAATAATTGTACATATGAAACAAATCTACAATGGGAACTTTTGATTTTACATTAGTAGAATATGAGAAAATTATTTCAACCACAATCCAAAAAAGTATGACATTAACTTTTATTTTTATATTTATTTTTTATTTTAGATTTATTATTAATTTCATCAAACCAAAACTTTAAAGAAGGAGACAGATCCCAAAACAGACAGGAGCTGAGACCAAATAAGACTTGGTCTCATTTGAATCCCATAAGGAGACCAAATAAGTCCATTTACGATATTGACAGAGTGACATCAATGCCTTACGGTTTTATTGCTAAATTAAGTTTGGCCTAAAACTGCCTCTGTACATGTTTTATGGCTGGCCTACAGGTACTGATGGTAACCTAACTTGATGTGTAAATAGACTGTAAACTACTCTTGTAACAAATAGCCAAGTCTCAGCCAACCACATCAGCCAACTGTTCAAAACAGATTCAAATAAAGCAAATGCCCAGCTATAACCAATCCAGCTGTTTCTGTACCTCAAATTTTCTGTACTCATTTTACTTTTTATGTTCAGACATGTTATCTGACCATGTGACAGCCCCGGAGTCATTCTGAACCTATTCTTATTCTCGGGGCTACCTGATTCATGAATCATTCTTTGCTCAACTAAACTCTGTTCAATTTAGTTTGCCTAATGTTTTCTTTTTAACAAACCTAAAAGCCCTATCAAAAATAGAGGTTGTGGTAAAGGGAACTGGGAGGAAATTCACTGAACATACAGCTTAGAGAATAGCTGGGCAGGAGAGAACTAGGGGGAAAAGATAGCTGAAGGACCTGACGTCAGAACAATGATCAAACACTGACTTCAGAAATGATTCCATTTTAGAAGCCACAATTTGATTAAATTAGTCAAGGTATTTATGCCCCCAAGATATTGTCATAAACAATAAAGTAACTGGCTTGCAATTAGTGAAGTTCAACAGCTGGATGTGGCCAAGGAAAGAGCAGAAGTGAGCCTTACTGGTACCACTACCATCACAGTGTAATTGTGGTCATACCCAAAGACGCACCACCCTGAAGAGCAACAGCAGAGTCTTAATACTGTGTGTATGGTTGGCAGGGAGGGAGGAAGAACGGAATAGATTTCACTAAAATGATCCTGTCGGACACTAAACAAAAAATAACAACAAGCCCTAGAAGGGGGAGACCAGTACCCAGAGTTGCTGTAATATATTACCTAAAATGCCCAGTTTCCAACAAAAAATCATGAGGCATGCAAAGAAACAGGAAAGTATGACTTACACATAGGGGGAAAAAGGCAGGCAACAGAAACTGCCTGTGAGAGTGACCAGATATTGGATTTAACAGAAAAAGATTTCAAAGTAGCCATTATAGATATGTTTTCAGAAATAAAGGACAGCTTGATTAAACAAGTAAAAGAAAATGTGATGACAGTGTGGCACCAAATAGAGAATATCAGTGAAGTGGATATTTGGGAGTGGATTAAAAAGTACAATAACCGAAATAGAATTATAGCATGTAGAAAGGGTCTCATACTGCAAAAATGACCCCTAATCTCAAAGGGTCAATGTGTGTTCTTACTATAAGACCACTCTAAATCTCCCTCTAATATACATTTTTTGAAGCCACAAATTTCAACAATAAAATTTATTGTCATTCTATAATTTAATCATTAAATGTATATGCCACTTCTTAGATAACATCCATTAGGATAAATAATTAGCATTGTTTAAAAAGTGTGATACTATAAATACCAGGGTAATTATCAAATATTTGATAATAATATGAAAAATCTTACTGGTCTGACGTCACCACAGGAATTGGTAAATTGTCGAGCCAAGCCAAAATCAAGCATGTAACATTTCCTACATGTACTAGGAAAGCGACCCATAGCGAAGTTCGACTAGAAAAATAAAGAAGGAAAATATATACATTCTTATAATACTTAGTCCTTACATTTTATCATTCTTACATTTTAAGTCTTCTTCTATTTAAGCTCTATATAACACACATGTTCCAAATATACTATTCTAGTAAATGATGTTTAGTGGTATTAAAATATGATTTAGTTTTGGGTTCTATTAGTGCCTAATATCAGGTAAACTTTGAGCAAAAAAGGATGTAAATGACTAAGGTTACACACAAGACAACATTAACTAGACTTGGAACTCTAAGTTCTTGAAATTCTAGTCTAAGTTAATGCTTAAATGACAGCCCAATCCCTACTTTTTAAAATAGGAGAAATCAGAGATGGACCAAAAAAAAAAAAAACCCCGTAGAAATTTAAAAGAATTTCCTATAAGCAGCCAGGTGCGGTGACTCACGCCTATACTCCCAGCATTTTGGGAGGCCGAGGTGGGTGGATCACGAGGTCAGGAGTTTGAGACCATCCTGACCAACATGGTGAAACCCCGTTTCTACTAAAAAAAAAAAAAATACAAAAATTAACCGGGTGCGGTGGCGCGCGCCTGTTATTCCAGCTACTCAGGAAGCTGAGGCAGGAGAATTGCTTGAATCCAGGAGGCGGAGATTACAGTGAGTTGAGATTGCGCCACGGCACTCCAGCCTGGGTGACAGAGTGAGACTCTGTCACAAAAAAAAAAAAAAAAGATTTTCCTATAAGCATCATAAAGCTGAATTTCACTAAGTCCAAAATTAAAATACAATCTATAGAAACATTTCAAAACAGACTTAAGGAAAATACACTTTGTATTCTTCCCCTAATGAAAATCAGTGTGATATTAAATGACCACAAATGCAAAGATGAGTATGTAAGTAAGAGGACTTGTGACGGTAAAAGCCAAATTGTTACCAGAATTGTTAGTTTTTTTTGTTTTGTTTTAATATTGTTCTACTTAGGGGCTTTCTGATAAAAATAGAAACTCTTCCAAGTACCATAGTTCTCAAATAATGATGCATAGAAATAGACTGACTCTACTACGTTAAATTTAGTTAGCATTTTCATGTAAGCTAATTTTAGAAGTCATGTAACAACTGACGGTTATACTTTTCAACTGTACCAACATATGATACATTTATAGTAAATATGGTATATCAGAAATCGGTCATTTCACCTAATGAACAATCAAACACCAAAAAGGACAAAAAAGCCTATTTCACACTTATGGAAATGACAATTTCTAAGACAAACAGATTAGCAAATAAAAACCCCACTATATTTCCACAGTAGCAGTCAGGAGAAAAATAAGGTCTTTCACAACTGATGATTTCTTATAATTTTTGACTTAACAAATAGTTCAAGAACACAGTATGAACAACTAAAAGCAACATATATAGTTTCTTAACCAATATATCTATAAAAGAAACCAGGGAATAATGCCAATTTAGGCATAAGGTTAAGTAACTGGCAATGTTAGCACACATAATAATAGTCAAACATAAAGCTTTTTAAGAGACAGGGTCTCACTATGCTGCCCAGGCTGGAGTGCAGTGGCTATCCACAGGAGCGATCATAGCTCACTGTACTCTCCCTCTCCTGTACTCAAGGAATCCTCCTGCTTCAGCCTCCTGAGTAGCTGGGACTATGGGCATGTGCCACTGCCCCAGTCTCAGTTTTTATTTTCACTGTATGAGAAAAACTCCTGAAAATAAGTTGTAGTTGTAATTATCACTTAAAAAAATTAACAGGTAAGTTATATTTTTGCTTCCAGGTCTCTATTGGAATGAAAATATTACCTTGTATTTTACCACAGCAAATACACAAAGCTACATTTGTAATTTATTGTGTCCCATCATAACATTAAAAGTATCAAACTCATTCTGTGCTCTGGATAGAAAAGGTCCCTACCGGTTTGATGTCTCGATGCAAGAATCCCACAGAATGAATGCTTTCAATAGACTCCAAAATCTGTCTACCCAGCCGGAGAGTGGTACTAATGGTGAATGTGCCTCGGGACTGGCTACGGCGAAGATCTGCCAGATTCCGACCCTATGGAAATCAAATAAACACTTTCAAATACAGTACTAAAACTATAGTATAAGAGAAGACTGGGAAACTACTCACTTACCATTAAAAGATGTTTTCAGCAAAATAGCAAGAATTTTTTTTTTTTTTGAGAGGGAGTTTCACTCTTGTTGCCCAGGCTGGAGTGCAATGGTGCGATGTCGGCTCACTGCAACCTCCACCTCCCGGGTTCAAGCGATTCTCCTGCTTCAGCCTCCCGAGTAGCTGGGGTTACAGGTGCATGCCATCATGCCCAGCAAATTTTTCTATTTTTAGTAGAGACAGGGTTTCACCATGTTGGTCAGGCTGGTCTCGAACTCCTGACCTCAGGTGATCCACCTGCCTCAGCCTCCCAAAGTGCTGGGATTACAGGCATGAACCACTGCACCCAGCCAATAGCAAGAATTTTACCCAAATTGTGATCCTCTCACTCAACAGATCTCTTAATCACACGAATGTTTCAGACAAGTTTTAGAAAAACCAGATTTTTAGCATATCATGTTTCTGATTCATGTTTCCCTTTATCTCTGAAGTCATAACAAAAAAGTCTTGATTATTTAAAATATAAGTAATCAAATATATAATTTATATTATTTACATTTATATTTATTTATTTAAAATATGTGATCAGGCCAGGAGCAGTGGCTCACGCCTGTAATCCCAGCACTTTGGCAGGCTGAGGTGGGCGGATCATGAGGTCAGGAGATTGAGACTATCCTGGCTAACACGGTGAAACCCTGTCTCTACCAAAAATACAAAAATTTAGCCGGGTGTGGTGGTACGCGCCTGTAGTCCCAGCTACTCGGGAGGCTGAGGCAGAAGAATCACTTGAACCAGGGAGGCGGAGGTTGCAGTGAGCCAAGATCACGCCACCGCACTACAGCCTGGGCAACAGAGCGAGACTCCATCTCAAAAAAAAAATGTATATATGTGTGTGTGTGTGTGTGTGTGTGTGTGTGATCAAGTATATAGAATGCATATACATACAAAGGGCACTAATTCCTCATTACTGCCTAACATATATTCTCATACAAGCTACTTAACTTTCTTCAATCAGTTTCCTCATAAAAACAAGCTAATAAAACCTACCTCACAGAGCTCTGTGAGGATTAAACAAGACCTATATTTAAAGTTTTTTTGTGTGTTTTTTGTTTTTTAAATAGAGATGGAGTCTCGCTATGTTGATCAGGCTGGTCTCAAACTCCTTGTCTCCCATCTCAGCCTCCTGACATGCTGGGATTACAGGTGTGAGCCACCATGCCTGGCCCCATATAAAGTTTTTAGAATACTGTGTGGTACACAACAGGTACTCAACATATGCTAACTATTGTTATTATGACCAAACATTATATGACAAACATTCAATTTACTTGTAGAAGTATATAAAAGCAATGAATACATCCAGCGTCTGCCATTCATGATTGCACTGAAGCTTCACAGTACCCTAAATAGAAGCTGTTCCTGTGTCTGTTTTACAGATAAGGAAACTGAGGTTCAAAGAGGTTAAATAATGTTAATCTGTTAATGTAAAGCTGTTTTCCAAATCTAACTCTGACCCCAAAGTGCTCTTCTTTTACAGTCCTCTTTCACAGAGCTTTTCTACAGACTTTTTCATGATGCTGCTCCACCAAGGTTCCTTGCTGCTTAGGTAACAAACCAGTAATCTGAAAAGGAGAGCAGGACCATGGCCCTGCAGCACTACCTCCCAAAGACTGGCTCTCCTATCGCAAGGGGATTTAAATATCCCAATCTATTCCCACAATTTTATAATATATCTTTAGGGGTACTATGTGACTAATATCATCACTTCATCTAAAGACAATTGATTCACTTTTGAAAAGTAATAAACTCTTAGATTAATATTATTCAAAATAAAATACGAAGTACTCCTCAAGTAACAGTTTAAAAGTTACAGTAAAGTCAGGATCCTTTCATACTTCGTACCTTCTTTTTTAAATGCAGCTTTCTCATAATATAAATTAATTGGGATTTACCATAGTTATTATTTTTAATGGAAATTTGTTGTTCCCTGCACCTGTAGCGAACGTTAAATAAGTGACAGTCTACAGCAGTGAACTGTATAACCACATGAGAGTACCTAATAACTTTTATTAGCATTCCAATAGTTTTTTCTTCAAAAATCAAAATTGTGATGCCGAAAATATACCTAAAATTGAAATTTTATTTGTAAACAGCTTTCACCACAAAAACTTTCAAAAGGAAATCAATTAAATTTTATTTATGACATTAGTAATACTTTAAAAGATTTAAATATTTTAAAATATAAGCCTAACATATCAACTCACAAAATCTGAGAAGGTAAACACAAAACTGATAAGAGTATGGGGTAAAGTGTTATTAACATGGTAAAAACATGCAGGTACGCACTAAATTATACTTTAAATACTGCTAATGAATTATTATTTGTTACAAAGAAAAACCGAAAACACCCTATACAATAGTCCATGGTTATACATGGTTTTACTTTATCCATGGTTTTACTTTGCTGGTTTCAGTTACCCACAGTCAACCGTGGTCCGAATATATTAAATGGAATATGCCAGAAATAAGCAGTTAATAAGTTTTACTTTACAGGCCATTCTGAGTAGTGTGATGAAATCTCATACCATCCTGCTCCGTCAGGCCCAGGACGTGAATCACCCCTTTAGTCCAGCGTATCCACATGTTGTTACCTGCCCATTAATCACTTAGTGGCCCAATCAGTTACCCAGATGTCCAGGGTTCAGTATGATCTGTGGTTTTAGGCATCCACTTGGGGCCTTAGAAAGTATCTCCTCAGATAAGGGGGTACTATTGTAAGTACATTAATAAGTGAATAGTTACATAAATAATAGTACAGTCATCTTACTGACTGATATGCAGTCATTCAAAAAATGAAGAATCAAGAACTTATGAACACAAAGAAGAAAACATCAGACACTGGGGTCTACTGGACGGGGAGGATTGAAGGAGGGAGAGGAGCAGAAAAGATAACTAGTGGGTACTGAGCTTAATACCTGGGTGATGTAATATTACATACAAAAAAAAACCCATGACACATGTTTATCTATGTAACAAACCTTCACATGTACCCCCAAACCTAAAATAAAAATCTTTTAAATAAAATAAAATGTCACAAGCCACCAAATTTTGTAAAAAAAAAAAAAAAAAAAAAAGGAAGAGGACTATATATAGTAATGTGGAATGAATAAAAGAAGCAAGTTCATTTCTCTATAAATTTACAAGATCTCAATAAAAATGCAAGTGAATTGCTAAATTGAAGACATGAAACATACCCAAAAGGAGAAAAAATAATATAATGAACCTTCATGTATCTACTGGTCACCCAGAATTAATAATTATCAATTCATGGCCAGTCTTGTTTCATTATTATTCACCTCCCCATCCATATCCTCTCCCCTCCCACCCACATGTACTGAATTATTTTCATGTAAATTCTAACCATATAATTTCATCTATATACATTAAAAATTGTCGGCCAGGTGTGGTGGCTCACATCTATAATCCCAACACTTTGGGAAGCCAAGGCAGGAGGATCACTTGAGCCCAGGAGTTCAAGACCAGCCTGGGCAACATACTGAGACCTCATCACTACAAAATATTAAAAAGTTAGGGCCAGGCATGGTGGCTCACATCTGCAATCCCAGCACTTTAAGAGGCCAAGGCAGGCGGATCACGAGATCAAGATATCGAGACCATCCTGGCCAACATGGTAAAACCCCGTCTCTACTAAAAATACAAAAATTAGCTGGGCGTGTTGGCAGCGCGTGCCTGTAGTCCAGGCTACTCGGGAGGCTGAGGCAGGAGAATCACTTAAACCCGGGAGGTGGAGGTTGCAGTGAGCCGAGATCACGCCATTGCACTGCAGCCTGGGCGACAGAGAGAGACTCTGTCTCAAAAAAACAAAACAAAACAAAACAAAACAAAATTAGCTGGGCATGGTAGCAGACACTTGTAGTCCCAGCTACTCAGGAAGGTGTGGTAAGAGGATCACTTGACCCCAGGAGGTAGAGGCGGAAGCGAGCTGTGATCACTCCACTGTGCTCCAACCAGAGCAAGACCCCATCTCAAAAAAAAAAAAAGGGGGGGGGTGTATAAAAGGAAAGAGATAAAAATGTAAGTAGAAGTTATTAGCAATTATATCATTGTAAATTTGAATTAGAAACATCGATATGAACCATGGCATAATTTCTCATTTTTTAAAATGTATTTCTTAAATCCATCCACTTGAAAAGAATTAAAAATAATGACCAACTCACTTTCAACAGACACCCACATCATCTAGAATTTGGTCTCTAAACATCATTTCCCATTAAAAGGAGCCAAGGCTTAACGGAGAAATGGCTGATTCCAGATCTGGAGTATGAAATATACAGAATGAGTCTGGTACTCAGTGTGGCACCAAAAAATAAGGATGCTATCAAAGACTGCTGCAGCCTAGTCCTAACAAAATGAATCCAGATCCAACATGAAAGAAGCCCCTGTAGCAAAAGATGAGACAATTTGAATATTAAAAAAACCGTAGGCCAGGTACCTGTAATCCTAGCACTTTGGGGGTTTGAGATTAGCCTGGCCAACATGGGGAAACCCCATCTCTACTAAAAATAAAAAAATTCGCTGGGTATGGTGGCATGAGCCTGTAATCCTAGCTACTTGGGAGGTTGAGGCAGGAGAATCGCTAGAACCCAGGAGGTAGAGGTTGCAGGGAGCCAAGATCGTGCCACTGCACTCCAGACTGGGCAACAGAGTGAGATTCCGTCTCAAAAAAATAAAACTGCAATAATTGAAAGACATCAAACATGTTAAATCCATGAATTTATGGATTTATTATATAGTTATATATTTATTATGTGTTTATATTAGGGAACCAATTCATTATTCTAAAAACTGATAAATAAAATAATCAAGTAGTAGTCCTGCCTTTCCTATATAAAATATACTTGAGGATAACCTAATAGTGAATGTAGTGGTTTTGAAGAAGAATTCTAGTAAACAAAAGAAGAATAAAATGATAGAACACTGTATTTGCAACCCCCATTAAAATAATGGATGATGATTACAAATGGGTTGATAAAACCATTAGGAGAAAAACCACTGGTAACTTTAAAATGGATGGATCAGACTGACAATGCTGAACTCACTGACCAATCTTAACCTCACTGAAAGACAGACAACCAGATACTGCCTCCTGATGTGATTCAAGAGGAAGCATACAACCCACCTCTGAAGTATCCTTGCAAAGTAAAACTGGAATCTTATATAATCATCAATTTATAGAAAATACAGGGGACAGAAATACATATTAAAGACAACCACAGGGAAACAACCAGCAAAATCCAGAATATGGTAATGTGTGCATGTCAAATTCCTCCATTTTTATCAACAACAATAAACACAATGAAAAGAAAATTGCAAGAAAATAAAAGACAGAGGGTGAACCAATTGATTAAAAGAGGCTTAAGAGATAAGCAATGTGTGAACCCTATTTGGAACTCAATTCAAATAAACCAAATGTAAAAAAAAAAATATTTATTAAAGAGATGGACGATCATTGAAACTGAAGATTGGTTTGATATTTGTGTTATTATTAAGGAATTATTATTAGGTATTGTGGTTACTTTAAGAAAAAAAAGAGTTCTTGTCTTCTAGAAATGTATATATAGATAAAATATGCCTTGGATTAGCTATTAATTTCGGGAGGGACAGGAGAAAGAGAAAATACTTGAAACAAGATTAGCCATATACTGATAGTTGTTGAAGTTGGGTAATGAGTAGATGGGTGTAAATTATACTATTCTCTCTACTTTGTGTATGTTTAATTTTTCCCATAATAAAAAGCTTTTAAAAGGTAGTAGGTGTTAGGCAATCTAGACCTACAGTTGTACTGGTTACAGCACTTGAAAAAATGTTTTGCACCTCTGTAGTTGATGTACTTATCACAATATATCACACTTTGGTTATACTAAAGATGCTCATATAAAGCTTCAGTGGTGACAAAATACTAGGTGAGACCTGGCTAAGGTCTTGTAAGGGGAATTCAGAAAAAAAAAATGTGTACAACTGCTTGAGCTCTGTAAGATTTTAAAAAACATTTTAATGGCAAATAGAATTTCTACAACAGAGATAAGGTTGTTCCTTAAAAATTTTTAAGGCAGATATTATGTAATTGAATCAGCAGGAGGAAAAGAACAAGTTTATCTTAAGAATAATGAATTTATGGTTTTTAGAATAAATTAGGACTCTCTGTGGGAAGCTGAATACATGGAGGAGACCCAGTAGTTATCTTCCATATGTCAAATAAGAGAAAATATGCTCTAGCGGTTATACCAGCTTTAGCCTAATCCCAAATCAAGTCAGCCACAAACTGTACAGATGGGAGTTTAAATGGGTTAACTTTCTTGTGACAGGAAAAAAATATAGCATGCAATTCAAATGGAAAAGTTCTTAGACAAATCCATAGGAACTTGCCAAAGGCCACAAAGGTCATCATTGCCTAATATACACCAGTCTCTTAGGTTTCCCAGTACCAGGAGCCTTCCCATTTACAGAAAGTCAGATTTAGGTAAGTACAAGAATGAAAATGAATATATGCTAAGACTCAGAAAGACTCTGCAGACTAAAGAAAAAAAGCTGCTTTATATAATTCTCCAGTCAATAGTAACCTGAGACAAAACAGTTTTCTCTTATTACTGCCTAAAGAATACTGGGTTCAGGCTTCCACCAAGCTTTAATACCCATCAAGTAGGCTAGTACCAGACAAATCACAAACCTCCTTGAGACTCAGCTTCTCCATGTACAAAAGAGGGATAAAACTTGTTCTCTCCTCCCCATGGGGGTATAATGAGGATCAAATAAGATGATAAATCCAGATGAAAACTATAAAATGTCACACAAAAAGTTATATTATTACTAGCCAAAATGAGAGAAAGCAGGATCCAAATTAATGATCTAAAAAGGTTCAGAGGCTGGGCGCGGTGGCTTACGTCTAGAATCCCAGGGCTTTGGGAGACCGAGGTGGGCAGATCACCTTAGGTCAGGGGTTCAAGACCAGCCTGGCCAACATGGTGAAACCGTCCCTACTAAAAATACAAAAATTAGACAGGTGTGGCGGCGCGCACCTGCAGTCCCAGCTACACCGGAGGCTGAGGCAGGAGAATCACTTGAACCTGGGAGGCGAAGGTTGCAGTGAGCTGAGATCACGCCACTGCACTCCAGCCTGGGTGACAAAGCGAGACTCCATCTCAAAAAAAAAAAAAAAAAAGGCCAGGCATGGTGGCTTACGCCTGTAATCCCAGCACTTTGGGAGGCCGAGGTAGGTGGATCACTTGAGGTCAGGAGTTCGAGACCAGCCTGGGCAAAATGGTGAAACCCAGTCTCTAATTAAAAACATAAAAATTAGCCAAGTGTGGTGGCGTGTGCCTGTAATCCCAACTACTTGAGAGACTGAGGCACAATAATCACTTGAACCCAGGAGGTGGAAGTTGCAGTGAGCCGAGATTGTGCCACTGCACTCCTGCCCGGTGACAGAGTGAGACTCTGTCTCAAAAAAAAAAAAAAAAAAAAAAAAGGTTCAGGGATAGCTGCTTAAGGAAATAAAACTAGGCTGGCTCAAGAGTTAGTGAATCACATGACTCAGAAAGACCTTAAGATTATAGTCTACAGACGTTAGTATCTTTAAATCTAAATGAAATCTGAAGGATGGCTGAGGGAAACAAGAAAAGCCTCCTGATGAGAAAAGGAAGCATTTAGGCCAGGATCTATGTCTCTAGAATCACTGTTATTTAGATAACTTGAAAGAAAATAAAGAAACCTGCTGGGCGCGGTGGCTCACACCTGTAATCCCAGCACTTTGGGAGGCTGAGGCAGGCGGATCGCCTGAGGTTAGGAGTTTAATGCCAGCCTGGCCAGCATGGTGAAACCCTGTCTCTACTAAAAATACAAAAAGTAGCGAGGCGTGGTGGCGACTACCTGTAATCCCAGCTATTCCAGAAGCTGAGGCAGGAGAATCGCTTGAACCCGGGAGGCGGAGGTTGCAGTGAGCCGAGATCGCGCCATTGCACTCAGCCTGGGTGATAGAGCGAGACTCTGTCTCAAAAAATAAAATAAAATAAAATAAAGAAACCAAATGCCCAAAACAACGTTTGCTTAAGATGAAAAGAAATACTGAGAATTCTAGATCTAGGCAGCAAGATCAAGATGAACCATGGTTTTTAAACTTTGAGGGTGACTATAATTCAGGGTGTGTGTGTGTGTGTGTGTGTGTGTATGTGTGTGTTTTCAGGGTCAGAGGTAGTGTCAGAAAAAATAGAAAGGTTTCCCTCTTCTCCCCACTATAGCCATTATTCCAATATTCCTTTTCTGAATTTCTTTCCTCTGCTCCCTCGACCTAACTCCACTACCATCTAAAGAACAGGGAACAGGCTGGGGGCAGTGGCTCACACCTGTAATCCTAACGCTTTGGGAAGCCAAGGCAGGCAGACCACCTGAGGTCAGGAGTTCAACGCCAGCCTGGCCAACATGATGAAATCCCATCTCTACTAAAAATACAGAAATTAGCCGGGCATGGTGGAGCACAGCTGTACTCCCAGCTACTTGGGAGGCTGAGGCAGAAGAATCGCTTGAACCTGGGAGACGGAGGTTTCAGTGAGCCAAGACTGCACTACTACACTCCAGCCTGGGTGACAGACCAAGACTCCATCTCAAAAAAAAAATATACAGGGAACAGAGTTATGTTACTGATGAAAAGAAAAAGAAAAAGGAATGGCATTTCTCCTCTATCTCAACTACTGCTTAAGTTTCAAGTAGACAAGACTTGCTATGGTTTTTTTCTTTTTCAATATTTATTTTAGGTTCGGGGGTATATGTGCAGGTTTGACACATGGGCAAATTGTGTGTTGCTGGGGTTTGGTGTGGAAACGATTTTGTCACACAGGTAGTGAGCACAGTATCCAACAGGTAGTTTTTCGACCCTCATCCTCCTTCTTTGCTCCACCCTCAAAGTAGGCCCTGGTGTCTATTGTCCCCCTCTTTGTATCCATGTGTACTCAATGTTTAGCTCCCACTTATCAGTAAGAACATGCAGTATTTGGTTTTCTATTCCTGCATTAATTTGCTTAGGATAATGGCCTCCAGCTGCATCCATGTTGCTGCAAAGAACATGATTTCATTCATTTTTATAGCTGTGTAGTATTTCATGGTATACACGTACCACATTTTCTTTATCCAGTTCACCATTGATGGGCATGTAAGGTTAATTCCACTTGTTTGCTATTGTGAATAGTGCTGCAATGAACACATAAGTGCATGTGTCTTTCTGGTAGAATGATTTTATTCCTTTGGGTATATACCCTGTAATGGGATTGCTAGGTTGAATGGTAGTTCTGTTTTAAGTCCTCTGAGAAATCTCTAGACTGCTTTCCACAGTAGCTGAACTAATTTATATTCCCACCAGCAGTGTATAAGTGTTTCCTTTTCACCACCATCTCACCAGCATCTGTTATTTTCTGACTTTTTAATAATAGTCATTCTGACTGGTGTGAGCTGGTGTCTTACTGTGGTTTTGATTTGCATTTCTCTAAAGATTAGTGATGTTGAACATTCTTTCATATGCTTTTTGGCCATATATATGTCTTATTTTGAGACATATTTTGGTGTGGAAGTGGGGTAATCTTGGAAGTAGGTTCCTGATAAAAAGGATGAGCTGGGACCCCTTCTTCACCTTCCTTGCTAATGTGCATACTTACTTGCACTTCCAACTTCTACTATGGAATGATGCAGCAAGAAGTCCCTTGCAAGATATGGGTCCCTAGATCTTGGATTTTCCAACCTCCAGAATGGTAAGAAATAAATCTCTGTTCTTTATGCATTACTCAGTCTTGGGTATTCTGCAGCAGCACAAAACAGACTAAGACAATACTTTAGAATACAAATGGAAAACTGGAACCCCTAAGGTAATGAAGGGTGGAAGGGGCAAGATTCACATTATATCCCCTCATCCATGCAGGGATCGAAAACTGCAAAGATGACAATCAGTAAAGATACAGGTCAACTCAAATAGCGGACAAAGACAATTATTTCATTTTTGGAAAATCTGTATCAAGTCTGTTTAAATACAGTTCCATCTGCATAGTATAAAACATTCTCACATGGTACTAAGATTGTTGTTACTTTTTATTCATATTCACTGTAATTGTATACTTTGATCAAAACTGAAGAATTTAAAGATACGTTTTCAAGGTAACCTACCTGCAACTGCATGACCACATAGTTGAATCGATCATTCCTCCCACAGCCAATAAATCTACAAACATGGTCTTTCCCTGGATAAAAAAAGAAAACAGTGGAAAAGAATATACTATGGTTTCTCTTAAAAAATTAATAATTTGCTTTTCTGTATAGTGTTTTATGATTGAATATAAAATACATCTTGAGAACCTTAAGGATAGAAAACTTATATTATTCAAATTTTCTACCTACCTCTTCTCCTCCCAGGCACTGTACTATTCCTTTGTGTGGTCAAATAAATGACTATTTGAATGAATAAATAAACAATATATGAATGAGGAAACAAATGTATGGTAACTTATTTAGGGAGGAAAAGATTAAGTGGTCAATTCAGATCAACCTGCCCAGATACAATACATATGAAGCCACAGAAGAGCAATAAAAAAGAACTATGTTAGGAATATAAACCCTGAATTTCAGATATGTTATGGTACTCATTGTTATGACTTCAGCAAGACAAACAATCTTTCTGGGCCTCACTGATGTGGATTAGCCCAGTGATTTTCAACCTGAGTTCCATCTGAGAAACCCAAAAATGTGCTGGCTGGGGCATAGAGGGGAGCAGGGGTACAGCAGAAATCTCATTAAAGAAAAGCATGCAAAGACCCCCCAAAAGAATTGAGCCACATATATTGGTTAGTGTTTTTCAACCCTGGCTACTTATGAAAACCAGCCGGAAAACTTTATTTTTGTTTTTTGACACCACTGACCCGAAGGCAGTGGAAAACTTTTTAAAGATTCCTCAGTTCTATATTGATTCAGAATCTGTGGAGAAAGATAAAGAATATGAGCTTTTCAAAAGTTCGTTGTTATTTTTTATTTTTTTGAGACAGGGTCTCACTTTGCTGCCCAGGCTGAAGTGCAGTGGCAAGATCTTGGCTCACTGCAACCTCTGCCTCCTGGAGGGCTCAACTGATCCTCCCACCTCAGCCTCCCGAGTAGCTGGGACTAGAGGTGTGTGCCACCACACCTGGCTGATTTTTGTATTTTTTTGTAGAGATGGGGTTTTACCATATTGCCCAGGCTGGTCTCAAACTCCGGGGCTCAAGCGATCTGCCCGCCTCAGCCTCCCAAAGTGCTGAGATTACAGGCATAAGCCACTGCACCGGGCCTCAAAAGTTCTTTAAATGATCCTAAAGCAGGTAGGGCATGGATAGAGATTTGAAAACTACTGCAGGGTAATGAGAAGTATCGAAAAGATTTTAAGATAAAGAATAACTACTAAAACACTGTGGCGGCAATGAGGCGGGTAGACCACAAGGGTGTCAATTCTAGCGGAGAAGGTCACTCTGGGGGATAGTTACAATATCCACGAGAAAGAATAAGGGGATTAGAGATAGATAAAATAAGATAAATCTGACCAATATTAAAGATGTAGTTTTTTACTAGAATTGGCAAAATTAAATGAAAAGTTGTATCAAAATATGAGAATATAGTAGGCTGTATAGATTTTAAGGGATACTAAAATGTTGAATTTTAGGACAATCAAGTGAATTCAGTAGACATTGTAAGTTCAGGCCTGGTGCTAAGACCAAAAGGCAGAGCTCCAGATGTACACTGAGGAACCATTAGTTCATGGACAATACGTGGAAGGTTGACAAGTAAAAGAATGTAATATAAGAGGAAAAGAAACTTAAGCACATAATTTGGAAAATGAAACATTAATTATTATTATTATTTTAAAGACAGGGTCTCAATATCTTGCCCAGGCTGGTCTCAAACTCTGGGCTTAAGCAATCCTCCCACCTCAGCCTCCCAAAGTGCTGGGATTACAGGCATGAGCCACAATGCCTGCCCTAGAAAATGCAACATTCAAAGCATGAGCAAAAATAAGAGTCCCTCAAGGAAATAGAGGAATAGCCTGAAAGATAGGAGGAAACTGAGAGAGCCGTATCACAGAAACCAAGGGAGAAGAACACTTTATGAGGGCAGAAGTGGACATTGACAAGTACATAGAAAGGCTGAGAAATACTAACATAAACCGGAAGTCATTAGTGAGTCAAGGGGCAGAAGCCAGTTTATAATGGGTTAAAGAGTAAAGAGAATATGAAATATGAGGGCAGACAGCCTTTGAAGGAGCTTGCTTGAAAGTAAGGAAGAGTAACAGGCCAAAGCTTGAAGATGAAGATTTGGTGGACTGATGAAACACTAAAAAAAATTTGCCTCCTAACTGACTTAAAACATAAATACAATTAAGACTCAGCAAAGCCAGGTGCAGTGGCTTTGCCTATAATCCCAGCTACTTGGGAAGCTAAGGTGGGAGGATTGCGTGAGGCCAGGAGTTTGAGACCAGCCTGGGCAACATAGCAAGACCCCTTCCCCTAAAAAAAAAAAAAAGACTCATTTTTTTGCACCTGTGTTATCAACCAGTTACAAGACTGTTCTCTCATTCTCTATGTTTTTGTTTATAAAGGGGGTATAAGCTAGCAAGAATGGGTGCAATGGAGAACACAATAATTCACAATGTACACAGTACATGTTGATCACTTAACATGTATTTTACATATATTTGCAAAATAGTGTTATCTATTACATTGTAGTAAGAATGAAAGGATAAAATGATGGTCATTAGCAACTTACTCTTGTCCTCCAGCTTCAAAGAAACAATAAAAAATAAGTTAAATAGTGTTTTCCTTGTATTATCCATCCCTTAAGACTACTTTTCTGTCATGTACAGGGACCGTATCTATCTTGTTCTGGTACTAAAAACACTTTTGCAAAAACTGTAACAGTGAGAGACATCCAACATAGCTGACTCTATCTTGCTTCTAACATCACAAGCTAACTGCCTTTGCTCATCCCTACACACAGGCCAAGCTGGCTATGGGAGGAATTTAGTTTACAGTTTAACTTTAAAGCAAGGATGACAATGGCCCCTTCTCAAAACAAACCCACTCTCTGGCGACAGAAACTGCTTTTATAAAACTAATGAAAGGCCAAAAACGGGATTACGGTAGGGGCCTGAATTCTGTTAAGGTTTAGGTATAAATAATAACTAGTCATTGTTTCCTAACTTGCCTTTTTGTAATTGCCTACTACTCAGGAGTCACTAGCTGGTGGTGATAAGATTTGTAACTTCTGGCTGGGCGCAGTGGCTCACGCCTGTAATCCCAGCACTTTGGGAGGCTGAGGCGGGCAGATCATGAGTTCAGGAGTTTGAGACCAGGCTGGCCAATATGGTGAAACCCCATCTCTACTAAAGATACAAAAATCAGCCGGGCATGGTAGCGCATGCCTGTAGTCCCAGCTACTCAAGAGGCCGAGGCAGAAGAATCGCTTGAACCCGGGAGGAGGAGGCTGCAGTGAGCCAAGATTGCGCCGCTGCACTCCAGCCTGGGCGACAGAGAGAGACTTGGTCTCAAAAAAAAAAAAAAAAAAAAAAAAGATTTGTAACTTCTCAATTGCCCCTACTGATAACATTGCTATTGTGAAACCTAAGACTGGTGTTTGAGATATTTTTTAGTGGACCAACTGACACCACCCAGGCGTCCCCCACCCAGGGAATGACTCAGCACATGAAGATAGTTTCAATACCCCTGTGATTTCATCCCCAACTCAACCAATCAGCAGTGCCCATTCCCTAGCCCCCTGCCCACCAAACTATCCTTAAAAACCCAGTTGTCAAATTCTCAGGGAGGCAGATTTGAGAAATATCACACATCATCCTCAATGAGCCACACTGCAATTATTAAACTCTCTGCTGCAACACCAGTCTCAGTGTATTGGCTTTTTCTGTGCAGCAGGCAAGAAGAACCTGCTAGGCTGTAACAGTACCTGGCACAATACCCACAATACCTGGCACAGTAAAGAGTGATTTAAATGCTCAATGAATATGTGTAAATAAATGAATAGAATAATGGCTAATAAAACATGCATAATATGGGCCAGGAGTAGTGGCTCATGCCTGTAATCCCAACACTTTGGAAGGCTGAGGTGGGAGGATTATTTCAGTCCAGGAGTTACCAGCCTGGACAACATGGCAAGGCCCCAACTCTACAAAAAATACAAAAATTAGCCAGGTGTGGGGGCACATGCCTGTAGTCCCAGCTACTCAGGAAGCTGCAGTGGAAGGCTCAGTTGAGTCTGGGAGGTCAAGGCTGCAGTGAGCTGTGATCATGCCACTGACTCCAGCCTGGGTGACAGAGTGAGACCCTGTCTCTAAATACATAAATAAATAAGCATGATATGCACACATAATATGCAAGCATTTTATGCCAGTCTCTATATCAAGCATGTTACATGCATTTAATCCTGCCAATAATGTAAGTATTATTATATTCTCCATTTTTCAAATACAGAAATAGAGGCCTAGGGAGGTTACTTTGTCCAAAATTACAACCAGAACATGAAGCAGTTTAATTCCAGAGCCTTTGCTCTTAACCATTATGCCCAGAAATGACAGAAACAGATTTTAAAATCATGTAACACCTTGTCTATAAGTATTAAAACTAAAAGGGAAAGAAAGACTGTGACAGAACAGAAACAGGACGACCTACTATATGCCAAGCACTAAACTAGGCACTAGAAATACAAGATAAATTAAGTAAGATCCATGCCCTCAAAGAGTTCACAGCCAAGATACGTAAACAAAAAAAGTAATACAGTATGAGTTCTATAATATTATACATAAACTGCTATGGATATAAAGAAGATTCAAAAATTTGGCTTATGAGGCTTCACATAAGCATTAAATCACTAGATTTTACAAGTTTTTGAGAAGAGTATTCTAAAAGGTCACCCACAAAGTCATAAAGGATCTAAGTACATGTGATAAATAATTAATAGAGCTGACAGGCTAGAGGACTTGATACGAGTTAAGGTGGGCTGAGGTGGGAAGTAGGATCAGACAAGAAAAGTAAGCTAAAACCTTATATGCCACTGTGGTATACAGTTGTCCCTTGGTATCCATGGAGGACTGGTTCCAAGACCTTCCTTGGATACCAAAATCCACCAATGCTCAAGTCTCTGATAAAAAATGGGGTACCTGCCAGGCACAGTAGCTCACGCCTGTAATCCCTGCACTTTGGGAGGCCGAGGTGGGTGGATCACCTGAGGTCAGGAGTTCAAGACCAGCCTGGCCAACCTGGTGAAACCCCATCGCAGTAGGCACCTATAATCCCAGCTACTCAGGAGGCTAAGGCAGGAGAATCACTTGAACCTGGGAGGCGGGGGTTGCAGTGGGCCGAGATCGCACAATTGCACTCCAGCCTGGGCGACAGAGCAAGGCTGCATCTCAAAAAAAAAAAAAAAAAAAAAAAAAAAAAGATGGGGTACTATTTTCCATGTAAGCTAGGCACATCCTCCCATATACAGTCAGGCTTTGCAAAACAACAGGGATATGTGCTGAGAAATGCATCCTTGGGTGATTTAGTCACTGTGCAAACATCATAGGGTGTGCTTACAAAAACCTAGATGGTCTAGCCTACTACATGCCTAGGCCTATATGGTACAGCCTATTGCTCCTAGGCTAGAAACCTGTATGGCATGTTACTGTATTGCATACTATAGACAGTTATACCACAACGGTTAAGTATTTATGTACCTAAACGTGCAAAAGGTACACTAAAAACATAGTATTATAATCTTATAGGACCACCGTCTGTCACTGAACAAAATGCTGTTGTGTGATGCATGACTATATATAATCTCTAGATTACTTATGATACCTAATACAATGTAAATGCTATGCAAATAGTTGCCATACTGATTGTTTAGGAAATAATTACAGGAAAAAAAAAAAGTCTATACATATTTAGTACAGACGCAATATTTTTTTCCTAATTTTTTTTCTTTTTTCTTTCTTTTTTTTTTTGAGACAGTCTGCTCTGTCACCCAGGCTGGAGTGCAGTGGACTGATCTCATCTCACTGTAACCTCTGCCTCCCAGGTTCAAGCAATTCTCGTGCCTCAGCCTCCCAAGAAGCTGGGATTACAGGCGTGCACCACCATGCCCGGCTAATTTTTGTATTTTTAGTAGAGACAGGCTGATGGCCAGGCTGGTCTCAAACTCCTGATCTCAAATAATACCCCCACCTAGGCCTCCCAAAGTGCTGAGATTACAGATGTGAGCCACCATGCCCAGCCTTTTTCCTAATAGTTTCAATCTGTGGTTGGTTGCATCCACAGATGTGGAATGCATGGATGTGGAACCCACTGACAGGAACAACCAACTATAATATGAAATATATTTAGTCTCTGTCCCTGGTACTTGTCACCTGGTTTCTAAAACTTGTGGAATTTTCTGAGTGATAGAAATGTCTTTGTTATTTATTACTCTTTTGATAACACCTGAGTTTATGTTAATCAGGTAACTTGGACGAAGCCCCTATATAATCAGGACAGGGGCAGTCACCAGAAAGACAAAGTGCTTAGAGGAGAGGATTGGAACTTTCAGCCTCACCCACCAACCTCCAGGAAAGGTGAGTGGGAGGGGCTAGAGATTAAGCTCTATAAAGACTCTTGAACAATGAGATGTGTGAGCTTCTGGTTTGCTGAATAAGTGGAAGTGCTGGGGGGGTGGCCTACCCAGAGAGGGCACAGAAGCTCCCCACTCCCCCATACCTCACACTTATCCATCTCTTCATCCAGCTGTTCATCTGTATCTTTTGCAATATCCTTTTTAATAAACTGGTAAACATGTTTCCCTGAGTTCTGTGAGCCATCCTAGCACGTTAATCAAACCCAAGGAGGGGGGAATCAAGGGAGCCCCAGGTTGCAGCCAGTCAGAAGTACAGTTTAAGCCATTCTAATGGTGTGCAGTGGTATCTCACTGTGCATTCTCCTAATGTTTAGTCATGTTAAACATCTTTTCATGAACTGATTTAACACTCTATATCTTCTTTGAAGTACCTGTAAAAGCTTATTAAATATTTTTAATTGTTTGTTTTCTTATTGTTGAGTTTTCAGAGTGCTTTATATATTCTGAAAATAAGTCCTTTGCAGGTGATTTGCAAATATTTTTCTTCCACTCTGTAACTTGTCTTTTCATTCTCTTCATAATGTCTTTTGGAAGCAAAGTTTTTAATTTAATGAAATCCAAATTATCAATTTTTTAATTTTATGAATCATGCTTTTGTTGTCATTTGACAAGCTTCTTGCCTAAACTCAAGTTACAAAGATCTTCTCCATGTTTTCTTCTAAAAGTTACACAGCTTTATATCTCACATTTAGATGTGTGGCACATCTTAAGTAAATTTTTGCATAATGTGTGTAGTTTAGGCGGAGGTTCATTACTTTTGTAAAAGGATGCCTGATAGTTCCAACACCAAGACTGTTCGTTTTCCACCAAATTGCCTTTGCAACTTTGTAGATTATTATTGGCCTTCTTTGTGTGGGTCAGCCTATGTCCAAAATCTCTATTTTATTCCACTTGATCTATATGTCTATCCCTTTGCCAATACCACAGTCTTGATTATCCTAGTTCTGTACTACGTTTTAAAATCATATAGTTTCTTTGCTTATATTTTATATTTTTAGACAGGATCTCACTTTGTCACCTAGGTTGGAGTATGGTGGCACAATCATAGTGCACTCAAACTCCTGGGCTCTGGCAATCCTCCCATTTCAGCCTCCCGAGCAGCGGGGGACTACAGACATGTACAACCATGTTGAGTTTATTTTTTTTTCTTAGTTTATAGAGATGCGGGTCTCACTAGGTGTTTTTTAATTGACAGAAATTATACATTTTTATTGTATAAACATGATGTTTTGAAGACATGTATACATGATGGAATGGCTCAAACTAATAACATGCCTCACAAAGACATTTTTAATAAGAATACTTAAAATCTATTCTCTATGTGATTTGATTTTTTTTCCAACATTCTTCTTCTTTTTCAACATTGTTTTGGCTACTCTAGGTCCTTTGCCCTTCTATATTAACTTTAGAATCAGCTTCTCTATAACTACAAAAAGTACTGCTGGGATTTTTATTATTATTTCATTAAATCTATAGATCAATTGGGGAGAATCAACATCTTTACTATAGTGAACCTTCCAATTAATGAATATGGTATGCCTCTCCATTTATTTAAATCTTCTTTTATTTCTTTAATCAGGGTTTTATAGTTTTCAGCATACAGAATATATACATATACTTTTTTTTTTTTTTGAGACAGAGTTTCACTCTTGTTGCCCAGGCTGGAGTACAATGGTGCGATCTCAGCTCACTGCAACCTCCACCTCCCGGGTTAAAGCGATTATCCTGCCTCAGCCTCCCAGGTAGCTGGGATTACAGGAATGCACCACCATGCTCGGCTAATTTTGTATTTTTAGTAGAGACGGGGTTTCTCCATGTTGGTCAGGCTGGTCTCGAACTCCTGACCTCAGGTGATCCGCCCACCTAAGCCTCCCAAAGTGCTGGGATCACAGGCGTGAGCCACTGTGCCCAGCCCAGATCTGGCATATATTTTGTTACATTTATACACTATGTACTTCTTTTGGAGTTACTGAACTTTTTAAAATTCAGTTCTCAATTGTTCATTGCTAGTACACAGAAATATGGTTGCTTTTTGTGGCCTGATCTTGTATCACTTGCTAAACTCACTTATTCTAGGAAGTTTTTATGATTCTTGGGATTTTCTATATAGACAATCATGTCATCCACAAACAGGAACAGTTTTATTTCCTCCTTTTCAGCCTGTATGTCATTATTTCTTTATATATCTTTGCTGCACCAAACTCAGTCTCATTCTGGATTGCTGATGACACAAATGTAAGATGTTTTGATATTATCTCATAGGTCACTGAGGCTCTGTTTTTTTTTTTACATGTTTTTTCTTTGTTGTTCAGATTAGATCATTTCTACTGATCTGTTTTCAAGTTCACTGAATCTTTCATCTATCATGTCCATTCTGCTATTGAGCCCATTCAGTGAGTTTTTTATGTCTGTAATTGTACATCTTGGGTCTAAATGTTCCATTTAGTTGTTCTTTATATCTTCTATTCCCTTGCTAAGATTGTCTATCTTCCTGCTCATTCTTGTAGCAAAGTCATAATGGCTGATTTAAAGTCTTTTTAATATAATTTTAACATCTGTATGATCCTAGCATTGGCATCTATGTTCTATCTTTTTCTATATGAATTCAGATTTGTCTGATTCTTTCTAAGCTGAGTGATTCTAGGTTGTATTCTGGACATTTTGAATATTATGTTATGAGACTCTAGGTCTTATTCAAGTTCCACCAAGAATGTTGGTATTTTTGCTTTAGCCAGTAATTGACCAAGTTGAGTTCATGCTTCAAGTTCTGACTGGCCTTCTGTAGGTTGTATTTCTAATGTCAATTCAGTTTTCAAAGCCTTTGCAGTTATATTTAATGTGTTCCATAAGTACCCCACGTGGTTTCCCATTTGGGATGTGGGCAGTGGTCTATCCCATAATTCAATTCTCAAAGTCCATATATGCTGTTTAGGATTGGACCCATGCATGCACAGATTGGAGGTCAGCTCAGGAGTCCAAAAGCAACTTTAGGTGGTCAGTGTTCCAAGTTCTTCCCTCTTCTACAATCTTTCATTTCACTGGGGCTCCCCTTTTCCAGTCTTCCAGCAGAACTCTGGGGCTTTACTAACACCACTCTGCAGAGTACTTCCCATGACTGTGCCCACATCAGGCAGGGCCAAGCAACAGAACGGCAGAGGGAGAAAAAAAGCAGTGGGGATTTTCCCAACTCTCTTCAGACCACAGTTCCTCCCATCTGAGAAGAAGGATCCTCTCCCTCTATTTTAGGCTCTTGCCTGCCCCCATTGAGGCCACTGCAGCCACTGTCAAGGACTGTTTGAGGCCCGGGTATAAGAGAATAAAGAAAAGAAAAAAAGAGAGAAAGATGTAGGATTTCCATGCTTTCTCTGGGCATTAGGAGACCCCTTTCCTCCTCCTTGAGTCAGAACTAGAAGACTTCTCTCGACGCATTTTCTGTCCATGTCAATGCTCACTTCCAAGTTGCAGGATACATTAAGTTCAGGCTGGGGTATACTGGAAGAAAAAAATGGTAAACCCACTGCTGGTTCAATGGTACTTTGAATTTTGGTCTTCTTCCCCAGTCTGTCTCCTACAATTTACTTTTCAGAGTCCTCAAATAGCCACTCCAAGAATTTTGCCCAGGTTTTTAGCTGCATTCAGTGGGAGAGACAGAGTGAAGTGCGCTTACTCCATCTTATCTGGAACCAGAACCTGGACTACTGTTTTTCTTAACAAACTTTGTAGAACTCATTATTTTAAACTACTTGTATAACCTGGATCTTAATTAAAAATTAAAAATAAATCCTGTAATAATCTTATTGAGGAAGAGGGAAAAAGCAAGTTAGTAGAATCACAATTTTTTTAAAGCATATACACTTTTGGACATTATATCTATGTGAAAAAAAGTGAAGTTCTTAATTGTACTTTGCTTCTTGTCTTTGAATCTTGTATGACCTGTGGACTTTTATAAATATTAGGACTATTATACATTTTTTAAAAGAAGAAAAAAAAGCAGGAATTACCCAAAGTGTGAGAAAAAAGAAGCAGTTTGCAGGTGAGAGGCTGTAAGCCTTAAGAAACTGAAAATATGGCCAGGCGCGGTGGCTCATGCCTGTAATCCCAACACTTTGGGAGGCTGAGGAGGGTGGATCACGAGGTCAGGAAATTGAGACCATCCTGGCTAACACAGTGAGACCCCGTCTCTACTAAAAATAAAAAAATAAAAAAATAAAAAAATAAAAAAATTAGCCGGTCGTGGTGGTGGGCGCCTGTAGTCCCAGCTACTTGGGAGGCTGAGGCAGGAGAATGGCATGAACCCGGGAGGCGGAGCTTGCAGTGAGCAGAGATCATGCCACTGCACTCCAGCCTCGGCGACAGAGCAAAACTCTGTCTCAGAAAAAAAAAAAAAAGAAAGAAAAGAAACTGAAAATAGTTCAGGATGACCAGCACTCTGGGTATAAGCCCAACATTTTCGACAGAAAAAGCAGAAGAAGCAGGCAGGGGTCGGTTCAGTGTTTTGTATGCCATGTTACAGTGTGTGGACTTTACATGAGAAAAAGAAGATTATGAATAGTTTCTACTAAAGGCTGGGGAGTGACATAACTGTTTAGTATGTTAGAAGGATCACTCTTGCAGCAAAACATTCAGGTGAATAGAAAATAAATCTTAGTGACTGAATTTAAGGGACACAGTGAGTTGCAGAACAGCATATATAGTTTGATTCCATATGTTGTTGTGGAAGGTGGGTAATGGAGGGGGATTTTATATATACATACATATATAAACATATGGATGATTATATATTATTTTAGATATATGATTTTCTATATGTGTGCGTATATATGTGTATATATATATCTATACATAGATATATAGAGCTGATTATAATATGCATAGAACATTTCTGGAAGATACACAGGAAACCGGTAACAGTAGATAACAGTGGGGAAGAAAGTGAGGGGCTTAAAGGAAACTTACTTCTCACTTTATTCTGTTGTGTTGATTTTCAAGTTTCTTATTGTGACCATTTACACTCTTAAAAATGTTTATTAGTGAAATGGAGGAAGGGTTTATGCACGAACTGGATATTAGTTATATATGAATGATACTAAAACAAGATAAAGTATCAACGAGCCTAACATTCAGTAGCACTGTTCTACCATATCGTTAGCACTCAAACAAGTAGTATAGATGTCCCGACACATAAGATATTACCAACTTTTTTTTTTTTTTTTAGATGGAGTCTTACTCTGTCACCCAGGCGGGAGTGCAGTCACGCGATCTCGGCTCACTGCAACCTCTGCCTCCCAGGTTCAAGTGATTCTCCTGCCTTAGCCACCTGAGTAGCTAGACTACAGGTATGCACCACCGGGCCCAGCTAATTTTTGTATTGTTAGTAGAGACGGGGTTTTACCATGTTGGCCAGACTGGTCTTGAACTCCTGACCTCAAGTGATCCACCCACCTCAACCTCCCAAAGTGCTGGGATTACAGGCGTGAGCCACTGTACCCAGCCATTACCAACTATGTATACATTAAGTTCACAACACAAAATAGCTTTTAATTACATTACAATACAATGGGTATAAAGGGAAAAAGTAAAATATCTTCTCCTTTTCTGACTCCTCTGATTCTAATCACCTCAGGGGCTTCTTGAGTTATATGTGATTCCAAATGTTCTTTGTGCATATGGAGCATATATAAATATGTACGTGTGTTTTCAGGCAAAGACACACATATTCTATTCCATTTCAAGGAAATAGACCTCTGCTCCTTAAAATAATCTAGACCTATTCTCTACATGTCATTTTTCTAAATGAAAGCAGAGTAATGAGTAAACGAATCCTCAAGCCTACAGATAATGTTACATCTTCCAAGGAGAAAAACGTGAAAATGAACGTATTCAACAGATAGTTCTCAGAGACCTCCATACACCCTTTGGTGGAACAATGAACATCAACAAGGACAAGCAAAAAGTTACTTTAGGAGAAGAAAAATGCAGAGGATGAAATAAACAAAAGAGTAGATTATATGTTTACATAAGGTTAAAGGATAGAATGAAGGGTAAGGATGTATCCCTAATCTTTCAGGTCCCAGTATGTAACTATTATGCCCTCCCACAAAAGGTCCCTGTGGAGCAATTTTCACAGTCTTCTATACTGGATAAACCAGTTGTCTAATCCAGAAATTACATATTTCTTCTATTCTTATGACTGGGAAAAAGGAGCAGTCATACTTTGCAGCAGTAGCTGGAGACTTCAGGGAAGTCTCCAGGGAAGGCAGAACAGGTGCAGTTCCTCTCCTATAACAGTAACAGTAATAGTTACTTCTCCTGTAACAGTAACCAACTCTCAGCTTGTGCTCTGTAGCCTAAAAGGCAAAAATAAAATCCAGGACCAGTATTTCAGGGTAAAAAAAAAAATCCCTGAAAATCAAAGCAAAAGCATTTCCTCTTCATGACCTATAAAGAAAAATGTAGTTTTTCCTGAATTTATATGAGGCAAGACAAATTAATTCCCAAATATCTCAACTGAGAATAAAATTGTTTCATTATCAAACAATGACATTTATTCTGTTATTTTTTGGTATTAGTTGGACCTCCACTCACTTTAGATGATGGAAAGGAGAAAAATTTAAAATAATTAAATAATCCTTCAATTAATTACCTTCTCATCCAAGGGAAAAAACAGAAAAACATCAGTTCTACTCAGGATGGTACACTGAAAAATGAAAAAGTACAAGAGATGATGCTGATCACTCGCAGCATAAAGAGCTAACATGGAAAAGAAGGGCCAAACAACTTTCTATTCATCACTGACTTAAGTAGTGATTTTTAAATATAACCAACATCGTCAGATTGAACATACTATGGAGCGAACACACATAAGAATAAACGAGCACACCTGTAATCCCAGCTACTCAGGAGGCTGAGGCAGAAGAATTACTTGAACCTGGGAGGTGGAGGTTGCAGGGAGCCGAGATGGCACCACTGCACTCCAGCCTGGGCAACAGTTGAAGGCTCCGTCTCAAAAAAAAATAAAAAATAAAAAATAAATGAGAAATCAGATCTACAGAATATTTTTTTTTTATTTATTTACTTAGACACGGGGTCTCACTCTGTCACCCAGGTTGGAACACAGTGGCATAATTATGGCTCACTGCAGCCTTGATCTCCTGGGCTCAAGTGATCCTCCTACCTTAGCCTCTCAAGTAGCTGGGTCCACCGGCGCACATGATTACAGCTGGCTAATTTTTTTATTTTTTGTAGAGACAGGGTCTCTCGCTATGCTGCCCAGGCCGATCTCATACTCCTGGGCCTCAAGTGATCCTCCTGCCTTGGCCTCCCAAAGTGCTAGGATTAGAGGCATGAGTTACTGCACCTGGCCTACAGAATACTTTTAAAAGAAAAACATTTTGTTATGCTCAAGTAAATATTTATATACCAATTAGAAGCCAGTAAATGATGTATAAACTTTTAAAGATCCTAAGAAGATTTCCTTTGATAAAAAGATACACTAAATATAAATACAGCAAGTCCTCATTTAATGTCATTGAGAGGTTCTGGGCTTTAAGCAAAACAACATGTAACGTAATTCAGTCCTTGAAAAACCTTATTGAGTTCAAAGTCATTCTGTCATAACGTTGGTGAGGAAAAACAATTGGTTTTGTTATACGTTGTTTTGCTTAAAGTTGCAGTTTCCAAGAACCTACTGAGACTTAAGTGAGGACTTACTGTAATAGGAATTTTACAATATTCTGAATTCCTAAAACATTAGACCAACCTATATGCAAGAGAAAAAAAAAAAAAACCTCAAATCCTTAAACCAAATGAAAATTTCCTGGAAGATCCAAGGGACTGGCTTCCATTATAATAAAGAGTTGACTGTCTATATGACACGGTCTTGGGACTCGGAGCCTTAGTCATCCAAAGGTAACTGTCAACGAGTATTTATAGCACTCTTCAGCAAATTATTACAGAACCTCAGTATTTATTTTTCTTACTCAGAAAAAAAATCAACAATAAAGTTTATGAAGTAAATAACCAGAAATGGAATAGGTATGTTATCCTATCTTCCCACATCAATTTACAAATGTATGCTATAATTGAATATAAAGATACTTTGTGCTGTTATTTTGCCACTAAGCATAATATAAAAGTCAAGTTTAAATATACATAATCTCTGCTTTTTAAGAGGCCTACAATTTAAAAGAAAATACAAATTTATTTCTTTATTTATTTTTGAGATAGAGTCTCACTCTGTTACCCAGGCTGGAGTCCAATGGCGCAATCTCGGCTCACAGCAACCTCAGGCCTCTCGGGTTCAAGTGATTCTCCTGCCTCAGCCTCCTGAAAATTTATTTTTTTAAGTATCATAACACAAGTTGAAAAGTGCACAAGATAATAAACAAGGCAAAATACAGTCCTTATTAAAACCTATTGAGAGAAGTGTGTTAGCCCAATAGCAATTAGTACCCTAGTGGTCATACTGTGGTCTCAATTGTTTCCCAATACAAGGAAACAGAGTTACTAGGAGAAACAAGGCTCCTGATTCTGAATATGGCACAGAAAAAGTTTAAGGAACATCTGAAATACTCTGCTGTGCCAGAAAACAAGGATGACATCAAAGAATACTGGAGTTATACAAGAAGAACACAGAAGCCAATGCAAAAGAGCTTCTACTGGTGAAAGATACGAAATTTAAGCTTCAAAAGGATAATGATTTCAATGGTTTGAAATAAAATACAGAAAAAGGCATGAGTTCATAATGATACTCAAAACGAAAAACAAATCACTGGTCATATAAGGCCACAACTTATTTATTTATTTATT
Source organism: Homo sapiens (assembly GCF_000001405.40). Lineage (NCBI taxonomy): Eukaryota > Metazoa > Chordata > Mammalia > Primates > Hominidae > Homo > Homo sapiens. The sequence goes on from NC_000015.10 coordinate 42,855,684, forward strand.
ATATATTGATTTATTTATTTAGAGACGGAGTCTTGCTGTCGCCCAGGCTGGAGTGCAGTGGTGCGATTTCGGCTCACCGCAGGCTCCGCCTCCCGGGTTCACGCCATTCTCCTGCCTCAGCCTCCCGAGCAGCTGGGACTACAGGCGCCCGCCACCTCGCCCGGCTAATTTTTTTGTATTAGTAGAGACGGGGTTTCACCGTGTTAGCCAGGATGGTCTCGATCTCCTGACCTTGTGATCTGCCCACCTCAGCCTCCCAAAGTGCTAGGATTACAGGCGTGAGCCACCATGCCCAGCCAAGACCACAACTTATTATTCTGAAAATTGATAAACAAAAGAGAAGAAAACTCAATCCCTTTATCCTGTCCTTCCTATACTAACTATATTTCAAGGGAAACAAATGATGGAATAACATTCTACTTTGTAGAATAATTCCAGTTAAGGAATTTAGAAGGAATCAGAGAATTAGGAAAACCACCATTTTGCAATCCCTAATGAAAACAATGAATGTAGGTGATAAATTCTTCCCAACAATAATAACAGCATGAATCTCATTAATCCTCTAGATCTAATTAGGAGTTCACAAGAAATATGAAGGATGGAAGAACACATTAAAAGACACCACAAGGATGCAATCAGCCATATCCAGATTTCGGACTATTTTATCAAACTAAGAACTTCATTCCTTCAACAAAAAAAATGTGAAGGCAAGGGAAAAAAAAAAGTAGGTGAGAACAAACTGTGACATGGCAACAAAATATAATGCAATGTGCCTGCCTTGTATATAAATCCTAATTTGAACAAAGCCACCTGTAAAATGATATTTTTGAGACAATGGGAGAAATTAAATACTGGATAGATATGAGATGGTATTGTAAAATAACGGTTAATTTTGTTAGGTTTTCAATACCACTGTGTTCACATTATTAAGAAAAGAATCACTTTGGGAGGCCGAAACAAAAAGATCATTTGAGGCCAGCAGTTCAAGTTCTCAACATAGTGAGACCTTGTCTCTACTTAAAAAAAAATTTTTTTTATGAAAAAAGAAAAAGAATCCCCTAATGTAAACTGTGGACTTCAGTTAATAAAAATCTAATGCCAGGCGTGATGGCTCACACCTGTGATCCCAACACTTTGGGAGACTGAGGCGGGGGATCACCTGAGGTCAGGCATTCAAGACCAGCCTGGCCAACATGGCAAAACCCTGCCTCTACTAAAACTATAAAAATCAGCCGGATGTGGTGGCACACACCTGTAATCCCAGCTATTCAGGAAACTGAGGAAGGAGAATCTCTTGAACCTTGGAGGCAGAGGTTGCAGTGAGCTGAGATCACGCCACTGCACTCCAGCCTGGGCAACAGAGTTAGACTCTGTCTCACAAAAAAAAAAAAAAATCTATCAATATTGGTTCATCAGTTGTAACAACTGTATCACAAGAATGCAAGATGTTAATAATAGGGAAAACTGGATGGGAAGTCTGTATACAGGAACTTTGTACTTTCTACTCAATTTTGTGTAAACCTAAAACAGTTCTAAAAAGTAAAGTCCAGGGCCAGGTGCAGTGGCTCATGCCTGTAATCTCAGCACTTTGGGAGGCCAAGGCAGGAGGATTGTGTGAGGCCAGGAGTTCAAGACCAGCCTGGGCAATATAGCAAAACCCCATATCTACAAAAATTTTTTTAAAAAATTAGTTGTGCATAGTGGCATGTACCTGAAGTCCCAGCTTCTGAAGAGGCTGAGACAGAAGGATTGCCTGAGCCCAGGAGTTCAAGACTGCAGTTAGCCATGATTGTGCCACTGTACTCCAGCCTAAGCAACAGAATGAGAACCTGTCTAAAATAAAGAAAAAAAAAAAGTCCATTCATTAAAAGAAAGAAAAACTGAGAACGTGGGTTTCCTCTCCAATGAGTCTCTAATCCATTCTTAAAACTGGTCACCTGAGGAAATTCTACAGCCTATTATTTTACTTTTCAACAATACAGATCCCTCAAATTTCCCTAATGCTTAACACAGCTACTTCTAATACGTTCTTACATAAAAACTTTCATACAATTTTTTTTTTTGGCAATGGATAAGTGGCAAAAACTTTCTATGCTCTAGTAAGTACAAGTTAATGGGGCCAGGCTCTGTGGCTCACATCTGTAATCCCAGTAATTTAGGAGGCTGAGGCAGGTGGATCACCTGAGATCACGAGTTCAAGACCAGCCTGGCCAACATGGTGAAACTCTGTCTCTACTAAAAATACAAAAATTAGCCAGGCATGGTGGCACATGCCTGTCGTCCCAGCTACTAGGGAGGCTGAGGCACAAGGATCACTTGAACCTGGGAGGTGGAGGCAGCAGTGAGCCGAGCTCACAGTCCAGCGACAGAGCAAGACCTTGTCTCAAAAAAAAACCCAAAACAACAACAACAACAACAACAACAAAACCAAAGTTAATGGATTCACAAAATCACCAATCATCAACTAAGCTCTCACAGGCAAAGTAATGTCTGCCAAATTTTGATACATCTCCAAACACCCCCTACCCCATCTCCACAGATTCTCTGACTAGAAACTAGGAACACAAATCTATAAAACAAAGTATATTTATCTATAAAGAATATTTTCATTACAAAAACAAAGGAGCCCCCATTTGTTAGACAGAGATACATACTCAAAAAATTATATGACGTCTATAATTTATTTTAAAGTACTCCAGAAACGTGGGGAAAAAATGTTGAAGGGGTAGGATATATTTGCAACAATATTGGCCAAAATGCTGATGCTTATTAAGACTGAGCTGAGTTTTGGATACATGAATGTTCATTATATAATTCTATTTTGGTACATATTTAAATTTTTCATAATAAAAAATTAGAGTAAGGGACTTCATTTCCAGTTCCACAAGTGAGGAACATGGAAGCTGCCATGCCATTCTATCAACAAGTACAAAGCCGAACAAGTGAAAAAATCACCAACTCTTCTTAGAGCAAACTGCTGCCTCCAAAATTGGAAAGAGAGATGGGCAGACACAGAGAGTTATGACATACCAGAGCAGAATCATACACGGGAACCAGTGCCAGAGTAGAAAAACCTGAATTGCAACTGACAGATTGCTGGAGGCTAGGTGTCAACAAGCCCAATACTTTAAAACTTCAGGGGTACCTAGTCATAGGTATGTTCCCTGAAATTTACAGAAATATTAGACAGAAGTCATGCTTTTGTGAGTTTTATCTCCAGGAGTTCAACTAGTTTTTTACAGTATATATAGGAGAAAAATTCCCTCATGCTTCCAGCAGGGAGAAGAGAAAAGGAACCATTTTTAAATATGCCACAGCATTCTGTTCTTCCTAACAAGGTCTGCCCTCAGGAGAAATAAGTTAACTACACCTAACCTGCTGGAGTTTGTTTTATTTATTTATTTTTTATTTAATTTTAATTTTAATTTTTGTATTTTATCAGGCAGGGTGTTACTCTGTTGCCCAGGCTGGAGTGCAGTGGCATAATCACAGCTCACTGCAGCCTTGACCTTCTGGGCTCAAGTGATCTTCCCACCTCTCAGCCTCCTGAGTAGCTGGGACTACAGGTGCACACCACCATGTCCAGATAATTTTTTGTATGTTTTGTATAGGTGGGATTTCACCACATTGCCCAGGCTGATCTCAATCTCCTGGGCTCAAGCAATCCACCCACCTCAGCCTCCCAAAGTGCTGGGATTACAGGCATGAGCAGTGCACCATACCTGGCCTGGGGTTTTACTGAAGCTTAATGGATCTGGCGGAGAGGAAATACCCAAATGCAACCCATTCTAACTATCCTGTCTCACCTAATGGGGTGCGGGGGGACTAGAAGCACTTAGGAGGTGCTTCACAGTCCAGAAGTATAGGCACACTAAAAAACTGAGAACTAATAATAGGACTATGGAATGCCTCCCCTCTCTCCACCCATTACCACATTACTAACAGTCTATTTTTGGCATTTGCTTTTATGCAGTACATTATGTCTAGCCATCAAGAAAAATATACAAGGAATACTAGAAGGCAAAAAAAACACAATTTGAATAGAAAAAGCAAATAAATATCAGAACCAAACATGGCAGGGATGTTGAAACAATCAGATCAGGAATTTAAAACAACACTGATTAATATGCTGAGGGCTCTAATGGATAAGGTAGACAGCATGCAAGAAGAGGTGGGTAATGTAAGCAGAGATGAAAATCCTAAGAAAGAACGAAAAGAAAACACTAAAGATCAAGAACACTGTAACAGAAATGATGAATGCCTTTTATAGGCTTATTAGTAGACTGGACACAGCTGAGGAGAAAAAAAAAAGTATCTGAGCTTGAGGATGTATCTACAGAAACCTCCAAAAGAGAAAATCAAAGAGGACAAAGACAAAAAAAGAAAACAAAGAAACAGAAGAAAGGATTAAGGAACAACTATAAAAGACATAACACAACCATACACAAAGGGAACACCAGAAAGGAAAGAGAGAAAGGAACAGGTAACTATATGAATCAATGACTAAGAATTTCCCCAAGTTAATATCAAACACCAAACCACAAATCCAGGAAATTCAGAAAACGCCAAGTGGGATAAATGCAAAACAAACAAACAAACAAAAAACCCCAAAAACCTACATCTAAACATACTATTTTCTAGCTATCAAAAATCAAAGATAAAGAAACAATTCTGACTCTGAAGAAGCAGTTTGAAAAAAAAGAAAAAATTCTGAATGAAGCTAGAGGGAAAAGAAAAACAAGCCTTACCTATAGAGGAACAACAACAACAACAACAAAAATTAGCCAGGCACAGTAGCTCATCCCTGTATCCCAACACTTTGGGAAGTCAAGGGGGTTGGATCGCTTGAGCCCAGGAGCTCAAGACCAACTGAACTCCTTGAGCCCAGGAGTTCAGTTCAGGCAATAGTGAGACCCCATCTCCACAAAAAATTAAACCTTAGCTGGGGTATTCTTTCTTTTTTTTTTTTTTTTTTTTTGAGATGGCATTTAGTGCTACACTAAATGCCTTTACACTCCTGTTGCCCAGGCTGGAGTGTAATGGCGGATCTCAGCTCACTGCAACCTCCGCTTCCCAGGTTCAAGCGATTCTCCTGCCTCAGCCTCCCAAGTGCACCACCATGCCTGGCTAACTTTTTGTATTTCTAGTAGAGATGGGGTTTCACCACGTTGGCCAGGCTGGTCTTGAAGTCCTGACCTCAGGTGATCCACCCACCTCAGCCTCCCAAAGTGCTGGGATTACAGGGATGAGCCACTGAGCCTGGCCTAAAGCTGGGTATTCTTATATCAGACAAAACAGAATTTAAACCAACAACAATCAAGAAGGACAAAGAAGGGTATTATATAATGATAACAGGTTCAATGCAGTAAGACTTAACTATCCTAAATACATATGCACCCAATATTGAAGCATCCAAATTCATAAAACAAGTTCTTCTTGACCTATGAAAAGACTTAGCCCCACAATAATAGTGGGAGACTTCAACAGCCCATTGACAGCATTAGACAAATCATCAAGGCAGAAAACTAACAAAGAAATTCTGGACTTAAACTCGACACTCAACCAATTAGACCTAATAGACATCTACAGAATACTCCACCCAATAACCACAGAATATACATTCTTCTTATCTGCACATGGAACATATTCTAAGATTGGCCACATGCTAGGTCATACAGCAAGTCTCAATAAATTCAAAAAATCAAAACCTAGCACTCTCAGACCACAGTGCAATAAAAATAGAAATCAATACCAAAAAGATCTATCAAAACTACAAAAATACATGGAAGTTAACCTAGTCCTGAATAACTCATGTGTGAACAATGAAATTAAGGCAGAAATAAAAAAATCATTGAAATTAATAAAAATAGAGACACAACTTACCAAAATATTTGGGATGCAGTTAAAGCAATGTTAAGAGGAAAGTTTGTAGCACTAAATGCCTTTATCAAGAAGTCAGAAAGATCTAAAATTAACAATCTAATATCTTGCATAGAATAGAAAAAAAAAGAGAACAAACTAATCCCAAAGCTAGCAAAAGAAAATAAATAAATAAAATCAGAGAAGAATTGAACAAAATTGAGACACAAAAATCCATACAAATGATCAATGAAATAAAGAGCTAATTTGTCAAAAGAATAAACAAGATTGACAGCACTAGCTACATTACCAAAGGGGGAAAAAGAGAAGATCCAAATAAGCACAATCAGAAATGACAAGGATGATAACTGATCCCACGGAAGTACAAAAGATCCTCCGAAGTTATTATGAACACCTCTAAGCACACAAACTAGAAAATCTAGAGGACATGGATACATTCCTGGAAACACACAAACTCCTAATATTAAACCAGGAAGAAAGTGAAAACCTGAACAGACCAACAACAAGACTCAAAATTGAATCAGTAATAAAAAACCTACCAACCAAAAAAAGCTCTGAACCAGACAGATTCACAGCCCAATTCTACCAGCTGCACAAAGAACTGGTATCAATCCGACTGAAACTATTTAAAAAAAAAATGAGGATGAGTGGCTCCTCCCTAATTCATTCTATGAAACCTGCATTAGCCTGATACCAAAATTTGGCAGAAACACAATAAAAAGAGAAAACTTCGGGCCAATATCCATGATGAACACAGACACAAAAATCCTCAACAAAATACTAGCAAACCAAATCCAGCAGCACATCCAAAAGTTAATTCACCATGATCAAGTAGGCTTTATTCTTGGGATGCACAGTTGGTTCAACACATGCAAATAAAAAAATGTGATTCACCACATAAACAGAATTAAAAACAAAAACCATATAGTCATCTCAATTAGATGCAAAAAAAATTTTTCAATAAAATCCAACATTCCTTCATGATAAATACCCTCAACAGACTAGGCATCAAAAGAACATATCTCAAAATAATAGCCATCTATGGCCAGGCGCGGTGGCTCACACCTGTAATCCCAGCACTTTGGGAGGCGGAAGCAGGCAGATGACCTGAAGTCGGGAGTTCCAGATCAGCCTGACCAACATGAAGAAACCCTGTCTCTACTAAAAATACAAAATTAGCCAGGCGTGGTGGCGCATGCCTGTAATCCCAGCTACTCGGGAGGCTGAAGCTGGAGAATCGCTTGAACCAAGGAGGCAGAGGTTGCAGTAATCCGAGATCGCACCATTACACTCCAGCCTGGGCAACAGGAGCAAAACTCTGTTGCAAAAATAAACAAATAAATTAATTAATTAATAAAAATAATAGCCATCTATGACAAACCCACAGCCAACATCATACTGAATGGGTAAAAGCTAGAATCATTTCCCATGAGAACTGGAATAAGACAAGGATGCCTACTCTTACCACTCCTACTCAACATAGTATTGGAAATCCCAGCAAGAGGAATCAGGCAACAGAAAGAAATAAAAAGCATCCAAATAGGAAAAGAAGAAGTCAAACTATCTCTCTTCACTAACAACATGATTCTACACCTAGAACACCCTAAAGATTCCACCAAAAGGCCCCTAGAACTGATAAACTTCAGTGAAGTTTCAGTATACAAAACCAACGTACAAAAATCAGTAGCATTTCTATAGACCAATAATGTTCTTGCTGAGAGTCAAATCAAGAACACAAGCCTGTTTAAATAGCCACCAAAAAAAGAATGAAAAATAAATGAAACACCTAGGAATACAGCTAAGCCAGGAGGTAAAAGATCTCTACAAGGAGAACTATAAAACATTGCTGAAAGAAATCAGGAATGACATAAATAAATGTTAAAACATTCCATGCTCATGGACTGGAAGAATCAGTATTGTTAAAATGGCCATACTACCCAAAGCAATTTGCAGATTCAACACTACTCCTATCAAACTACCAATGTCATTTTTCACAGAATTAGAAAAAAAAATTCTAAAATTCTAAAATTCATATGGAACCAAAAAAGAACCCAAATATCCAAAGCAGTCTTAAGCAAAAAAGAACAAAGCATCACATTACCCAACTTAAAACTATAGTATAAAGCAACAATACAAACAAAACAGCATGGTACTGGCACAAAAACAGACACACAGACCAATGGAACAGGTTAGAGAACCCAGAAATAAAACCACACACCTATAACCAACTGATCTTTGACAAAAGTCAACAAGAGCAAGAAATGTGGAAAGGCCTCCCTATTCAATAAATGGTGCTGGGATAACTTGCTGGCCATATGCAGAAAATTGAAACTAGACCCCTATCTTTCACCACATACAAAAATTAACTCAAGATGAATTAAAGACTTAAATGTAAGCCTTCAAAGTAAAAAATCCTAAAAGAAAACCTAGGAAATACCTTTGTTGACATTGGCCTTGGCAAAGGCATTTTGGCTAAGTCCCCAGAAGTAACGCAACGATAACAAAAATTGACAGGTGGGACCTATTTGAACTAAAGAACTTCCACAAAGCAACCTAGAAACTACCAACAGAGTAAATAGACAACCTACAGAATGGGAGAAATTATTTGCAAACTATGTATCCTCCAAAGGTCTAATAATCAGAATTTATAAGAAACTTAAACAAATGAACAATAAAAAACAAATCACCCTATTTTAAAACAGGCAAAGGACAAAGTGAAATATTAAAGTGTTCAGAGAAGGCCAGGCGTGGTGGCTAACGCCTATAATCCCAGCACTTTGGGAGGCCAAAGCAGGCAGATCACCTGAAGTCAGGAGTTCAAAACCAGCCTGACCAACATGGAAAAACCCCATATCTGCTAAAAATACAAAATTAGCCAGGCATGGTGGCACATGCCTGTAATCGCAAATACTCGGGAGGCTGAGGCAGGAGAATCCCTTGAACCCGGGAGGCAAAGCTTGCAGTGAGCTGAGATAGCGCCACTGCACCCCAGCCTAGGCAATAAGAACGAAACTCCATCTCAAAAAAAAAGAAAAAAAAAGTGTTCAGAGAAAAACTCACCAACATAGATTCTGTACCCCCCAAAATTATCCTTCAGAAATGAAGGAGAAATAGACTTTCTCAGACAAAAATTGAGGTAATTTTTTGGCAGTAGACTTCTCTTACAAGACATGTTAAAAGTTCTTTGGAGAGAAGGAAAGTAATATAGGGTAGAAACCCAGATGTGAAGAAGGAAAAAGTGAAGGCAACATAATAAATTATTTTTCTTATGCTTAATTGATCTAAGAGATAACAGTTTGCTCAAAATAACAATAGCAACAATGTACTTAATTATGTATGCTTATGTATATATTTTGTGCATATAAATATATATACATGCTTATGTATGCTGAATATATATGATGACTACAATGATATAAAGGACAGGAGGGAGAAATTAGGATCATTTTATTACGAGAAAATATCTTCACATTACCTTTGAAGTGGTATAATGTTATTTGAAAGTGGACTTGGATTAGTTATAAATCTGTATTGCAAAATCTAGGGCAATCACTAAAAAAAGTAAAAACAGAAGTATAATTGATATGTTAAGAAAGGAGAGAAGGCCAGGCACAGTGGCTGTAATCCCAGTACTATGGACGGTCGAGGTGGGTCAATTGATGGAGGTCAGGAGTTAGACCAGCCTGGCCAACATGAAACCAGCCTAGCCAACATGGTGAAACCCTGTCTCTACTAAAAACACAAAAATTAGATGGGCACAGTGGCACGCATCTGTAGTCTCAACTACTTGGGAGGCTGAGGTGGGAGGATCACTTGAGCCCAGGAGGAGAGGTTGCAGTGAGCCGAGACTGCGTCACTGGCACTCCAGCCTGGGCGACAGAGTGAGACTCTATCTAAAAACAAAAACTACAAAAGACAGAAAAAGAATGGAAGACAAAAATAATAATACTAAAAAAAAAAAAAAAACCAACAACAGGCTGGGCACAGTCGTGCACACCCTTGTAATCCCAGCACTTTGTGAGGCTGAGGCAGGAGGATCACCTGAGGCCAGGAGTTGGGGGCCGGTCTGGGCAACATAGCGAGACTCTGTATCCATCAACTTTTTAAAACTTAGCTAGGCATGGCAGCACAGACCTGTAGTCCCAGTTACTCAGGAAGCCAAAGCAAGAGGATCACTTGAGCCCAGGAGTTCAAAGCTGCAGTTAGCTATGATCACACCGCTGTACTCTAGCCTGGGTGACAGAGTGAGACTCCATTTCAAAAAAGAAAAGAAAAGAAACAAAGAACAAGACAACAGATAGAAAACAATTAACAAAAATGGTAGATATTAATCTACCTATACAAACAATCACTTCAAACATCAATGGTCTAAATGTACCAAATAAAAGAGACTGGACAGACTAAATCAAAAAACAAAACCCAATTGTATGTTGTCTACAACAAACTCACTTTAAGTATGTAAATACAAATAAAGTAAATGGATGTAAATTATATACCATACTAATACTCAAAAGAAAGTAAATATTGCTATATTAATTTGACAGAGCAGGCTGTATGTCAAGAAAAATGAACAAGTATAAAGAAGGGCATCATAGCCAAGCACAGTAGCTTGCACCTGTAACCCCAGCTATTCGGGAGGCTGAGGCAGGAGGATCACTGAAGTCAGGGGTTCAGGACCAGCCTGAACAACCTAGTGAGTACATCTCCAAGAAAATTAATAATAATAGTAATAATAATAAAAGAAGAGTATTACATAATGATAAAGGGGTCAATTCTCTAAGAGGCCATATACTATGTGTCTCATAATATCTAGAAACATGCATGCATCTAACAACAGAGCTTCAAACTACATGAGGTAAAAAACAATAGAACTGTAAGGAGAAAGATGAATGCACTATTATAGCTGGAGACTTCAAAACTCTTCTATCAGAAATGAACAGACCCAGCAGCCGGAAAATCAGTAAAGACACAGCTGAACTAAACAATATCATCAATTAACTAGATATAACTGACATCTATAGACTACTTAAACCAATGACAGCAGAATACACATTCTCATGCTCACACAGAATATTCACCAAGACAGATCACATTCTGAGTGCTATAAAACATACCCTAACAAACTTAAAAAAATAGAAATCATACAATGTCTGCTCTCAGAACACAGTGGAATTAAACTAGAGATCATATTAGAAAGACAACTGGAAAAATTCTGAAATACATGGAGATTAATACAATGCACTTCTAAATAACACAGGAGTCAAAGAACTATCATAAGAAGTTTTAAACTATTTCACACTAAATAAAAACATAACATCAAAATTTCTGGGATGCACTGAAAAAGGTGCTTGAAGGGGAATTTATAGCACTGAGTGCATGTATTAGAAAAGAAAGATCTAGGCCGGGCGCAGTGGCTCACGCCTGTAATCCCAGCACTTTGAGAGGCCGAGGCGGGCGGATCACGAGGTCAGGAGATCGAGACCATCCTGGCTAACACGGTGAAACCCCGTCTCTACTAAAAATACAAAAAATTAGCCGGGCATGGTGGCAGGCGCCTGTAGTCCCAGCTACTAGGGAGGCTGAGGCAAGAGAATGGCGTGAACCTGGGAGGCGGAGCTTGCAGTGAGCCGAGACATCGCACCACTGCACTCCAGCCTGGGTGACAGAGGGAGACTCCGTCTCAAAAAAAAAAAAAAAGAAAAGAAAAGAAAAGAAAGATCTAAAATCAATAACCAAAGTTTTTACTTTAGGAAACTAGAAAACAGAAAGCAAATTAAAGCAGAAGAGAAGAAATAATAAAAATTAGAGCAGAAATCAATCAAATTAAACATAGAAAATCAATAGAGAAAATTCAAAATATTTGCAAAAGACCTATATGATAAAAGACTGATATCCAAATATTTGAAGAATTCTAAAAACTCAACAGTAAGAAAACAAATAACCTGATTTTAAAATGGGCCAAAAACTTCTGACACCCCACCAAAGAAGATATACAGATGGCAAATAAGCACATGAAAAAGCGCTCCATATCACACATCACTAGATAAATGCAAATTAATGACAATGAGATGTCACTACACACCTATCTGATGGCCAAAATCCAGAACACTGACAATACCAAATGCTGGTGAGGATGTGGAACAACAGGAACTCTCATTCATGAGCTGATGAGAACGCAAAATGATACAGCCACTTTGGAAGAAAATTTGGCAGTTACTTACAAAACTAAACATACTCTTATTATCAAATCCAGCAATAATGCTCTTTGGTATTTACCCAAACAAGTAGAAAACTTATATCCACACAAAAATCTGCACAGCAACCAAGATATCCCTCAGTAGGTGAATGGATAAATGAACTGTGGTACCTCTAGACAATGGAATATTATTAAATGTTAAAAAGAAATGACCTATCAAGCCATGAAAAGATGTGGAGGAAACTTAAGTGCATATTACTAAGTGAAAGAAGCCAATAGTGTATGATTCTAAATATATGACACCTGGAGAAGGTAAAATTAAAGAGAAAGTAAAAAGATTAGTCATTACCAGAGTTTAGGAGGCAGGGAAACAGTGCACAGAGGATTTTTAGGGCAGTAAAAATAGAGAGAGATGGTTCCTGACATACGATGGTTCAACTTACAATTTTTCAACTTAAATGGGTTTATCAGGACATAACCCCATCATAAGTTGAGGAGCACCTATATACACATAATGGTGGATATATGTCATTACACATTCGTCCAGGCCCACAGAATGTTCAATAAGAGTGAACCCTATTGTAAACTATGGGATCTGGGTGATAATGATGTATCAATGTAGGTTCATCAATTGTAACAAATGTACAGCTGTGGGGATGATGATACTGAGGGAGTACATGCATGTGTGAGGGCAGGCAATATATAGGATACCTCTATACTTTCCTCTCAATTTTGCTGTGAACCTAAAACTGCTCTTTTTAAAAAAGTCTTTTAAAAATTAGGGAAAAAAGTAAATTTAATATTTGCCTGTCTCAGGCTGGGTGTGGTGGTTCACACCTTTAATCCCAACATTCTGGGAGGCCGAGGCAAGAGGACTGCTTGAGCCCAGGAATTTGAGACCAGCCTGGGCAACAAAGCCAGACTCTACATCTCTACAAAAAAAAAAAAAAAAATTAGCTGAGTGTGGTGGCACACACCTGTGGTCCCAGCTACTCTGGAGGCTGAGGCCAGAGGACTGGTTGAGCCACAGGATCGAGGCTGCAGTGAGCTGTGTTTGGGCCACTGCACTACAGCCTGGACGACAGAGTGAGACCTTGTCTCAAAAATAAATAAATAAATAAATAAATAAATAAATAAATAAAAGATGTGCCTGTCTTACTTCAGGATTCTACATGTGTACCAAATTCTATTAAGACTAGAATGGAAATCTAACTTTTTCAGAAGTACTGATGGTTCCTGAGGAACCATCATTTTACTGTAGAAATTACTAGTGATCAGATTTGAAATCAAAGGAGAGAAGTGTTTTTTCTCTTACAATGGCACTGCAAATCTATACTTTTTTATTTGAGACAGGGTCTGGCTCCATTGCCCAAGCTAGAGTACAATGGCGCCTTCTTGGCTCACTGCAACCTCCGCCTTCTGGGCTCAAGCGATTCTCATACCTCAGCCTCCAGGGTAGCTGAGATGACAGGCGCACGCCACCACGCTTGGCTAAATTTTGAATTTTTTAGTAGAGATGGGGTTTTACCATGTCGCCCAGACTGGTCTCAAATTCCCGACCTCAGGCGATCCACCCACCTTGGCCTCCCGAAGTGCTGGGATTACAGGCATGAGCCACCACGCCTGGCCTAAACTATACTTATTAAAAAGAAAAAAAAAAAAACCTGGTGTGTTGAGATACAGCATAAGAGATCATGAAAACTGAGAAAAAAACAACAAAATAATTTTGTAATAAAAAAAGAAAATGGAGAAGTGAAGATATGTAGATATCATTACAAAACATTCATTTAAAGTTGAGGAAAAAGGAATCTAACAGATTAGAATGGCAATGACCACCTTTGCAGTTTCAAAGCAAATAAACTGAAAAACAAAGGATGAAGATAGTAGAGCTGCAAATGGAGAGGGCGAAGAGACACACATAAATGTTTATTCAGAGATGTATCTCTGAAAAATGCTGTGAATCAAAGGATAGGCCTAATAAATTTTAGGGCTATACTTATTAGGAATACTTTAGAGAATAATAATAATAAGGTATAGAAGTACTATCTAATAGGCTTATAAATAGATAATTTAGTTTATAAGTAGCTAAAACATTCAAATACATTTGTAAAAACCAAGTAAAATTCAAGAGTCTTGGCCAGGTGTAGTGGCTCACACCTGTAATCCCAACACTTTGGAAAGCCAGGACAGGAGGACAGTCTGAAGTCTGGAGTTACTCGCCTGGCCAACATGGTGAAACCCCATCTCTACTAAAAATACAAAAAATTAGCTGGGCATGGTGGCACCCACCCGTAGTCCCAGCTACTTGGGAGGCTGAGGCAGGAGAATCACTTGAACCCAGGAGGCGGAGGTTGCAGTGAGCCGATATTGTGCCACTGCACTCCAGCCTGGGCAACAGAGCAAGACTCCATCACAAAAAAAAAATAATAATAATAATAAAATTCGAGAGTCTAGCTTGATTCATTAGAGAATTGCAGGTTACATCCAGAATATTTCTGAAAACTTTGAAAAGAGAGTAATCTGACACAGCAGCATGGGGGAAGGTCACTCAGAAAATATGGGGTGAAATGCTAAGGGCTTCACACTTTAGGGTCAAAGAGAAAGGAAAATACTAGTAATGAGAGTTTTGCCTGAACTGAGAAAATCTAGGGTTGTTAAGTACAGAAAAGACTACGAGAAAGAAAATTGAGAACTGAGGGAATGTGAGAACAGACAATATCTGAATTTTGAGAAGAGGAATTGGTCTATTAAAAGGAACAAAATTAGGGGTGGGCTAATTCATCATAAAATATCTTTTCATCTTGTTAAAAAAAAAAATCGCAGCCAGGTGCAGTGGCTCATGTCTGTAATCCCAGTACTTTGGGAGACCGAGGTGGGAAGATCATGAGGTCAAGAGATCGAGACCATCCTGGCCAACATGGTGAAACCCCATCTCTACTAAATATACAAAAATTAGCTGGGTGTGGTGGTGTATGCCTGTAGTCCCAGCTACTCAGGAGGCTGAGGCAGGAGAATCGCTTGAACCCCAGAGGTGGAGGCTGCAGTGAGCCGAGATCATGCCACTGTACTCCAGTGTGGTGACAGAACAAGACTCCGTCTCAAAAAAAAAAAAAAAAATCCTTATCCCAGCTATCAAAAATTGAACATCAATTTAAAAATCAACAAATCCTATAAAGGGTTAGCATCTGGTTAAATACCTTTTCCTTACATTCAGCCTTTTCATTGGGATCATTCAGTAAGAAGTCATTAGGCCAACATGACAGCAAGAGCAGCTCCATAAAAATGTTATCAGAACGGTCCAGATTACAAAGCACCCCCAACAAAATGAAGCTGTGAGGAATAAGTATGCAGAAGGCATAAGTTAGGAAGCCAAGAGAAGAGAGTCAAGGACTACCTCACTGAAATAGGGACCAGAAGATTAAAAATCAATTTATTTTTGGAAAATGAAGGGTTCTTAAGAATGGGATGTCATGTGGTTATAAGCAGATAGGAAAAATATATTAGTTAATAACGTGAAAAATAAAATACAAGAAAAGGAGACAGCTAGCATCCAAGGGTCTCTAACTCATTCATAAAAGGTACTAAACTGATCTTCAAGTTTTATCAAATAGAATCCTGAGTAAACCATACACAAAATAAGCAGGAGAACCTCCTGAAGGGGTGGCAAAGCTGTATCCTGCCTCACCTGGAAGCATCTCCTTGGAGCCAAGTAGGAGAAAGGTGAAGTGGCACTATCCACACCAAGCTGATGCTGACATACCCTTCATGGGCTTGGCTGATAGTAAAACAGGTATCCTGGGATCTGTGCAACCCAGGAAGATGTAGCTCTGGCTGTACCTGTTTGTAGCCTCTACACCACTGAGTTGAGAACAACAACTCAAGAGAAATGTGGAGAAAATAGAAAAGGTCAGAAAAAGAAAGAGCCATCCTTTTACCTATTCTTTCTTCTCCAATTATTTATTTTTCCAGTATTGACAATAGGTGTTAATCTATCCACTGTTTTCCTGATTTACCATGTTGTGGAGATGCTAAGTTTGAGCTAAAAATTACTATAAAAACAGATCTATAATTTTACTGGCATCATTCTCTAATCAAATGAGCCAACTGGTAGAGAAACTTGGATACGCTTGGGGCAAAGGAAAATGATCATCCCTATTTAATTTTGTTTCAGATCAAACATTTAAACATCAGTAATATCAGAGAGTATGTCATTAAGCTGAGAATACAAAGGTGAACACAAACTAGCAATATATTCAGGGTTTTATACCACTGGATTCATGTCAGAAAAAAAATTATTCATTCTTGTAATAAAAACAAATAGGGCCCAAGTAGTAAAACGGACTTCAAAAATGACGACAGGGCCAGAAACAGTTATTCTCTGAAACTGAAGCTAATATGAATCAACATATAATCAACAGTATTATTTTTAATCCATCCTGCAGTGTGATTTGAAGGCAGCTTCCTTACTGTGATTAAAACATATTTAACATCCAAAGACTTGAGTAGAGACAACTCAGAGGTATCTGTTATTGGTAGTTTAAAAAAGAAAGGCAAATAGCAGACTTATGACAATACTTTCCGAAGCAGTAAAAATTCTGCTAATTCACACTCTCTTATCCTTACTCCATGAAAAAGAACTCCCAAAGCCCAATTATTCTAAGTAATTACATACTTCTACTACTACTAACTCATTATAAAATTTCCAAGAGAAAAATGCTCAGCGTATTTATACCCGGCTGACACCAGTACATTCAATTAGTACTTAAAGAATGTAATTAAGGTTCAGGAAGATACAAATAAATTATAAATTAACATACAAATCATAAATTGTATATTCTACAAAGGGCTTACCTTGCAGCTTTTTCAAAACAGCAACTTCCATTTTCAGAACTTGTTTTGGTTGTTGAGCTGATTCCACCTTCAGTGCAACATTTTCCCTGGTGAGCATGTCCAAGGCATCGTAAATTTCTCCAAAGCCCCCACCCCCAATCTTTCTCAACTGCACAGAAAATAAGAACACACACACTCTAAATTACTAGAAGATTCTAACTTGAAAGCAATTGATCTCTTATATTTAGAAAATGTATAATTTTATAATCTGTTTTTTGATAAAATATTTAAATATTGTTAAATTAACTATGTATATGCCAAGAAGAAAACATATGCCTGAAAATAACATCAAAACCTTTCCCCACAGGTTTATCCACAACAAAGTAATGAAATTATTTCACTCACAAACAATTTTAAAATTTGGTCAACAGCCAGCATCAGAAATGTCACCAACAATACAGTATTTGAAAGAATCACTTCCCACAAATGCCAGTCTACAACCAGATTTGTTGTTTTAATTTTAAGGAAGACTTTTTAAACTTTTTAAACTATGAAATCCTGGCTGAGTGCAGTGGCTCACACCTGTAAACCTAGCACTTTGGGAGGCCAAGGCGGGCGGCTCACTTGAAGTCAGGAGTTCGAGACCAGCCTGGCCAACATGGTGAAACCCCCATCTCTACTAAAAAATACAAAAATTAGCCAGGCGTGGTGGTACATGCCTGTAATCCCAGCTACTTAGGAGGCTGAGGCAGGAGAATTGCTTGAACCCAGGAGGCAGAGGCAGAAGTAAGCCAAGATCCTGCCACTGCATTCCAACCTGGGTGACAGAGAGAGACTCCATCTCAAAAACGAAAAAAACAAAAAACACTACAAAATCACCCAGCCCTCTCACCACCACTTACCATTCTCTCTGAGGTACCTAACAGGGTCCACAGAGCAGGCAGAGAACTCTAGTACCAAACTATCCCAGAATTCACTATACATCTATTTATTCAAATAAGAGTAAAAAAAAATCAATTTAAGCAAGTTCAACAAGCACTATTCTCTCTGATAAAATAAATATGTTAGCTTAACTGGGGAATATCAGGATGCTGGTGTGAGTATCATAAGCAAGTTCTGAAGAGTCAGTGGCAAGTGCACCTGTAGTGTCTGAAAGCTGGGTTGTGGGGGTAGATACTTCAAGCTAGATACAGCAATTTTTTTCCATTTCCTGAAACTAGGTTGTCTCCTTATCACATTATCCAACATCCAGGATGTGATATAATGTAGGAAGTCATCATAGGCACAGGGTCCTAAATCATAACCAGCTCAAGACACCCCAGCTCCATGTTCTACCTCTTTCTCCACTTGATCTTCACTGATTACTATATCTAGGTTAATTTCTTTATCTTCTGAATTTCTACAGTAATTATTTATTTAATCATTCAATTAATCACTTTACCAGGCCATACCTCAGATAGCACTTGTATTATTGCCTTGTATTTTTTAAATTAAAGACCTGTCCATGAAATAACTTGTTTTCAAACTGTCATGTTGCTTAACTTTCCATTGTCAATGTCCTATCCTGCTACAGAGAAACTAAGCCTTTTCAAAGAGATGGCCATTTGTTCTATTCTATTTCCTTGTGTCCCCCATAGCATTTGGCAAAGTGCTAACTTATAAATATAATCCTATATTTATTACTTTGCACATGTGAGCCATAATCCTTCTTTATTTTTTTATTTTTTTTATTTTTTTATTTTTTGAGTTGGTAGTCTCACACTGTTGCCAGGGCTGGAGTGCAGTGGCATGATCTTGGCCCACTGCAACCTCCGCCTCCTGGGTTCAAGCAATTCTCCTGCCTCAGCCTCCCCAGTAACTGGGATTACAGGTGTGCACCACCACGCTTGGCTAATTTTTGTATTTTTAGTAGAGATGGGGTCTCACCATGTTGGCCAGGCTGGTCTCAAACTCCTGATCACAGGTGATCCACCCACCTCTGCCTCCCAAAGTGCTGGGATTCCAGGCGTGAGCCACCACACCCGGCCGATCCTGCTTTATTTTCATTTGGTGATGGGAAAGGAATACTACTTGAAACTACAGGATGAGTTCAAGATTTTTTTAAAGTTCCAGAAGTGGCCGGGCGCGGTGGCTCACACCTGTAATCCCAGCACTTTGGGAGGCCGAGGCGGGCGGATCATGAAGTCAGGAGTTTGAGAGCAGCCTGACCAACATCGTGAAAGCCCGTCTCTACTAAAATTATAAAAATTAGCCGGGCGTGGTGGCATGTGCCTGTAATCCCAGCTACTCAGGAGGCTGAGACAGGAGAATCGCTTGAACCTGGGAGGCAGAGGTTGCAGTGAGCCAAGATCACACCATTGCACTCCAGCCTGGGCAACAGTGTGAGACTGCCTCAAAAAAAAAAAAAAATTGATACTTATGATTCTTTATATTTTGTCCATTAAATAAAACCTAGTGTAGGTTTAAAAACTCATAAACAGTACCAAACAGATTCCTTTCTAACTAAGGACTGGTAGAGGTAGCTTCACGTTTTACCTCACAAAAAACCTTACCAAATGACAGAATAAAACATCTAGGCTGAAGTAAATGTTCTTGCTTCTTAGTCTATTTCTATTCCTATAATGCCATTTAAACATTAATACAGCATTTTTTAATTGGCCTGACAAAGCCCTAAGAAATTATCAAGGTTTATGAGGCAAAGAGACAGAGGCAGTTTAGTATGATTGGGGTACACAGATTACAAGAAGAATAGAGGTAAGGTCTGTGGAAGATTGTATTTTCCAACGATAGGCACAACAATATCATCCATTCCTGCTCTTCTTCAATGTGAAGAAAACCTTTCACACTGATGAAAACAATGTGACCTTGCTACTCCCCCACCAAGAGGTAGAGTCCATTTTCCCCTTAACTGTTTTCATCAACAGAATAGGGCAAAGTGACACTGTGCCAGCTCTGAGGATTGCCCTTAACCAGCCTGGGAGCTTCCATTTCCTGTCTCTTGAAAGCTAGCTACCATGTAAGAAATGGGACCATCTGGCCAGGCACAGTGGCTCACATCTGTAATCCCAGCACTTTGGGAGGTCGAGTCAGGTGAATCACCTGAGGTCGGGAGTTCCAGACCAGACTGGCCAACATGGCAAAACCCCGTCTCTACTAAAAATACAAAAATTAGCCAGTGTGATGGCGCGTGCCTGTAATCCCAGCTACTTGGGAGGCTGAGGCAGGAGAGTCGCTTGAACCCGGGAGGCGCAGGCTGCAGTGAGCTGAGATCACGCCTCTGCACTCCAGCCTGGGCGACAGAGCAAGACTCCGTCTCAAAAAAAAAAAAAAAAAAAAAAGAAATGGGACCATCCTGAGAAGCCACAGCCACATGGAGATGCCCTAGAAAATGAGCCACCAGGTTGGGGGTTGGGGGTTGGGGGTGAAGAGCTAAGGACCTCAAGATACCGGACAAGTGAGTGAAGAAACCATGTATAAATGGATCCTCTAACCAAAACAATCTTCCTAGTGCCACATGGTTAAGAGACAAATCACCCAGGCAAACTCTTCCCAAATTCCTACGTCACAAAACTGTAAGCAAAATAAGCCTCTAAATTTTGATGTAGTTTGTTATATAACAATAAATAACTAAAACACCATCCATAACAGTGAGCTTGTCATTTTTTTTTTAACTAAAAATGCCACTATGCCCTCCCAAATTTTGGAGATAAGTTGCTCAGATATATTAGTTCTAATTACCAGGACAAGGGAACCATGCCAATCAAGAGTTTCACTTGTCACCTTTTGATATGTCCACTGGAGAACAAACCAGCCTTAACACAGTGCTTACTATAATCCTCTCACCAAAGCAACACTCATGTCTGACTTACATAAAAGATTAGCAACTGCTGAATCTCCCTGCACTAGTCCATGATAATGACATAGTTTCCTTATATTTGGTCAAGTAAATTTTCAAAGCCTACTGACTTACCTAATCAGTAAAACACATTGTACCATACAAATAAAAAATAAAAATTCTATTTCTAAAGGGTCTTCTTTTTCCAATCTGTTCATAGATTAAGGAAACCATTAAAATAGCTTTGTGAAACCTACTAATGGAAAAAAACTTTGGTGGACTGTGTAGCAATAAAAAAATATTTAAATATATCCCAAACAAAAATAGTTCCTTTAAGAAACAAGCAGTATTAGAGAGATGGCAGATTCCAGGTCTAGGAAAAGAAAGCCATTGAAAGACGATTAGGATCCTGTCAAAAGAACTCAGAAGACAATGTGAAGTGTGTCCCCTTAGTCAAATAAGACAATTTAAACATTTATAAGGATAACTACCATTCACCGAAACACATCAAATTTGATTAAATCCATGAATTCTTAATTACACTAAAAAACAAATCTAATTGATCACTTTTGGAGAATGGCAAGAAACCAATTCATTGTTTTGAAAACTGGTAAATTAAAAAAGAGAAGCAAGTATTTATCTTGTTTTCCTAATCAAATTGTACCTCAAGATAATCAAATAATTGATGATAAAAAACTTGTCCTTATAGATACATTTCAACTAATAAATGAATTATGGAATATCACCAATCTGCAATCCCTAACTAACAGACCTAGGTAATGATCATCAATAGTGTTAACACCACAAAAAAGATAGACAGACGGACAATAAGATATTATATGCCTCCTAGTGAAGGCTCACAATAACATTTATGAAAAAAAGATGTCCCCATCTCAAAACAAATCTAAAGTCAGATCTAATCAAGCCTGTAGATACAACTACCAATTTACATGAAATACACAAGACAGAGAAATGTGTTAACCCCAAATGGAAGCAAATAGCAAAATCCAAACCATGGGAAAGTCTACAGACAAATCACCTAATTTCTTCAGTAAATAAATTGTAAGGAAAAAAAAAGAGCAATAAAGAGGAAGGAACCTAGAAATGAAAAGTAATGGCAACTAATTACAATATCCAGGTTTTATTTGGATCTTGATTCAGGCTATTCAAAATACTTTACAATCAGGAGAATGTGAAAACTAAAACTGTATTTGGTAATATTAAGAAATGATTACTTTTTTTTAGTACTACTACAGTATTTTATAACAGTAGAAAGTAGCTGAAAAATACTACATGCTAACAGACAAAATGATACACAATCTTGGGGGAGGAGTCAGCAGGGAAGAAATGATTATTTTTAAGGTATGATAATGGTATTATGATTATGTTTTTAAAAGTAAGTCCTTATTTTTTAGAGATACATACTGAAGTATACACAGAAGAAATGCTAAGGTTAAATATCGCTTCAAAATATTCTGGGAGAGAGATGAAACAAAATTAATCATACATTGATGACTATTTAACTTGAGTCATGAGAACATGGAGGTTCATTATATAAGTCTATTTTTTATGTATACTTACAATTTTCCTTAATAAAAAAAAAAAAAGAGAGAGCAGCTCATTGTACTTCCTTTTTTTTTCCCGGGTTCACGCCATTCTCCTGCCTCAACCTCCTGAGTAGCTGGGACTACAGGCGCCTGCACCACGCCCAGCTAATTTTTTTTGCTTTTTTTTTTTTTAGTAGAGATGGGGTTTCATCGTGTTAGCCAAGATGGTCTTGATCTCCTGACCTCGTGATCCGCCCGCCTCGGCCTCCCAAAGTGCTGGGATTATAGGCGAGAGCCACTGCGCCCGGCCAGCTCATTGTACTTTCAAACACTGTATTTTTTTCATCTGTTCAAAAATTTAGTACTATACGAAGCAAGAGTAAGAATTAGGGTATAAACAGAGCTTAATCATAGAAAAATAACTGTAAATAACTGCTTTAGGCATATAAGTAATGTATGTAATATTTCCTAATGAAATGCTATTTTTATCAGGATACCAAAAATTACCCCCCGATATGTATACACACACACACACACACACACACACACACACACACTCTCTGAGATGTACACTCACCACTTTCCATCTTTCTTTCACTAGGATTCCAACACTCAGGATATCCAGCTGCTCTCCTCCCCCACTCATTGCAATACACTGATATGGTAGAACAGCTACACAGGCATCCAGTTCCCAAGGGTGGTTTCCATTTAACCTAAAACAACAACAACAAAAAATAGTAGCAGTATTTAGGGTTAACTAATCAACACAAATAACATTCCAGCATCAGGAAGCACTACTAATACTATACACTAATTAGGCTATTTTGTTGGGAAGAAGGGGAAAAAGACCTAGAAATGTTTGATGCGTATTTTTAAAACCACGTATCTTTCTATTACAGATGCCCAGTGAAATAGCTAGGCATTACAAAGACACCGTTAAAACACAGATATTATTTATAATAACTGAGATTGTTAGATTATAGGGCAAGCATGATGTCAATGGCACTTGAACTAGGTAGACAACTATCCTGAGAACAATATACTGCTGAAAAGACATAGTACCTAATTTACAACTGCTTATAGTTTGTAACTTAGAGCTTAATATCATTAGAGCTAATAATATTTTAATGTTACAAAATGCACAGGAAATAAATACTAACAAATAAAAGGGTTGTTGACCAAACCTCATTCAAGGACATTGTAAGAAAAAGAGGATACTAATAAGATGAACAGCATACCTGTAGAAAATGAAGATATAGCAGAAAAATATGGCCTAAAGGAGATGAAAACTGTAACCAGTCCAGGAATGAGAAAGATACTGATACAGAGTGACTTTCAAGATACATTGTTTAGTGAAAAAGGCAAGACAGTAAAGGGTGCTGTACTTTGTAGAAAAAGGAGATAAATGTTGAGTATATTTAAGTATCTGCTTTTGTTTTTTAAAAAGAAAGAAAGAAGAAATAAGCCAAAACTTAATGAAAATGATGGATTCTTTATAGCAGGAGTCAGCAAACTTTTTCAATACAGGTCTAGAGAGTAAATATTTCGGTCCCTAGGCCACATACTGTATTCTCTGTCATAGCTACTCAATTCTGCCACTGCAGCACAAAAGCCATACACAATTATGTAAACGAATGAGTATGGCTGTGCTCCAACAAAATCTTATTTACAAAAAAAAAAAAAAGTGGGCCAAATTTGGCCTGCAGACTGTTTACCAACCTTTACTCAATAGCAAAAAAAACAGGCCAGGAGTGGTAGCTCACACCTGTAATCCCAGCATCTTGGGAGGCTAAGGCAAGAGGGTTGCTTGAGCCCGGGAGTTTGAGACCAGCCTAGCCAACATAGGGAGATCCCGTCTCTACAACAAATTTAAAAATTAGGCAGATGTGGTTGCATGTACTCGTAATCCCAGCTACTCAGGAGTCTGAGCGGGGAGGATCACATAAGCCTGGAAGGTTGAGGTTGCAGTGAGCTGTGAAGGTGCCACTGCATTCCAGCCTGGGTGACAGAAGAAGATCCTGTCTCAAAAAAAAAAAAAAAAAGAAAAGAAAAGAAAAACAGGATGGAAGGGATAAGAAAGAAAGCCAGACTTCTGTGAATGCATCTCGTGGTATAGTTTTGATTTTTGAACCATGTAAATGTTTTACATATGATTAAAAAAAAGTTCTAAACTCCAAATTCCAGAAAGGACCGTAACAACAAGTAATCATCAGAACTGGTGTTAAACCCATCCTAAGCCCATCAAAGGAAGCTTTGAATGAATGATATCACTTCAGCAAGTCACCAGTCAGCAACAGCCACAATTCATAACCACATTTACATAATAAAAGGTCAATCAATTCCTAAATACTCCTACTTCACCAATCCCTGAACTCCATAATTCCTCAAATCCTATTTAAGACCAGCAGTTTCTTTTCTTTTCTTTTTTCTTTTGAAACAAAGTCTTGCTCTGTCACCCAGGTTGGAGTGCAGTGGTGCAATCATAGCTCATTATATCCTTGAACTCCTGGGCTCAAGCAATCTTCCCATCTCAGCCTCCCAAGGAGCTGGGACTACAGGCACGCACTACCATACCTGGATAACATTGTTTGTTTGTTTATTTTTAATAGACAGGGTCTCACTATGTTGCCCAGGCTGGTCTCAGATTCATGGCCTTGAGTGATCCTCCCACCTCAGCCTCCCAAAATGGTGGGATCATAAGCATGAACCACTGCACCTGGTCGGGCAGTTTGTTTCATTCACAGAAATTATGTCCTACAATTATGGCTCTCCCTTGTATATCACACAATAAATTTAGCATTTTGTTCAGAAAATGAATGATGGAATGTTCAAGAGACAAAAATTTTTAAAAAACACTAAAAATAAAGGACAATCTCTAAAAATTCAAAACAAACTGAAACCAGTAATCTACTGCAATCTGTTCCCCAAAAACCTATGGAACTAAAAAAATTAAAAAAAAAATAAAATAAACCATTGCATCCATTGCATACTGAGTTTGTGCCATAGTCACACAGAAAACAATTACTTCAGCTGGGCATGGTGGCTCATACCTGTAATCCCAGCACTTTGGGAGGCCAAGACAGGCAGATCTCTTGAGGTCAGGAGTTCGAGACCAGCCTGGGCATTATGGCAAGACCCTGTCTCTACTAAAAATACAAAAATTAGGCAAGGCGTGGTGGCAGGTGCCTATAGTCCCAGCTACTCAGGAGGCTGAGGCAGGAGAATGGCGTGAACCCGGGAGGCGGAGCTTGCAGTGAGCCAAGATTGTGCCACTGCACTCCAGCCTGGATGACAGAGCAAGCTTCCGTCTCAAAAAAAAAAAAAAAAAAAAAAAAATCAACATTTTCCACAGAATTTAAATAAGACTCAAATTTCAAAAAAAAAAAAAAACCTTTTAATGTTGAGCATACAATCCAAAATTACCAAGCACACAAAGAACCAAGAATATCTCAATTTACATACGAAAGCACAATCAATAGATGCAAATGCCAAGATGACACAGATTTAGGACTTATCAGGAAAAATATTCCAAAAAATAAAGGTGAACACCCTAGAAATGAATAGAAAGATATAAAGTCTCAGTAAAGAAATGAGACATAAAGAAAGAAATTAAAATTTTAGGCCAGGCGCGGTGGCTCATGCCTGTAATCATAGCACTTTGGGAGGCTGAGGCAGGCAGATCACAAGGTCAGGAGTTCGAGACCAGCCTGGCCAACATGGTGAAACCCCATCTCTACTAAAAATACAAAAATTAGCGGGCGTGGTAGTAGGTGCCTGTAATCCCAGCTACTCGGGAAGCTGAGGCAGGAGAATCGCTTGAACCCAGGAGGTGGAGGTTGCAATGAGCCAAGATCGCACCATTGCACTCTAGCCTAGGCAACAGAACGAGACTCTGTCTCAAAAAAAAAAATAAAAAATTTAGAAGTGAAAAATACAGTAAATGAAATTTTAAAATTTCACTGGATGGGGTCAATAGAAAAATGGCAGTGTCAGAGTAAAGAGTCAGTAAACTGGAAGATAAATCTATAGCAATTACACAATGTGAAGATAAAATATTTTTATAAATGAATATAGACCCCAGGGACTAGTGGGACAATACCAAAAATTCTAATATTTGTGCCATTAGAGTTGAAAAAGAAGAGGTAACAGTTTAGGACAGAAAAAAATAAAAAATAGCTAAAACTTCACAAATTTTGTGAAGGAAAAAAACAACAGATTGAGGAAGCTGACTGAATACAATAAGCACAACACACACACACACACAAAAACAACTCTTAAACATATCATAACCAAACTGCTGAAAATTAAACAGAAAAAAATATATACTTAAAAATAACTAGAAAACAGCCAGGCACGGTGGCTCACACCTATAATCCCAGCACTTCGTAAGGCCAAGGCAGGCAGATCACCTGAGGTCAGGAGTTTGAGACCAGCCTGGCTAGCATGGTGAAACCTCATCTCTACTTAAAATACAAAATATATATATATATATATTAGCCAGGTGTGGTGGTGCATGTCTGTAATCCCAGATACTCAGGAGTCTGAGGCAGAAGAATCACTTGGACCCAGGAGTTGGAGGTTGCAGTGAGCCAAGATTGCGCCATTGCACTCCAGCCTGGACAACACAGTGAGACTTCATCTCAAAATAATAATAACAATAATAATGATAACTAGATAAAAATAATATATTACTTATAGGGTAACAATGATTTGACTGACTGCGGATTTCTCATCAGAAATCATAAAGGCCAGCAAGAAATAGAAACACATATTTAAAGTACTAAAAGTAAAGAACTGTCAACCCACAATTCTATATGCAGAGAAAATATCCTTCAGAGATAAGGACATTCTCAGATAAAGGAAAATTAAGACTATGTGTTGTCAGCAGACCTGCTCTTAAAGAATTGTCAAGGAAAGTTCTTCTGAGAAAAGGGTAATTATAATACAGAAAAATCTGGAATAACAGCAATGGAGGAAGAGCAATAGAAATCCAGGGAAGTATAAGAGCCTGATTTTCTCCTCTTGAGTTCTCAAAAATATGCTTGCAAGTTAAAGGCAAAAATTAAAAACTGGCTGAAGGGATTTCCAATGTAAACAGATATAACACTACTCCAAAAAAAAGGTAGAGGGCTGGGCGCGGTGGCTCACACCTGTAATCCCAACACTTTGGGAGGCTGAGGCAGGTGGATCACCTGAGGTCGGGAGTTCGAGACCAGCCTGACCAACATGGAGAAACCCCGTCTCTTCTAAAAATACAAAATTAGCCAGGTGTGGTGACACATGCCTGTAATCCCAGCTACTCGGGAGGCTGAGGCAGGAGAATTGAACCCAGAAGGTGGAGGTTGCGGTGAGCCGAAATTGTGCCATTGCACTACAGCCTGGGTGACAAGAGCGAAACTCCACCTCAAAAAAAAAAAAAAAAAAAGTAGAATGGTAAAGGGACTCATGTAAAGGGACTCAAGATTGCGGTTAGGTTTCTGCGTTATTTTAGGTAATGTAATATTCATATTATGTAATATTTATATAACATTTAATATTTAATGTAATAACTCTAAGTAGATGGTAAAAAGTAGATATATCGTAAGCCCTATAGCAACCGCTTTAAAAACTACACAAAGAGATATCAGGAAAAGCAAAAAAAATAAAAATAAAGTGGAATACCAAAACATGTTAAGATAATCCAAAAGTAGACAGAAAGAAACAGAAGAACAAAAATAAAGGGACAAACATAAAACAAATAATAGAATGGTTGACCTGAATCCAAACTTACCTGTAATTACCTTAAGTATAAATGGCATAAACACACCACTGAAAAGACAGAGATTAGCAGGATAAATATGATTCTATAAGAAACTCACTTCAAAAATAATATGTAGGTTAAAGTGAATATACTTAAATACCACTGAAAATAATAACAAAAATAATACTATTATTATGTAGGTTAAAAGAAACGGGAAAAAAGTATACCATGCAAATATTAACAAAAGAAAAGCTGGAGTATCTATTATAATATCTGACAGTGTTGACTTCAGGGCAAAGAAAATCACTGGAGATAAAAAGAGATACAGAACCATGGAAGAGCCAATTTACAAAGAAATTATAAACATGTATGCACCTTAAAAAGACCATCAAAACACATGAAATAAAAATCAATGAACTGAAAGGAGAAACAGACAAATCCGTGGTTATAACTGGAGTAGACAAATCCATAGCTATAACTGAAGACTTCACTCTTTTCCCAAATAAATAACTAGACAGAAAATTGTCAAGAATACAGAAGCTAAAACAGTACCATTGGGGTATAATTGTAAAATATATTTGGTTGTGATATTGTGGCTTATATTAATAATAAGAAATATAAATATTTGGTCTTTGTCCCTGGTTCTTGTTCAGCGCTCATAAAGCCCTTGTAATTTCTGAAGTGACTGGGGTGCTAGGAGCATCTTTTGGTATAATATTTGGTTTTTATACTCGGTTCCTGAAATAGCTCCAGATAGATAAAAGATGATAGGAGTGAATTTTGTTATTCATAACAAGCCCCTTTCAACCACATCTGGGATTTTGTTAATGAGGTGACTTTAGGAAACCTTTAAAGATAGACGGCTGGTTGCCAGGGGAACCAACCCTGTGATTAGAGGGCTGGAACTTTCGGCCCCACTCACAAGCTCTGGGGAGGAGAGAGATGCTGAAGGTTGAGTAGATTTCCAATGGCTAATGGTTTAATCAATCAGGCCTTAATGAAGTCTCCATTAAAAACACAAAAGCACAAGTTTTGGAAACTAATAAGTGTCAGGCCTCTGAGCCCAAGCTAAGCCATCATATCCCCTGTGACCTGCACGTATACATCCAGATGGCCTGAAGCAACTGAAGATCCACAAAAGAAGTGAAAATAGCCTTAGCTGATGACATTCCACCATTGTGATTTGTTTCCCCCCACCCTTAATAAGGTTCTTTGTAATCTCCCCCACGCTTAAGAACATTCTTTGTAATTCTTCCCACCCTTGAGAATGTACTTTGTGAGATCTATCCCCCGCCCACAAAACATTGCTCCTAACTCCACCACCTATCCCAAAACCTATAAGAACTAATGATAATCCCACCACCCTTGCTGACTCTCTTTTCGGGCTCAGCCCACCTGCACCTAGGTGAAATAAACAGCCTTGTTGCTCACACAAAGGCTGTTTGGTGGTCTCTTCACACAGACACGTGAGACATTTGGTGCCAAAGACCTGGGTCAGCAGGACTCCTTCGGGAGACCAGTCCCCTGTCCTCACCCTCACTCCGTGAAGAGATCTACCTATCACCTCAGGTCCTCAGACCAACCAGCCCAAGGAACATCTCACCGATTTTAAATCGGGTAAGCAGCCCTTTTTACTCTCCAACCTCTCTCACTACCCCTCAACCTCTTTCTCCTTTCAATCTTGGCGTCACCCTTCAATCTCTCCTTCTCTTAATTTCAATTCCTTTCATTTCTGGTAGAGACAAAGGAGACACATTTTATCCGTGGACCCAAAACTCCGGCACCAGTCACGGACTCAGGAAGGCAGCATTCCCTTGGTGTTTAATCATTGCAGGGACGCCTGCCTGATTATTCACCCACGTTTCAGAGGTGTCTGACCATGCAGGGTCACCTGCCTTGGTCCTTCACCCTTAGCAGCAAGCACCGCCTTTCTGGGGGGCAAGTACCCCCCGACCTCTTCTTTTGGTGTCTCTACCCCTTCTCCACTTTCCTGGGGGGCAAGCACTCCCCACCCCTTCTCTCCATGTCTCTACCCTTCTCTTTAAACTTGCCTCTTTCACTATGGGCAACCTTCCACCCTCCATTCCTCCTTCTTCTCCCTTAGCCTGTGTTCTCAAGAACTTAAAACCTCTTCAACTCTCGCCTGACCTAAAATCTAAGCGTTTTATTTCCTTCTGCAATACCGCTTGGCCCCAATACAAACTCGACAGTAGTTCCAAGTGGCCAGAGAATGGCACTTTTGATTTGTCTATCCTGCAAGATCTAGATAATGTTTGTCAAAAAATGGGCAAATGGTCTGAGGTGCCTGACGTCCAGGCAATCTTTTACACATTGGTCCCTCCCTAGTATTTGTTCCCAATGAGACTCATTCCAAATCTTTCTTCTTTCTGTCCTATCTGTTCCTTCAGTCTCCACCCCAAGCTCTGAGTCCTCTGAATCCTTCTTTTCTACGGACTCATCTGACCTCTCCCCTTCTCCCCAGGCTGCTCCTCGCCAGGCCAAGCCAGGTCCCAATTCTTCTTCAGCTTCTGCTCTCCCACCCTATAACCCTTCTATCACCTCCCCTCCCCACACCCAGTCTGGCTTATGGTTTTGTTCTGCGACTAGCCCTCTCCCACCTGCCCAACAATTTCCTCTTAAAGAGGTGGCTGGAGCTAAAGGCATACTCAAGGTTAATGCTCCTTTTTTCTTTATCTGACCTCTCCCAAATCAGTTAGCATTTAGGCTCTTTTTCATCAAATACAAAAACCCAGGCCAGTTCATGGCCCGTTTGGCAGCAACTCTTAGACGCTTTACCGCCCTAGACCCAGGCGGGCCAGAGGCTGCCTTATTCTTAATATGCATTTTATTACCCAATCCGCTCCCGACATTAGAAAAACTCCAAAAATTAGATTCCGGCCCTCAAACCCCACAACAGGACCTAATTAACCTCACCTTCAAGGTGTACAGTAATAGAGAAGAGTTGCAACTACTTGACTCTGCTGTGAGAGAAAACCCCAGCCATATCTCCAGCACACAAAAACTTCAAAACGCCTAAGCCACAGCGGTCAGGCGTTCCTTCAGGACTTCCTCCCCCAGGATCTTGCTTCAAGTGCCGGAAATCTGGCCACTAGGCCAAGGAATGCCCACAGCCTGGGATTCCTCTTAAGTCGTGTCCCATCTGTGAGGGACGCCACTGGAAATTGGACTGTCCAACTGGCCCAAGGCTCTGACTTACTCCTTCCCAGATCTTCTTGGCTTAGCAGCTGAAGACACACTGCCCAATCTCCTTGGAAGCCTCAGATGCTTTGGGTAACTCTTACAATGGAGGGTAAGTCCGTCCCCTTCTTAATCAATACGGACGCTACCCACTCCACATTACCTTCTTTTCAAGGGCCTGTTTCCCTTGCCTTCATAAGTGTTGTGGGTATTGACAGCCAGCCTTCTAAACCTCTTTATACTCCCCAACACTGGGGCCAACTTGGAAAACATTCTTTAATGCACTCCTTTTTGGTCATCCCCACCTGCCCAGCTCCCTTATTAGGTCAAGACATTTTAACTAAATTATCTGCTTCCCTGACTATTCCCGGGCTATAGCCACACCTCATTGCTGCCTTTTTCCCCAGTTCAAAGACTCCTTCACATCCTCTCCTTGTATCTCCCCACCTTAATCCACAAGTATAGGATACCTCTACTCCCTCCTTGGCAATAAATGATGCACCCCTTGCCATCCCATTAAAACCTAATCACCCTTACCCCGCTCAACGCCAATATCCCATCCCACAGCACACTTTAAAAGGATTAAAGCCTGTTATCACTTGCCTGTTACAGCATGGCCTTTTAAAGCCTATAAACTCTCTTTATAATTCCCCCATTTTACCTGTCCAAAAACTGGACCAGTCTTACAGGTTAGTCCAGGATCTGCGCCTTATCAACCAAATTGTTTTGCCTATCCACCCTGTGGTGCCAAACCCATACACTCTCCTATCCTAAATACCTCCCTCCACAACCCATTATTCTGTTCTAGATCTCAAACATGCTTTTTTTTCACTATTCCTTTGCACCCTTCATCACAGTCTCTCTTCACTTTCACTTAGACTGACCCTGACACCCATCAGGCTCAGCAAATTACCTGGGCTGTACTGCCGCAAAGCTTCACAGACAGCCTCCATTACTTCAGTCAAGCCCAAATTTCTTCCTCATCTGTTACCTACCTCGGCATAATTCTCATGAAAACACACGTGCTCTCCCGCTGATCGTGTCCAGCTAATCTCCCAAACCCCAATCCCTTCTATGAAATAACAACTCCTTTCCTTCCTAGGCATGGTTAGTGCGGTCAGAATTCTTACACAAGAGCCGGGACTGCACCCTGTAGCCTTTCTGTCCAAACAACTTGACCTTACTGTTTTAGCCTACCCCTCATCTCTGCGTGCAGTGACCACCACTGCTTTAATACTTTTAGAGGCCCTCAAAATCACAAACTATGCTCAGCTCACTCTCTACAGTTCTCATAACTTCCAAAATCTATTTTCTTCCTCCCACCTGACACATATACTTTCTGCTCCCCAGCTCCTTCAGCTATACTCACACTTCGTTGAGTCTCCCACAATTACCATTATTCCTGGCCCGGACTTCAATCCATCCTCCCACATTATTCCTGATACCACACCTGACCCCCGTGACTGTATCTCTCTGATACACCTGACATTCACTCCATTTCCCCATATTTCCTTCTTTCCTGTTCCTCACCCAGAACACACTTGGTTTATCGATGGCAGTCCAACCAAGCCTAATCGCCACTCACAAGCAAAGGCAGGCTATGCTATAGTAGCTTCCATATCTATCATTGAGGCTACTGCTCTGCCCCCTCCACTACCTCTCAGCAAGCCGAACTCATTGCCTTAACTCGGGCCCTCACTCTTGCAAAGGGACTATGCATCAATATTTATACTGACCCCATATCCTGCACCACCATGCTGTTATGGGCTGAAAAGTTTCCTCACTACACAAGGGTCCTCCATCATTGATGTCTCTTTAATAGAAACTCTTCTCAAGGCCTCTTTACTTCCAAAGGAAGCTGGAGTCATTCACTGCAACGGCCATCAAAAGGCATCAGATCCCATCGCTCAGGGCAACACTTATGCTGATAAGGTAGCTAAAGAAGCAGCTAGCATTCCAACTTCTGTCCCTCATGGCCAGTTTTTCTCCTTCTCATTGGTCACTCCTATTTACTCTCCTACTGAAGTTTCCACCTATCAATCTCTTCTCACACAAGACAAATGGTCCTTGGACCAAGGACAATATCTCTTTCCAGCCTCACAGGCCCATTCTATTCTGTCTTCATTTCATAATCTCTTCCATGTAGGTTATAAGCCACTAGCCCACCTCTTAGAACCTCTCATTTCCTTTCCATCATGGAAATCTATCCTCAAGGAAATCACTTCTCAGTGTTCCATCTGCTATTCTACTACTCCTCAGGAATTATTCAGGCCCCCTCCCTTCCCTACACATCAAGCTCAGGGATTTGCCCCTGCCCAGGACTGGCAAATTGACCTTACTCACATGTCTTGAGTCAGGAAACTAAAATACCTCTTGGTCTGGGTAGATACTTTAACTGGATGGATAGAGGCCTTTCCCACAGGATCTGAGAAGGCCACCGTGGTCATTTCTTCCCTTCTGTTGGACATAATTCCTCAGTTTGGCCTTCCCACCTCTATACAGTCCAATAACAAACCGGCCTTTATTAGTCAAATCACCCAAGCAGTTTCTCAGGCTCTTGGTATTCAGTGGAATCTTCATACCCCTTACCGTCCTCAATCTTCAGGAAAGGTAAAACGGACTAATGGTCTTTTCCCAAAAACTCGCCAACCAAGCAAGTAATTACGCTAAACCCCCTTGGGCAGTCTCTAAGTGGATGTCTTGGGTCCTCCCAATTCTTAGTCCTTTAATATCTATTTTTCTCCTTCTTTTATTCAGACCTTGTATCTTCCGTTTAGTTTCTCAATTGATACAAAACCGCATCCAAGCCATCACCAATCATTCTACACGACAAATGCTCCTTCTAACAACCCCACAATATCACTCCTTACCCCAATATCTTCCTTCAACTTAATCTCTCCCACTCTAGGTTCCCACGCCACCCCAATCCCACTTAAAGCAGCCCTGAGAAACATTGCCCATTATCTCTCCATACCACCCCCAAAATTTTTCGCCACTCCAACACTTCACTATTTTGTTGTATTTTTCTTATTAATATAAGAAGACAGGAATGTCAGGCCTCTGAGCCCAAGCTATGCCACCATATCTCCTGTGACCTGCACGTATATATCCAGATGGCCTGAAGCAACTGAAGATCCACAAAAGAAGTGAAAATTGCCTTAGATGATGACATTCCACCATTGTGATTTGTTTCTCCCCCACCCTTAAGAAGGTTCTTTGTAATTCTCCCCACCCTTGAGAATGTACTTTGTGAGATCCACCCCCTGCCTGCAAAACATTGCTCCTAACTCCACCACCTATCCCAAAACCTGTAAGAACTAATGATAATCCCACAACCCTTGCTGACTCTCTTTTCGGACTCAGCCTACCTGCACCCAGGTGAAATAAACAGCCTTGTTGCTCACACAAACCTGTTTGGTGGCCTCTTCATATGGACATGAGACAATAAGCATATCCATATGTTGTGAGGGTAGTGTATCCTAACTTCATGAGGAAAGAAACTCCTGCTCTGAGGATCCTTCCAGACTTTGCCCTATGTATCTCTTCACCTGTATCCTCATTTATATCCTTATTAGATAATAAACCAGTAAGCATAAATGAAGTGTTTTCCTGAGTTCTGAGAGCCATTCTAGCAAATTGCACTTCTCTGTCATTTGCCAGAAGTATTCAGTATAGTAGTAAGAACAGTTTATTTTTTCCTATCTTACATTTTTGTGTCAGAGGATTGGTATTCATTTCCAAATTCCTGGCAGTGCTTGGAATTTCCTAAGTGATATGAATGCCTTTGTTATGCTAATGAAGTGACTCCAAGCTTCAGGATGGGGGCTGTCACCTGAAAGCATATGACTACATGACTAGAACCTTCATCTCCACCTCCCAACTTCCAGGAAAAGAGTTACTAGTGATTGAGTTCAATCACATGGCCAATGATTTAATCAACCATGCCTACGTAATAAGCTCTTTTTGTTTGTTTTTTGAGATGGAGTCTCACTCCTTTTGCCCAGGATGGAGTGCACTGGCGCAATCTTGGCTCACTGCAACCTCTGCCTCCAGGGTTCAAGCGATTCTCCTGCCTCAGCCTTGTGAGTAGCTGGGATTACAGGTGTGCACCACCACGCCCGGCTAATTTTTTTGTATTTCTGGTAGAGACGGGGGGTTTTACCATGTTTGGCCAGGCTGGTCTTGAACTCCTGACCTCAGGTGATCCACCCACCTCGGCCTCCCAAAGTGCTGGGATTACAGGCGTGAGCCACCATGCCCGACTTTTTTTTTTTTTTTTTTTTTTAAGAGATGGGGTCTCACTGTCGCCCCGGCTGGAGTGCAGTGGTGCAAACATAGCTCATTGCAGCCTCAAACTCCTGGGCTCAAGCAGTACTCCCATCTCAGCTTCCCAAGTAGCTAGACTACATGCATGTGCCACCACACCCAGCTCATTTTACTTTTTTGTAGAGACAGAGTCTGGGTATGTTGCCCAAGCTGGTCTTGAACTCCTAGACTCAATCGATCCTCCCACCTCAGTCTCCTAAAGTGCTGGGATTACAGGCATGAGCCACTGTGCCCAGCCCTGAACTCTGTATATTAAAAACTCTGTAAATCTTAAATTCAGCTGGATAAAAAAGAAAAAAAAAAACAAACTCTGAACTACAAGGCTCAGGGAGCTTCCTGGTTGGTGAACATACTGATGTACCAAGAGGGTGGTGTACCCTGGCTCCACAAGTAGAGAAGCTCCCGTGCTTGGGAGCCTTACAAACTTATCATATAGTCCTCTTCATCTGATTGTTCATTTGTATCCTTTATAATAAAAAGGTAATTTTAAGTATAGCACTTTCATGAACTCTGTGAGTCATTCTAAGCAAATTATTAAACCCAAGGGGATTGTGGGAAGGCCCAAACTTATACTCAACCAGGGAAAATTTGAGTGGCTTGTGGCTCCAGTCTGAAGTGAAGGCAGCTTTGTGGGACTGAGCCCTGTAACCTGTGAGGTCTGCATTAACTTGACGCAATTAGTGACAGAATTAAAGCGAATTATAGGACACCCAGATGATGTCAGTGAACTTAATCAAAAACAACCATCAAACAACTGGAACTGACATTTACAGAACACTCCACCCAACAAAAGTGGAATACACATTCAAACTCACAAGGAACGTACACCAAAAGACTATATAATATCCCAGGTCACAAAACAAATTTTGCAAATTTAAAAGAACGGAAATCATACATACTATGCTCTCTGATAACAAGCTAGTATATTCTAGCTTAATGTTATTAAGCTAGAAATCAATAACGGCAAGATAACAAGAATACAAACACTTGGAAATTAAACTATAACAACAGGGCAAGGTGCCTGATTTTTATATAAATAACACTTTATTGGAACTAAGCCATGCTCATTCATTTATATGTTGTGTATGGCTGATTTTATACTACTAGAGCAGAGTTAAATAACTGCAACACAGACGGTATTACACTTAGGCCTAACATATTTATTATTTGGACCTTTAATAAAATGTTTGGCTGGGCACGGGGGCTCACACCTGTAGTCCCAGCATTTTGGGAGGCCGAGGCAGGTGGATTGATTGAGCTCAGGGGTTCAAGACCAACCTAAGCAACATGGCAAGACACTGTCTCCACAAAAAATATAAAAATTAGCCAGGTGTGTGGCACTCATCTGTGGTCCCAGCTACTCAGAAGGCTGAGGTGGGAGGATCTCTTGAGCCAGGAAGTTGAGGCTGCAGTGAGCTGTGATTGTAAGACTGCACTCTAGCCTGGATGACAGAGCAAGACCCTGTCTCAAAAAAAAAAAAAAAAAAAAAAAAGCCGGGCACGGTGGCTCACGCCTGTAATTTCAGCACTTTGGGAAGCTGAGGCAGGCGGATCACCTGAGGTCAGGAGTTCAAGACCAGCCTGGTCAACATGGTAAAACCCTGTCTCTACTAAAAATACAAAAATTAGCCAGGTGTGGTGGTGTGTGCCTGCAATCCCAGCTACCTGGGAGGCTGAGGCAGGAGAAATCTCTGGAACCCGGGAGGCGGAGTATGCAGTCAGCCAAGATCATGCCACTGCATTCCAGCCTGGGTGACAGAGCAAGACTCTGTCTCAAAAAAAAAAAAAAAAAGAAAGAAAGAAAAAAAACCAAAATGTTTGCCAATGCCTGTTCCAAATAAGCCATGGTTAAAGACAAAGTCCCCAGGCAAATTAGAAAATATTTGAATTGAACAAAAAGGAAAATAAAACATATGATATGCAGCTAAAGCAATGGTTAGAGGAAAAACTATAGCACTGAAAGCTTATATGAAAAATGAGGCCAGGTGCAGTGACTTAGGCCTATAATCCCAACACTTTGGGAGGCCAAGGCAGGAGGACTTGAGGCCAGGAGTTCAAGACCAGCCTGGGCAACCTATCAAGACCCTGTTACTACAAAAATTTTTTTAAAAAACTTAACTGCATGTGGTGGGTGCCTGTAGTCCTAGCTACTCAAGAGGCTGAGGCGGGAGGATAATTTAAGCACAGAAGGTTGAGGCTCCAATGAGGTATGATCACTCCATTGCACTCCAGCCTAGGTGACAGAGATGCTGTCTCTTAAAATATATATATAATATTAAAATAATTTTTAAATTGAAAATAAGCACGGAAGTTTCAAATTAAAACTATAAGCTTCCACCTAGGGGGAAAAGACAAACAAACTAAACCCAAAACAAGCAGAGGAAACAAAAGACAAAATAATAACAATGAAATTAAAACCAGAAACGTCATAGAAAAAAAAAAATCAATGAGACCAAAAGCCAGCTCTTTATAAAGATCAATACAATTTATAACCTTTTAGGAAATCTGGGAAAAAAGAACTCACAAATAATCAATATTAGGAATGAAACAGGGGTTATCACTATAGACTCCACAGACATAAATATATAATTAGGAAACATAATGAACAACATTATACACAGAAAGTGAACACAGACAACCATCAAAAACTACAAACTACCACAATTCACCCAAGGTGAAAGGGACCTCCTTAATAGTCCTACTAAAAAAATATGGGCATGATATGGTTTGGCTGTGTCCCTACCCAAATCTCATCTTGTAGTTCCCATAATCCCCCACATGTCATGGGAGGGATCTAGTGGGAGGTAACTGAATCATGAGGGCAGTTACTGCCATGATGCTGTTCTCATGATGGTGAGTGAGTCTCATGAGATCTGATGGTTTTATAAAAGGCAGTTCCCCTGCACACGCTCTCTTGCCTGCTGCCATGTAAGATGTGCCTTTGTTCCTCCTTTGCCTTTCACTATGATTGTGAGGCTTCCCCAGTCATATGGAACTATGAGTCCATTAAACCTCTTTTTCTTTACAAATTACCCAGTCTCAGGTAAGTCTTTATTAGCAGTGTGAGAATGGACTAATACAGGCCTAGATTTTTTTTCCAATGGCAAATTCTACTAAACATTTAAAGAAAAAATGAAACAAATTTTATACAATCTCTCCAAAAAAGAAGAGGAAAAAACACTTCCCATCTCATTTTATGAGTCCAGCATTAACTTGATATTAAAACTAGTCAAAGGATGGGCATTGTGGCTCATGTTTGTAATCTTAGTACTGTGGGAGGCGAAGGCGGGTGGATTTCTTGAGCCCAGGAGTTTGAGACCAGCCTAGGCAACATGGTGAAACCCTATCTCTACAAAAAATACTAAAAATTAGCTGGACATGGTGATGCACACCTGTAGCCTCAGCTACTCAGGAGGCTAAAGTGGGAAGATCACCTGAGCCCAGGAAAGTCAAGGTTGCAGTAAGCCAAGATACCATCACTGCACTCCAGGCTGGGCAGCAGAGTGAGACCTGTCTCAAAAAGAAAACAAAAAATAAGAGACCCATATCCCTTATAAACACAAACATGAAAATTCCTCATAAAGTAGTAGCAAACTGAATCCAGCAATACATAAAACGAATAATACACCACAATCCGGTATGGTTTATCCTGGGGATGCAAGGCTGACTCAATATTCAAAAATCAATTCATGCAGTACAGCAGATTAATAGTCTAAAAATGAAAACCACATGACCTATCATTTGATACAGGAGAAGCATTTGACAAAATTCAATATTCATTCATGGTATAAAACTCTCAGCAAACTAGGAATAGAAGAGAATTTTCTAAACCTAATAAAAGGCATCTAAAAAAACAAAGTTCACACAAACTGTCAGTTTTAACACAATTCCAATTGAAATCTAAGCAGAATGTTTCATATAAATAAGCTGACTCTAAAATCTATGTGGATAAGCAAAAATTACCCAAAATCTTTATTAAAAAATAAAGTTGGAGGAAACACACTACATGATTTTAAGTCTTACTGTATAAAGCTACAGTAATCAGATCAGTGAGCTATCTGCAAAAGGACAGAAATATAAACACATGAAACAGAAAAACAGTCCATTGAGGGTACAGGGTAGGAAGTGGGTCAGGATCAACAAACTACCTATTGGATACTATGTGTATTACCTGGGTGACAAAATAATCTGTACACCAAACCACTAAGACACATATTTACCCATGGAACAAATCTACACATGTACCCCTTGGACCTAAAATAAAAGTTAGAAAGAAAAAAAATAGAATGTATACATCAAAAAGATTTTTTTTTTTTTTTTGAGATGGAGTCTCGCTCTGTCACCCAGACTGGAGTGCAGTGGCAGGATCTCAGCTCACTGCAAGTTCCGCCTCCCGGGTTCACGCCATTCTCCTGCCTCAGCCTCCCAAGTAGCTGGGATTACAGGCGCCTGCCACCACGCCCAGCTAATTTTTTGTATTTTTAGTAGAGACGGGGTTTCACCGTGTTAGACAGGATGGCCTCGATCTCCTGACCTTGTGATCTGCCCACCTCAGCCTCCGAAAGTGCTGGGATTACAGGTGTGAGCCACCACACCTGGCCATCAAAAAGATTCCATTACCACTATCTAATCCCAGAACATTTTCACCATCCCAAAACAAAACCCCATACCCATTAGCAGTCACTCCCCATTCCCTTCTTCTCTCAGCCCCTGGAAATCACTAAATCTTTCTGTCTGTATGGATTTGCCTATTCTGGGCCAAATGATATTTGACAAAGATGCAAAGGCAATTCAACACAGAAAAGACAGGCCGGGTGTGGTGGCTCACATCTGTAATCCCAACACTTTGGGAGGCCGAGGCCTCAAGTGGATAACCTGAGGTGAGGAGTTCGAGACCACCCTGACCAACATGGAGAAACCCTGTCTCTACTAAAAATACAAAATTAGCTGGGTATGGTGGCACATGCCTGTAATCCCAGCTACTCGGGAGGCTGAGGCAGGAGAATTGCTTGAACCCGGGAGGCAGAGGTTGCAGTGAGCTGAGATCGTGCCATTACACTCCAGCCTGGTGACAGAGCAAAACTCTGTCTCAAAACAATAATAATAATAGTAATAATAATAATACAGAAAAGATAGTCTTCTCAACAAATTATGTTGAAACAATTGTATTTCCATATGTAAAAAACAGAACCCCTGTCTAAATCTCACACTCTACACAAAATGTAACTCATAATGTATCACAGACCTAAATGTAAATATACAACTTTTAGGGCAGGCATGGTGGCTCACACCTGTAATCCCAGCACTTTGGGAGGCTGAGGAAGGACTATCGCTGGAGGCCAGGAGTTTAAGAACAGCCTAAGCAACATAGCAAGACCCCATTTCTACAAAAGATTAAAATAAAAACAATTAGCCAGGCATGGTGGTACGTGCCTGTAGTCCCAGCTACTGGGAGGCTAAGGCAAGAGGATCACTTAGACGCCAGGAAGTCAATGGCTGCAGTGAGCCATGATCACACCACTGCACTCCAGCATGGGCAATAGAGTGAGACCCTGTCTCCAAAAAAATAAAATAAATAAATAAAACTAAAAGATTTAACATGTAATAGGTTTACTATTATTAAAATTTTTTTAATTTTTCAGTTTTAGATTTTTTTTTTTTTGAGACATTCTTGCTCTTGTCGCCCAGGCTGGAGTACAGTGGCACGATCTCATTTTACTGCAACCTCCACCTCCCGAGTTCAAGCGATTCTCCTGCCTCAGCCTCCCGGGTACCTGGGATTACAGGCGCCTGCCACCACACCTGGCTAATTTTTGTATTTTTAGTAGAGATAGAGTTTCGCCATGTTGGCCAGGCTAGTCTTGAACTCTTGACCTCGTGATTCACCCGCCTCGGCCTCCCAAAGTGCTGGGATTACAGGTGTGAGCCACTGCACCTGGCCACTTTTAGTTTTTAATACAGTAACTATCAATAGATATAAATCTATGTTAAAGAAAAAGAATATTTAGAGTACCAATAATTTTTAAGATTAGTAAGACGTCCTGAGAGTTTGGGAATGGCTAGATTATGTAACAGAGATCTATAATCATTTTTTTTACTATTAATAACCTTGATTTATGGTATATATTTGAATGAGTGAACACTTTTTAATACTCTACTATCTGAAATTTTACCAATCATTCTTTCAATAAACAAACATTTGACAAGAACCCCGACAATAGCTGAAGGAAATACGAGATGAGTAAGTCATGCTCCCTAGCCTTTTAGACAGGGTGGGAAAAAGATCTGATCTCCAGGGCAGCCTGACACATTAAGTTGAGAAGGATCCTGAAGCAAAGTCTGGGCTAAAAGGAAAGGATGCCATTATTGATTAGCTGGTCTTGGAAGGACAATAGCAACATTCATCCATTCGACAAGTATTTATTGAGAACATAAGATGTGTTTTAGGCATTTTTCTTTGAATAAATTCACAAGGAAAACCCATACAAGACAGGAGACAATGATAAAAATTTGCAAGTTGGACAGAAGATGTACAAGAGGTAACTGATTTAATGAATCTGAGAAAACTGAACTTATACCAGTAGTGGTACACACACACACACACACACACACACACACACACACACACACGGAACTTCCAATCAGCTTCACTACTCAAAAAAAGAGATAACCATCCAGGCGCAGCGGCTCATGGCAGTAATCCTAGCACTTTGGGAGGCCAAGGCAGGCAGATCCATTGAGCCCAAGAGTTTGAAATCAGCCTGGAAAACTTGGTGAAACTCCATATCTATAAAAAGTATAAAAAATTAGCCAGGTGTGATGGTGCGTGCCTGTTGTCCCAGCTACTTAGGAGGCTGAGCCAGGGATGTCGAGGCTAACTGCTTATGACGGCCTTCTCAAGTAAATGGGTAAGGGGATGACAAACAACTCCTCAAATGAGTAATCAAGGTTCAAGTTGTCATGATAATGGTCGTTTAAACCACTCATTTTGCCATAACTGATCCATGACCAGACCAAACAGAAAATACTGTACTTCTGGCCAGGTGCAGTGGCTGATACCTGTAATCCAGCACTTTGGGAGGCTGAGGCAGGAAGATCACCTGAGATCAGGAGTTCGGGACCAACATGGCAAAACTCCGTCTCTAAAGAAAATACAAAAAATAGCCAGTTACGGTAGCATGCACCTGTAGTCCCAGCTACTCGGGAGGCAGAGGTTGCAGAGAGCCAATCGTGCCACTGCACTCCAGCCTGGGCGGCAGAGTGAGACTCTGTCTCAAAAAGAAAAAAAAAAAGAAAAAGAAAAAAAAAGCATTGACAGAGTCATAATAACTTAAACTCTAAGTACTGGCCTAACCAAAATTAAACTCTGAGTACTGGCCTAAACTCTGACTACTGGCCTAACCAAAATTAAGATATAACATTATTGGAAAAATAAAAGGATCTAACTGTGCATGTGTAGTAGGAATGAGATGGGCAGTGAAAAAGTTAAATCATCTTCCATAGTGGAAAGCTGGTAGATAATGACTACAACTGAAAAATTAATCAGCAGTAACACAAGCATCTTAGTTTGAGATGTGGAGGTAAATACCAAAAGTACTGAAAGTGAATACTTCCCAAAGGATGAAAATGGGACACAGTGGAGAAGCCAGAAGACTCCTTTTTCAATAACAACTTGTATATAACCATTAAACTTTTAAAATTATGTGCTGTTAAAACTCTAATAATAAAAACTAATTTTAAAAAGCAATTTGTAGAATTTTTTTTGGCAGGGGAGAGAGAGAGGGTCTCGCCCTGTCACCCAGGCTGGAGTGCTGTGGTGTGATCTCAGCTCTCTGAAAACTCCACCTCCTGGGCTAAAGCATTCCTCCTACCTCAGCCTCCTGAGAAGCTGCAACCACAGGCACATGTCACCTTGCCTGGCTAATTTTTTTCATATTTTTTTTTGTAGAGATGGGTTTTACTATATTGCCCAGGCTGGTCTCGAACTCGTGAGCTCAAGTGATCTGCCTGCCTCAGACTCCCAAAGTGCTGGGATTACAGGTGAGAGCCACTGTGCCTGGCCAATTTATAAAACATTTAAACATAAAAAGTTTCTCACACCTGTAATCCCAGGACTTTTGGAAACCGGGGTAGGCGGATCACTTGAGGTCAGGAGTTCAAGACCAGCCTGGCCAACATGGTGAAACCCCATCTCAACTAAAAATACAAAAATTAGCCAGGTGTGGCCGGGCACGGTGGCTCACGCCTGTA
The DNA here is from genome assembly GCF_000001405.40 of Homo sapiens. Taxonomy (NCBI): domain Eukaryota; kingdom Metazoa; phylum Chordata; class Mammalia; order Primates; family Hominidae; genus Homo; species Homo sapiens. The sequence goes on from NC_000015.10 coordinate 42,899,486, forward strand.
ATCCCAGCACTTTGGGAGGCCGAGGCAGGCGGATCACGAGGTCAGGAGATCGAGACCATCTTGGCCAACATGGTTAAACCCTGTCTCTACTAAAATACAAAGAAATTAGCCGGGCGTGGTGGTACGTGCCTGTAATCCCAGCTACCTGGGAGGCTGAGGCAGGGGAATCACTTGAACCCAGGAGGCGGAGGTTGCAGTGAGCTGAGATCTGCCACTGCACTCCAGCCTAGTGACAGAGCAAGACTCCATACAAAAAAAGAAAAAAATTAGCCAGGTGTGCTGGTGGGCGCCTGTAGTTCCCAGCTACTCAGGAGGCTGAGGCAGGAGAATCGCTTGAATCCAGGAGGCGGAGGTTGCAGTGAGCCAAGATCACGCCACTGCACTCCAGCCTGGGCAACAAGAGCGAAACTCCATCTCAAGAAAAAAGAAAAGAAAAGTGCACTCTAGCCTGGGTGACAGAGCAAGACTCTGTCTCAAAAAATAAATAAATAAATAAATAAATAAAACTTTTATTTTCTCTTTTTTCAGATGGAGTTTCACTCTTGTTGCCCAGGCTGGAGTACAATGGCATGATCTCGGCTCACTGCACCTCCACCGCCCGGGTTCAAGCGATTCTCCTGCCTCAGCCTCCTGAGTAGCTGGGATTACAGGCACCCACCACCACGCCCGGCCAATTTTTGTGTTTTTGGTCGAGACGGGGTTTCACCATGTTGGTCAGGCTTGTCTCAAAACTCCTGACCTCATGATCTGCCTGCCTCAGCCTCCCAAAGTGCTGGGATTACAGGCATGAGCCACCGCACCCAGCCTAGAAAAGTTCTTTATGTTTTAAATTAAAAACATAAAACAGTACATATGTATGATCCCATTTCTATTAAAAATGTGTACACATAAATAAATTATGCACAGAAAAAACCTGAACTGAAATTTACCAACTATTAACAGTAGTTATAGGGCTGGGCATGGTGGCTCATGCCTTTAATCCCAGGAGTTTAGGAGGCTGACACAGGCCGATCACTTGAGGTCACTAGTTTGAGAATAGCCTGGCCAACACAGCAGCAAAACCCCGTCTCTACTAAAAATACAAAAATTAGCTGGGCATGGTGGTGCGTGCCTATAGTCCCAGCTACTCGGGAGACTGAGTCAGGAGAATCGCTTGAACCCGGGAGGTGGAGGTTGCAGCAGTGAGCCGAGATCGTGGCACAGCACTCCATGGGAAACAGAGCCAGACTCCATCCCCCCACCAAAAAAAAACAGTAGTTATTTCTATGTAGTATGGTTATTTTCTGGTGGATGGGGGAATTCCTCTTTTGTAAATTTACTACAGAAAACATGTATTTTTACAATTAGAAGGAAAACTTTTTAAAAGCTAAAATATTTAACTCTCCCATACATGGTCAAATGATTTTCAACAAGAGTCCCAAGATCACTCAATGGGGAAAGGAAAGTCTTTTCAACAAATGATGTTGGGGAAACTGGATATCCACATGTAAAAGAAAAAAGATGGACTCCTACCTCATACCATATACAAAAACATACTCAAAATGAAGCAAGGAACTAAACCTAAGAGCTAAAATTATAAAATTATTAGAGGAAGGCCGGGCACAGTGGCTCACACCTGTGATCCCAGCACTTTGGGAGGCCGAGGCAGGTGGATCACCTGAGGTCAGGAGTTCAAGACCAGCCCGGCCAACATGGTGAAACCCCATCTCTACTAAAAATACAAAAAATTAGCCGGGCGTGGTGGTGCATGCCTGTAATCCCAGCTACTCGGAAGGCTGAGGCAGGAAAATTACTTGACCCTGGGAGGCGGAGGTTGCAGTGAGCTGAGATCACACCATTGCACTCCAGCCTGGGCGACAGAGCAAGACTCCGTCTTGAAAAAAAAAAAATTATTAGAGGAAAACATAGGGGTAATGTATTCAGACAATGGATTTGACAATAATTTCTTGGATATAATACCAAAACAAAACAAAACAAAAAATAAATTTGGACTTCATCAAAATTAAAAACTTTTGGCCAGGCACAGTAGCATGTGCCTGTAGTCCCAGCTACTTGGGAGGCTGAGGTGGGAGGATCTCTTGAGCCCAGAAGTTCAAGTCCAGCTGGGCAAAATAGCGAGACCTCGTCTCTAAAAAAAAAAAAAAAGAATTTAATTAAAAAAAATTTAAAACTTTTGTGCATCAAAGAATACTATCAACAGAGTGAAAAGACAACCCACAAAATGGGAAAAAATATTTACAAATCATATATCTGATAAGGGATTAACATCTAGAGTACATAAAGAACTCCTAAAACTCAATCAACAACAAAATAACAACCTGGAAGAAATGAACAAAGGACTTGAATAGACACTTGTCCAAAGAAGATATACAAATGGTCAATAAACATGAAAAGATAGCCCCAACATCACTAATCATTAGGGGAAATGCAAATCAAAACCACAATGAGGGCCAGGGGCGGTGGCTCACGCTTGTAATCCCAGCACTTTGGGAGGCTGAGGCCGGCAGATCACCTGAGGTCAGGAGTTCGAGACCATCCTGGCCAACATGGTGAAACCCCATCTCTACTAAAAATACAAAAATTAGCCAGGCGTGGTAGAGCACGTCTGTAGTCCCAGCTACTAGGGAGGCTGAGGCAGGAGAACTGCCTGAACCCAGGAGGGAGAGGTTGCAGTGAGCCAAGATCGTGCCATTGCCCTCCAGCATGGGCAACAGAGCGAGACTCCATCTCCAAAAAAAAAAAAAACCAACCACCGCCAGGCGCGGTTGCTCACGCCTGTAATCCCAGCATTTCGGGAGGCCGAGGTGGGTGGATCACCTCAGGTCTGGAGTTTGAGACCAGCCTGACCAACATGGTGAAACCCCATCTCTACTAAAAATACAAAATTAGCCGGGCATGATGGCAGGTGCCTCTAATCCCAGCTACTTGGGAGGCTGAGGCAGGAGAATCTCTTGAACCCAGGAGGCGGAGATTGCGGTGAGCCGAGATTGTGCCATTGCACTCCAGCCTGGGCAAGAAGAGTGAAACTCCGTCTTATGTATATTAAAAAAAAACCACAATGAGACACCAGTTCACTTCCATTAATATGGCCATTATAAAAAATAAATATGGCAGGTGCCGGTGAGGATGTGAAAAAATTAGAGCCATTCTGCATTGCTGGTGGGAATATAATATGGGACAGTTACTGTGAAAAACAGTGCGGCAGTTCCTCAAATAATCAAACAGGGCCAGGCGCAGTGGCTCAAGCCTGTAATCCCAGCACTTTGCAGGGCCGAGGTGGGAGAATTGCTTGAGCTCAGAAGTTTGAGACCAGCCTGGGCAACGTGGCAAAACTGTCTCTACAAAATATACAAATATTAGCAAGGCATGGTGCCATGCACCTGTAATCCCAGCTACTTGGGAGGCAGGAGAATCGCTGGAACCCAGAAGGTGGATGTTACAGAGAAGAGAGATCGCGCCATTGCACTCCAGCCTGGGCAACAGAGTGACACTCTGTTTCTCAAAAAAAAAAAAAAAAGAAAGAAAGAAAGAAAGGGAATTCTTTTTAATTTTTTTTTTATTTGAGACAGTCTCGCTCTGTTGCCCAGGCTCTGTCGCCCATGAGCCACCGTGCCCGGCTGGGAATTCTTACCCATGCTAAAATGCAGATAAACCTTAAAGACATCACACTAAGTGAAATGATTCAGCACAAATGGATGAATATTATATGATTCCACTTATAATAGGTATCTAGAGTAATCAATTCAGAGACAGAAAGTAGAATGATGGTTACCAAGGGCCATGGTGAGGAGGTATTGAAAATTAGTGTTTAACGGGTATGGAGTTTCCATTTAGAAAAATGAAAAAGTCCTACAGATAGATGGTAATGATGGTTTCAGAACAATGGAAATGTACTTAAGGCCACTGAACTGTACACTTAAAAATGCTTAAAAAGAAAATCTTATGTATATTTTACCATAATAAAAAGAAAGTTTAAATTTTAAATAGGACTACTAGGCACTCCTCAGATGTAACTATAAAAGCCAAATAATTTTCACTATCTCACTCTAAATTACCAGTGGAAAAATCATGTGACAAATGGGTGGAGTCCTTCAGTACACTGAAATAAATCTAAGAATAGACTTGTCCCAATTAGGAACCGAACACTAGAAGAAAGACCAGGAATTCTATAAGACACCCAGGTTTGGCTGACTGCTTCTAAAAATGGCTCTCAATGACCCTCATCTCCTGCTATTGATCCTTTCCCTTAAGTGTGGGCTGTATTTAGTGACTTACCGCTAATGAACAGAATACAGCAAAAGTGATAGGATGTTACTTCCCAGATAGGTTATGAAAGACTGTGACATCTATCTTGCTCACATTCTCTCTCTCTGGCTCTTTCCACTTACTTGCTCTGATTAAGCGAGCTGCCATATCACCCTATAGAAAGGCCCACATAGCAAAGAATTGAGGCAGCTTCTGCTAGAATATTACATGATTCTGCTTATAATAGACCAATAGCTAGCAAGGAACTGAGGCTCTCAAACAAACTACAGGAATTGAATCCTGCCAACAATCATCAGAATGAGCTTGGAAATAGAACCCTCCCAAGCTGGGTCTTGTGATTGCTGCAGCATACCTTGATTGCAGCCTATGACTGATCCTGAAACAGAGTATCCACCCGAGTCATACCCAGAATCTTGACCCACAGACATCGTGAGATAATAAATGTTGTTTTAAAACACTAAGTTTTGAATAATTTGTTATGCAGCAATAGATAACTATATACCAGGCTTCACTGGTAATGGGGTGATAGTTTCTCAAAGTTATGCATGACCACAGGTTCCTTTTTTGTTCTAGATTATGGATTATACCTGAAAAATTAATAACTTAGCTACAGTACCAATATTGCCAAGAATTATTTTATATTTATTTTTTCAGTAAGATTTACAATAAAAAAAATCTTGGTGCAAGAACACTAGATACTGTAAGACAGAAATTAAATAAATTCCTCCTTGGTAATATCCTTAATGACCTAACATAGGAAGTAAATCGCATGCTAATGAATTCGGACAAAGATGCTAACTCTGGAGGTGTTGCCAAACAGACCCAAAGAAGATCAAAATATGGACAGAACATACTAAATGGAGATTCAACTTGTAAATGTAGAATAACATGTGGTGAAAAGTCATTTGAAAAAATTTGCTGGGTAGAAAAAGACTAAGAAAATAGCCAACAAATTAATAAGTAAACACTGACAATCACCTAGATTATAAACTCCTTGAAGATGAAGACCCATATCATAATGATTATCCTCTGCCATAACCAAGTATTGAGCTTTGCAGTTAATCAATAGATATTTGGCGAAGTTAATTAAAGGGCTCAAAATGAGACATCAAACTGTATATAATTTTTTTTTTTTTTTGACGCAGGGTCTTACTCTGTCGCCCAAGCTGTAGGGCAGTGGTACAATCTCGGCTCACTGCAACCTCAGCCTTCTGGGCTCAAGTGATCCTCCCACCTCAGCTTCCCAAGTAGCTGGGACTACAGAAACATGCCACCATGCCCGCCTAATTTTTGTATTTTTTGTAGACACAGGATTTCGCCATGTTGGCCAGGCTGGTCTAGAACTCCTGGACTCAAGTGCTATCCGCCCATCTTGGCCTCCTAAAGTGCTGGGATTACAGGCCTGTGCCACCACACTTGGCCCCAAACTGTATATAATTTAAGTCATATAGATTCACATATACAAATAGAGTAAAAAAGATAAAGTAGAACAAAAATAAGAATGATAAGAGGCACAAAGGGAAGTTTTTTGTTTTGTTTCGAGACAGGGCCTCACTCTGTCACCCAAGCTGGAATACTGTGGCATAATCCCAGCTCATTGCAGCCTTGACCTCCTGGGCTCAGATGATCTCCCCGTCTCAGCCTCCCAGGTAGCTGGGACCACAGGCACACACCTAGCTAAATTTTTGGAGATACAGGTTTTGCCATATTGCCCAGGCTGGTCTCAAACTCCTGAATTCAAGAGATCTTCCCAACTCGGCTTCCCAAAGTGCTGGGGTTACAGGCATGAGCCACCATGCCCAGCCAGGAAATATCTTTTAAATTGTATAGGAACTTCAAGAAACATAAGCCAGACCAAACAAGACTTAATGAAAAGAACTCCCTAAAAGAGTATTATCTGAGATATTAACATAACACTAAAGTTTATTGTCTTCTAACTCCAGGAACTCCTCACAAAATAGAGATTAAGACCAGACCACTGTACCTAGATTCAAATTCTGGCTATTGGGCCCATTAATTAACTTCTCTGTACCTCAATTTCCTCATCTATTAAAAAAAAGGGTAATGACAATCACTAAGCATTAAAAGTGCTAAGATATATGTAAAGTGTTTATTCATCACAGTGCCTAGTATACTGACTGTGCTCAATAAAACTGGCCGGGCATGGTGGCTCACACCTGTAATCCCAGCACTTTGGGAGGCCAACACAGGCCGATCACCTGAGGTCGGGAGTTCGAGACCAGCCAGACCAACATGGAGAAACCCTGTCTCTACTAAAAATACAAAATTAGCTGGGCGTGGTAGTGCATGCCTGTAATCCCAGCTATTCGGGAGGCTGAGGCAGGAGAATCACTTGAACCTGGGAGGTGGAGGTTGTGGTGAGCCAGGATCACACCATTGCACTTCAGCCTAGGCAACAAGAGCGAAACTCCATCTCAAAAAAAAAAAGCAGTCATTACTTATGTAATTCTGCATGTTTCCTAAACAACAGAAGAGAAACAGTCACATTCACAGACATAATACTGTCCAAAACAGTTCCTGTACCACTTGAATATTAAAGAAAATTACCATATTTGCACGGAGGCCCAGAATTGAAACCTATTATACAAATACTACTTATCAAATTCATATAAAAATATTTTTGTCAGCAAAAGAAAATTACCATACTAATATGATTACAAATTAAATTATACCATTTGCATTGTTATAATTTTGCTTTTAAAGTTATTAGTAATAGAAAAACCCCTATCTTTCACCATATACAAAAATCAAATCAAAATGGATTAAAGACTTCTTGAATCTAAGACCTGAAACTCTGAAACTACTAGAAGAAAACACTGGGGAAACACACCAGTACACTGGTCTAGGCAAAGATTTCTTGTGTAAAATCTCAAAAGCACAGGCAACCAAGGCAAAAATAGATAATTGGGATTATATCGAACTAAAAAGCTTCCGCACAGCAAAGGAAACAATCAACGAAGTAGACAACCCACAGAATGGGAGAAAATATTTGCAAACTATCCATCTGACAAGGAGTTAACCAGAATATACAAGGAGTGCAAACAACTCAATAGCAAAAAAAATTAAATAATCTGATTTTTAAATGGGCAAAAGATCTGAATGGACATTTCTCAAAAAAAAAAGACATTCGGGCCAAGAGCAGTGGCTCATGCCTATAATCTCAGCAATCTGGGAGGCCAAAGCAGAAGGATCACTTGAGCCCAGGAGTTTGAGGCCAGCCTGAGCAACACAATGAGACCCTGTCTCATTAAAAGAAAAAAAAAAAGAAATACAAATGGCCAACAGATATATGAAAAAATGCTTAATATCACTAATCAGAGAAATGTAAATCAAAACCTCACAAAATAGAGATTAATATGATATCATCTCACCCCAGTTAAAATGGCTTATATGAAAAAGGCAATAACAAATGCTGGCAAGGATATGGAGAAAGGGAAACGCTCATACACTGCTGGTAGGAATGGAAATTAGTACAGCCACTATGGAGGCGCTATAGAGGTTCCTCAAAAAAACTAAAAATAGAACTTCCATATTATCCAGCAATTCCACTATTGGGTATATATCCAAAAGAAAGGAAATCAATATAGCAAAGAGATATCTGCACTCCCATGTTTATTGCAGCACTATTAACAACAGCCAAAATGGAATCAACCTAAGTGTCTATCCAGATGAATGGATAAAGAAAATGTGGTATACACTGTGTATACACATTCAAAAGAATGAAATGCTGTTATTTGCAGTAACATGGATGGAAATGAAGGCCATTACATTAAGTGAAATAAGCCAAGTACAGAAAAATAAATGTTGTATGTTTTCACTCATATGCCAGAGCTAAAAGAGTAATCTCATGAAGATAGAGAGTAGATTGGTGGTTACCAGAGGCTGAAAAGGGGAGGGGAAGGGGGAAGAAATGGGAAAAAAAGAATATAAATGTATTTATTGTTACTAAACTGTACATATAAAATGGTAAAGATGGTAAATCTTATTTGCACGTTTTACCTCAATTAAAAAATTTTTTTGGCTGGGCATGGTGGCTCACAACTGTAAATTCAGCACTTTCAGAGGCCAAGGCAGATGGACTTGAGCCCAGGAGTATGAGACCATCCTGGGCAACATGGCAAAACCCCATCTCTACAAAAAAAAAAAAAATAATAATAATAATAATTAGCCTGGCATGGTGGCATGTGCCTGTGGTCCCAGCTACTCAGGAGGCTGAGGTGGGAAGATTCCTTGAGCCCAAGAGGCAGAAGTTGTGGTGAGCCAAAATCATGCCACTGCACTCCAGCCTAGATGACAAAGTGAGACCCTGTCTCAAAAAAACAAAGCTTTTAAAATAAAGTTAATAGAATTAGTTGATCAAAAAGGGAATAAAAATAAACCAATGCCACCTACTATTTTTAGACTGGCGAAAGTACAGATTAGGAGAGGCAAGGTGGCTCATACCTGTAATCCCAGAACTTTGGGAAGTTGAGGTGGGAAGACTGCCTGAGGCCAGGAGTTCAAGACCAGCCTAGGTAACATAAGATGCCGTCCGTAAAAATTTTAAAAATTAGTCAGGTGTGGTGGTGTGCATCTATAGTCCTAGCTATTCAGAAGGCTGAAGCCGGAGTATTGCTTGAGCCTAGGAGTTCAAAGCTGCAGTGAGCCATGATTGTGCCACTGCATTCCAGTCTGGGTAACAGAACAAGACCCTGTCTCAAAACAAAAAGTATAGATTAGTTCTCAAATATGTTTTAACTTGAAGCAAATTTTGAGTACTCACCCATATAAAGGAAGCATTATCATAGTTAATATCAAAGAAGAAAGTATTTAAATTAAAAAGTGAGGACTTTTGTACACCTCTAGTAGGAATATACTTTGTTGTTGCTTGTTGTTGCTTGCTAATCGTCCAGTGTACATGCCAAGGGAATGTACTTTGAAAATGGTATTGTACTGTATTATAAAAGAAAGCTGAAGATAATGCATACCCTGTGACTCAGCAACTCCTTTACTAGGTATACACCCTAGAAATACTTTTTCCCCATGTACACCAGCAAACAGGTACAAGAATGTTCATAGTCACATTGTCCATAAATGGTAAAAACTACAAACAACCCAAATGTCCAGCAAGAGAAGAATGGATAAATTATAGTATATTCGTCCTGTATATATATTCATATAGCAGCTTCTTACTGTTGCTGTAACAAATATGACAAATTTAGTGGCAAAAAACAACACAAATTTATAATCTAATAGCTCTAGAGGTCAGAAGTCTGTGCTTCTACTGGGCTAAAGCTCTAGGGAGAATTTATTTCCTTACCTTTTCTAGCTTCTAGAACCCACCTGAATTCTGTTTTGTTGTTGTTGTTGCTTTGCTTTGTTTTGTTTTTTAAGAGACAGGGTCTCACTATGTTCTCCAGGCTGGAGCGCAGTAGCTAGCTATTCACAGGCTCAATTCTTACACACTACAGTCTCAAAGTCCTGCGCCTAAGCGATCCTCCTGCCTCGCCTTCCAAATAGCTGGGAATACAAGTGCACCACCAGGCCCAGCTTGCCTGAATTATTTGGTTTATGGCCTCATCCCCCACCTTCAAAGTCAGTAGTATAGCATCTTCAAATCTCTCTCTGACTTTTGCTTCCATTGTCACATCTCCTTATCTCTCTCTGACAAAGTATATGCCTCCCTCTTATGAGCACCCCCTTGTGATTACATCAGACCCACCCAGATAATCAAGGAAAATCCTCCTCTCGCAAGAGCCTTAATTTAATCATATATGCAAAGTCTCTTCTGCCACATAAGTTAACATATTCATGTGCTGGGGATTATGACATGAACATTTTGGGGGGCCATTATTGCACTTACCGCAAAACTACGCTAAAAAGAAAATGAAGAAAATATTGCTATACTGAACTACATGAATGAATCTCACAAACTACACTGAAAAAAATTAAGCAAGACAAAATAATATACACAATATGAGCCCTTTTACATAAAGTCCAAAAATAAGCAAAACTAAACTACGTTAAATGGAGATGCAAACATAGATAGTAAGTCTATAAAGAAAAGCAAAAATATTATTATCACAAATATCATAAGAATGGCTACCTTTGGGGTAAAGAAAGCAGGTGAAAGCCAGGCAGCTTACACCTGTAGTAATCACAGCTACTAGGGAGGCTGAGGATCACTTGAGCCCAGAAGTTTGAGACCAGCCTAAACAACACAGGGAGATCCCATCTCAACAAAACAATACAAAACAAAACAAAAAAGGCAGGTGAGATCAGGAATGGGATTCTGAGATGCTGACAACATTTTATTTATTGAACACTGGCTTTATAATTATTCCTTAAACTGCACATGTATGTTTTATATACACCATGATTAATATATCTTATAAAAAGAACAGTAACAGATAATAGTTATATAAACCAGAAACAGAGAAAGCCAGACATAGAATAGATTAGGCAACAATAATCTAGCAGTGTGAGAGAGAGTAGAAGAGTGCCCCATCTACACAATAAAAAAAAAAAAGCCAGCTAACCTGTGAGTTGAGCATGAAGCAGAAATATAGGTTTGCAGTAAAGAAACAACCTTAGAAGCACGCACACAATTTACGTCCTCCTAATAGAGTACACATTTCTTGAGGTCAAGAGCATCTACTCATTCACTTCTACTCATCTAGCATCTAGCCTAATACCTACCATTGAACCTTTCACTAAATGAAATATCTTTCACCTCCCATACAGCTGAATGAAACTAAATAGTCCTCTGGCAAATAACTGGACAGTTGATTTGAAAATTTAACATATGCTCATTCAATAAATTGTCACGAATACAGGGAAGAGAAAAAAGAAGCATAATGCATAGCTTTGCCCTCAATGAGTTAATAATCAGGAGAAGAAAAGTTATTATTTCAAAAAATAATTATTTCCAAAATAGTCTTTGAATGAGAACACATAATACAAAAACAGAAATTAACAGTAACTATCTGGATGTAAAAGGTAAAAAAATAGGGGCCTGGCGCAGTGGCTCATGCCTGTAATCCCAGCACTTTGGGAGGCCGAGACAGGCAGATCACGAGGTGAGGAGTTCGAGACCAGCCTGGCCAACATGGTGAAACCCTGTCTCTACCAAAAATATAAAAATTAGCCAGGCATGGTGGCAGGTGCCTGTAATCCCAGCTACTTGGGAGGCTGAAACAGGAGAATTGCTTGAACCCAGGAGGCGGAGGATGCAGTGAGCTGAGATTGTGCCATTGCACTCCAGCCTCGGTGACAAGAGTGAAACTCCGTCTCAAAAAAAAAAAAAAACGGTGAAAAAATAGAAAAAGTTAACCTACATCAATTTGTAAGGGCCAAATGCATACAAAAAATTGAACGGGGAGGTTAATACTAGCTAGGATTGTCATACAAAGTTTCTTACAAAAGGTGGATATGATTTGTAGAAGACATCTGGTCGATTGCAAAATAGCCACACATTTCTCCCATTCCCGTACATACATTCCTTTGCAATGTGTCCTTGATACTTTGCAATGTGTCCTTGATACATATCCCATCGAGAGGTAGGACTGTGCTGGGCACTGTGGCACATGCCTAGAATCCCAGCTACTAGAGAGGCTGAGGCAGGAAGATTGCTTGAGCCCAGTAGTTTAAATCCAGCCTGGGCAACATAGCAAGACCTTGTCTCTAACAAAAGAGGTAGAACATTCCTTTGGTTCCTTTCTCCTTCTCTGAAACTGGGGTTGGCCATGTGATTTGTTTTGGCCAATGGGACATTAGCAAACATGACCCAGAACCCTGAAAAGTACTTATACACTGGACTTGCCCTCTTTTGCTACTTTTGGAGCCCAGACTCATGAGAAGAAACTCAAGCTAGCCAACTGCCTCATATAAATGAGAACAAACAAGACCAAAACAAGTACTATTCAGCTGAGCCTAAACTGCCAACCCACAGAACAGTTAACTAATAAATAATTATTGTTTTAGCCTCTAAATTTTGAGGTGCTTTGTTTCAAGGCAAAAGTTAACTAAGGAGGTATGCAAAGGCACAGAAGAGGAAATAAGCATAACATACAAGTGCATGGGAAAATAAATGATAAGATTAATCTACATCAGGGGTGTCCAATCTTTTGGCTTCTCCAGGCCACAGTGGAAGAACTGTCTTAGACCACACATGAAATATACTAACACTAACGATAGCTGATGAGTTAAATACACACACACACACACACACACACAACTACAAAAGCTCATAAAGTCTTAAGAAAGTTTACAAATTTGTGTTGGGCCACATTCAAAGCCGTCCTGGGCCACGTGCGGCCCATGGGCCGCTGGTTGCACAAGCTTGGTCTACGTGAAAAGGGTGCTTATTGGGAGAAAGAATACATAGGCCTGAAAGGTAAACTGAGTTCAAACTGCAAAAACCAGGCTAGGAAGAGGACAGACATCATTCTGTTTCAGTCGGCAAGGTGGCACAGGGTGGGCCTGAAGGCACCCCTTCAGGAGCTGGAGGATGATATAATGTAAGAGGAAAAAGAGTCCATTTAGAAGACTATTACCATCACTATTATCTCTCAGGCTAAAGTAATAAACTCCTACATTTAGGAGGGAAACTAGATAATTCACCAAATAGCAGTTTTATAACTGTCATATAGTTTATATAAGATTCTACTCTTTGGCCAGGCCTGATGGCTCACACATGTAATCCCAGCACTTTGGGAGGCCCCAAGGTGGGTGGATCACCTGAGGTCAGGAGTTCAAGACCAGTCTGGCCAACATGATGAAACCCCATCTCTACTAAAAATGCAAAAAAATTAGCTGGGCCTGGTGGCGGGTGCCTGTAGTTCCAGCTACTCGGGAGGCTGAGGCAGGAGAATTGCTTGAACCCGGGAGGCGGAGGTTGCAGTGAGCTGAGATTGCAAGATCGCGCCATTGCACTCCAGCCTGGGTGACAAGAGCAAAACTCCATCTCAAAAAAAAAAGTATCTAAATTGTTACATTTTAAAATAAAACAAGATCATGTGTAGAAACAAGTTTACAAAGAGTACACACCAGCTAAATTTTTCAAGGCATCTAATATACTAATAAGCAACATAGGCCGGGCGCGGTGGCTCACGCCTGTAATCCCAGCACTTTGGGAGGCCGAGGCAGGTGGATCATGAGGTCAGGAGATCGAGACCATCCTGGCTAACAAGGTGAAACCCCGTCTCTACTAAAAATACAAAAAATTAGCCGGGCGCGGTGGCGGGCGCCTGTAGTCCCAGCTACTCGGGAGGCTGAGGCAGGAGAATGGCGTGAACCCGGGAAGCGGAGCTTGCAGTGAGCCGAGATTGCGCCACTGCAGTCCTCAGTCCGACCTGGGCGACAGAGCGAGACTCCGTCTCAAAAAAAAAAAAAAAAAAAAAAAAGAGCTCCTCTGAAGAGTTAGTAAAAAGAAATGAAGATTTGTAAAGAACCCCATTTGCTGATGGCAAAAGAAGAGAAGGTAAGTTTATTCACCACTCACACTTCAACTGTTCTTTATCAACTTTCAGGGGAGGTAAATTATACTTTGGGCAACCTGAAATCTCTCTGAGCTCAATAAATCTAAGTAAAATATCTATTGAGAGAGGCTGGGCGTGGTGGCTCACATCTGTAATCCCAGCACTTTGGTAGGCCGAGGCGGGCGGATCACGGGGTCAGGAGATCGAGACCATCCTGATTAACACGGTGAAACCCCGTCTCTACTAAAAATACAAAAATTAGCCAGGCGTGGTGGTGGGCGCCTGTAGTCCCAGCTACTCAGGAGGCTGAGGCAGGAGAATGGCGTGAACCCGGGAGGCAGAGCTTGCAGTGAGCCGAGATCACGCCACTGCACTCCAGCCTGGGCGACAGAGCGAGACTCCGTCTCAAAAAAAAAAAAGTAAAGAGAAGCTTTACAGGTCAGTATGGTTACAATTACTGACAACAAAAGTGTAAACAACCTAGTTTTCCTCTCCCTGGCTACCATACTAGCAACACATAAACAAATTCTTCCCTTATAGGAAGTACAGTATAACTTACATGACCAGATTGTTAAGGAAAACACTACACATTCCTTGGGTAAACAAAATCATTCCTCGGGTAAAATCTACTATAACCAAATCAACCGAGCAAAGCATTATGTCTATGATCTTCCCACTAACACAAAGAAAAATCAATACAGAACCTTTTCTGTATCTTCACTGCAATAACATTTTAAGTATATTAACTTCCTTTTTTTTTTTTTGAGATGGAGTTTTGCTCTGTCACCCAGGCTGGAGTGCAATGGTGCTGTCTCGACTCACTGCAACCTCCACCTCCCGGATTCAAGCGATTCTCCTGCCTCAGCCTCCCAAGTAGCTGGGACTACAGGTGCGTGCCACCATACCCGGCTAATTTTTATATTTTTTAGTAGAGACAGGGTTTCACCATATTGGCCAGGCTAGTCTCAAACTCATGACCTCGTGATCTGCCCGCCTCAGCCTCCCAAAGTGCTAGGATTATAGGCATGAGCCACCACGCCTGGCCTTAACTTCCTTTTTCAAAAACAGCAAAACTGGCCAGCCACAGTATAATATAATATATCCTAATATATTATATCCTAATCACTTGTACATTTAATGAATCACCGATAAGCTGCTGGACCCTAGCTACAGAGACACTATAGCCATCTACTTGGAACACCTCTTTCTTGTAACCATGGCTTGTACTCTGGCTTCTGGTAACACAGTCCTAAGTTCTCATGGTTCAAACAGAGAGTGTAAAACCATAACATAGGAACTCTGTCAGTATTCAAGTAATTGAGGCTTGGGAGAATCCAAAGTAGAAACCCATATTGGAGGGAGAGTGGGGACTCTTTAGGACAAAACTCTTTCAAGTGTTCTTGTGTTCTGAAAGAACTTGTCTAAAGCTGTTTCATGGGTTGTGTGGACATTTAATTTCAAATAGTCTTTTAAATTTAAAAACATTTATTTTGTCATTATTTATTTAATTATTTAACTAATTATAGGGATAATATATCCACTAGCCTCTGACTCTGGTGAAGTATGTAGAATGAACTGTGGCTGATGAAACAGAAACTTCTTCCCTGAACCCACCTCTTGACTGTTAGGTCTGTTAAATGCTCATGTCTGCATCTTCCCTTCATAATACCTGGAACACTTGTAATTCCTTCTCCTGCAAATCTCTGCTTCCACTATTTGTAAGCTCCAAAAGTGAGTAGATTATTTGTCTTGTTGGCTGTTAAATCTCCAACCCCTAGCACAGTAACATGGTAGATGCTTAGCAAGTATTTAATCAAGGAATGAGGCTACTGTTACACAGTAATCCCCCTTATCCATGGTTTCACTTTCTGCAGTTTCAGTTACCCGTGGTCAACCACAGTCCAAAAATATTAAATGGAGAATTCCAGAAATAAACAATTCATACGTTTTAAATTGTATATTGTTTTGAGTATGGTGATGAAATCTCAAGCTGTTCAGCTCTGTTGCACCTAGGACGTGAACCATCCCTTTGTCCAGCATGTATCTGCACCGTCTGTGCTGTTTGTCACTTAGTAGCCATCTTGGTTGTTAGATCACTGTCTCAGTATAGCAGTGCTTGTGTTCAAGTAACTAACTCTTATTTTACTTAATAATGGCCCTAAAACACAAGAGTAGTGATGCTGGCATATTACGATAACTGTTCTATTTTATTAGCTATTGTTATTATTCCCTTACTATGCTTAATTTATAAACTTTATCACAGCCATGTATGTATAGGAAAAGCATAATTATCTATAGGGTAAGGTACTATCTGAGGTTTCAGGCATCCACTGGGGGTCTTGGAATGCATGCCCCTTAGATGGGGATGACTACAGTAGTTTAAAGTTTCACAGAGACCAAAGTAAGGTGGTAGCAATGGAAATAAAATGCAGAGGGCTAGGCATTGTGCCTCATGCCTATAATTCCTGCACTTTGGGAGGCTGAGGTGGGAGGATTGCTTGAATTCAGGAGTTCAAGACCAGCCTGGGCAACATAGTGGGACCCCACCTATACAAAAAATTGTAAAATTAGCCAAGTGTGGTGGCACATGCCCGTAGTCCCAGCTACCCAGGAGGCTAAGGGGGGAGGACTGCCTGATCCCAGGAGGTCAAGGCTGCAGTGAGCTACGATCATGGCACTCCAGCCTGGGCAACAGAGCAAGACCCTGTCTCCAAAAAAAGAAAGAAAGCAGAGGTTTTGTGTGGGTGAGATCCAGGAGAAATAGGGAGCAAAAAGAAAAAAGAAAAAAGAAAAGAGAGAGAGAGAATGTGTGTTTTGATCCTGTATGACTAAATGATAATGCCTTTATTTATAGAATTAAGGAAGTTAAAAAGAGAACTGACTATTATCTTGGATATGTTGAATTTTTTAAGTGCTAGGGAAGTCCAGCAGAAATGAAGTCCTAATCTAGTTTATTATCTACCATATAATTTAGCCTCCAGATGATTTTTCTTAAATCAAATTTCCATGAGAGGCAAGGCTCACATTTTTTTCTTTGGTTATTCATTTTTTCCTATTTTCCTCCCCTCATCTTCGCCTTATTGGTCATTGAAAAATGTTTTTTGTTTTTGTTTTTGATACAGAGTTTCACTCTGTCACCCAGGCTGGAGTGCAGTGGCACAATCTTAGCTCACTGCAACCACCGCCTCCGGGTTCAAGCAATTCTCCTGCCTCAGCCTCCCAAGTAGCTGAGATTACAGGTGCATGCCACCACATCCTGCTAATTTTTCTATTTTTAGTTGGGATGCGGTTTCGCCACGTTGGCCAGACTTGTCTCCAACTCCTGACCTCAAGTGATTCAATTACCTACCTTGGCCTCCCAAAGTGCTAGGATTACACGTGTGAGCCACCACACCCGGCTGAAAAATGGTGATAAAACTTTTAGATATTTTTGAAACTGAAGCACTTGGAGGATCAAGAAATTTAAAAAGACTTTACAAACTTCATCTATAATATATAACGTGGAAAATTCAATGTTGGAAAAATATGAACAAAATATAGTCTTTCAATGATCATATGGCTAGAACAAGATGATGGAAACTGCAACTCCATTTTTTTAAAGGCAACTACTTTGAAACTGCAGAAAGAAAAAGACAAATATAAAAATATTAATTATAAAACCATTTTGGTAAAAACATATATAATGGCAAATATGTTTTCTAATTCAAACATTTTAAAATGCTGATTCTTGTTTTCAATAAAGATGTTAATTCTCTGTTTAAAAAAATAATGATTCTGAAAACATGGTTAAATCTCGATAGCTTACCAAAGGAAGCTAAGAAGCTACTTAGTAACTTCCACTCTTTAGGAGGCACTATTACATCCCAGATTCTTTTCAAAGGACACTTAAGTTTTTCACATTGGGAAGCTTTACCCTAACTGAAGTGAAAGCAAATTCCTATATACAATAAAAAACAGCTATAAACACTCCAAAACACCAAGGATTATAGAGACAAAGGTTAAAAAAAAAATCACAGGAAAAAAAATCCAAAATGTTCACAAAAGTTTGTAAGTACTATATGTTCACTTAAGCATCAAGAATAAAGTCACATGACATTAATGAAAATATACTAAGAAGGCTATTTAAAAATAACCAACTGAAAAGAAGAAACTATCTAGCAAAATTGACATTCATATTATGTTATAATATAATTTCAATCTGTATTATAAACCTATAATCAAGGATCACCAGACTTTAATGAGGCAGTTTTGAGTAGTAATATGTGTTGTCCTTATGCTCAAAATTTAGTTCTAAAAAACTGAATTTTTTCATATGACCTTAAAGGCTCTTTCACCAAATATGTACGATATTTAACTTGAAAGCTTTCAGTACTTTCGGCATAAAAGGTTCTATCCACTGAAGCCTGGGGAAAAAACTTCCACTACCACACATTGTTTACAATATGCTGGATGACAAAAAAAAAAAAGACTAGGAAATAAAACTAAATAAAATGTATTTAATTTCAAAAATCCATAAATATTGAAGGTATATTGCAATATTACTAATCAAACAGAAATAGCTCCAGCTACATTTTGAGTGTCTCTCAAAAACCTCAATAAGAACAAAAAATGAATACATGACTAGAGTAATTTTGAGTAGCATACCCTCAAATTGAAAACACTGTTTGCTATATATTTGTAAAAGAATATTTCCTATAGGATTTTTTTTTAAGTGTGGAAAGAAGTAAGCTATAGCTATATTTTCCATAATTCTCAAAGACTTTTTATTTTACTGATCAACACAGTCCTTACTAGATCAATAATGATCCTAAACACTTTCCCTTGTCATAGATTTGTATTTATTTATTTATTTATTTATTTCAAGAGATGGGGTCTTGCTCTGTCACCCAGCCTGGAGTGCAGTGGAGCGATCACAGATCACAGCAGCCTCAACCTCCGATCCACCCCCTCAGTCTCCCTAGTAGCTGGAACCACAGGTGTGAGCCACCATGCCCGGCTAAATTTTTGTTTGTTTTTTGTAGAGACAGGATCTCCCTGTGTTACTTAGGCTGGTCTCAAACTCCTGGGCTCAAGCGATCCTCCTGCCTTGGCCTCCCAAAGTGCTGGGATTACAGGCATGAGGTTTTTTTTTTTAAAGCAGCAAACATTTATTATCTCACACAGTTTCTCAGGATTCGAATCTGAAAGTGTCTTAGGTAGGTGGTTCTGGCTCAGAGTCTCTCATGAGTTGCAATCAAGCAGTCATCTGGATATGTTACTTTTTAAAGTTATAAAGCATATAAAAAAGTGGCTGCCCCCCACCAAAGTGAAATTTAAATTCCATGATCACAGCTAACTCGGATCTGTAATATTCATTTACTTTGAAAAACCAATAACTTATCATTGCCACATTTTTAGTGCACTTTTTAGAAGTAAAATACGCTCGAAAATGGTCTAAATTATGCAAACTTCCCTTCTAGTATTACATTTAAAGATACTTGAAGCCCCACATAATTGAGTTCAATTTGCTAAAGCAAATGAGGTCTAACCTCTTGAAGATTTCCTGAAGTATTAAAATAATCAACACTTAAAATCAAAAGAAGATACAACAATCTAAAGTCATATATAATGCAATAGAGAATTTACTAAATTATGTATTAACCATAGTACAAGATAATGAGCAAGATATATTATTCTCAGCCCCCTAACCAATGTACAAATTTGCATCAACTTGATATTATATATTAAATTAATGAAGTTATGGACTTTAATTTCTTCTGTGTCTAAAACTGGAAGAGGGAAGAAAGCATTTCCTAACATTCTATCATAAAAGAAAAATGTTAAGAGAAACTTTCCTTTAAAACCATGCTTCATATGTCCCCTTCGGTGTCTTGATAAAATGTTATCATACAGGAAAACATAAGCTTCTAAATCAAAGATTTCCTTCAATGTTTTCAATTTGCATAGATCACAATATAACACACACATTATTTGAAACATTTTTTGACTTCAGACAAATGCCTCAAGATTAATCATATTAAGCTATATTTGTCATCATTACTGCTTCTTTATTTAAAAAAAAAAAGGAAATAAAGCAAGCAATACATAGCATTCAATTCCCTTGATAAGTTAAAATCATTTCCCCCTTCTATCCCCAAATGAACTTTATTCTATTCCATTTAGCCAAAGGTACACAGCCAACACATCTTTGTGTTATACTGTGGCAAATCAGGGTTTAGATACCAATGCAACTATTATCAATGGCTCAGAACCAAACATTGTTAACAAAACACACTGAGTGGATCCTCCCTCTGCGTGTGTGTCTACATGTGCCCATTCATAACATGACCCTCCTACACACACAGAAACTCAATTTCTACTGAATTACAAAACATCTTCACATTATTAGAAGTGTATAATAAAACTGTCCTCTTTAATGTTCAAAGAAAGAATAATTTCTAAAGCGATGAGAGAGAAGAGTTAATACCAGGATTGCTGCTACCCATCAACTTTAATTCAAAGCAAAGTACAACTCAATGTCATTTTTACCTCTACTGTAGCCTCGACGGATACAAAATTAACTTCGCTGTAGAATAAAGTATCCTGGCATCCCAATGGATTATTTACTTCTCCGATTTGACAGAACATATACGTGAGTCTTTTGTCCCTCCCACAGCATCCCAGGGTGTCAACATCATCTCTGCCACAGCAAATGACGAGCAAATCCCTCAGATCATTACTTCAGCACCCTAAGTACAAGAAAGTCGCGGCCTTCACTGTCGTTACAACACAGCAAACAGATTCAGTAGTCCCATGTTCCTTTCCATGATAGTTGGGGAGGCGGGGTGGGAAATAAGCGCTCAGATTTCCTAGGAATCCTTCGTGTTCGGTGCTGGTACCAGAAGTGGCATGGGTACAAGTGATATGTGGGTCACCCACAGAGAGAGACGCAGAACGAAGCTTCGTGACCCTCCAAGTTCAGTGAAGACACCCAAAGCCTGGGGCAAAACGAGGCGGCAGCCTTCGGGGAAATCGGGCAGAACCAGAACGATCTCCGAGATGGAGAGTGACGGGGTCTGGCACGAGCCCCGGGCTTGCAGCGAACTGAAAGTCCCCGGTACCCCTCCCCTCCTCAGCAGGCTCGGTCACTCGGCGAGGGGTGCGGCCGGAGGAGGGGGTCGAGACTGGGGGAGGGCGGCGCCCTGGGGGGTCGGGGGGTGTGTCCTACCTGGGCCGTGGCGGACGCAGGGGTTTCTGGAGGAGGGCTCTGGTCCAGCTCAGGACCGGGACCGGCGGGGGTTAACCCTCGGCAGGCGGGACCGCCACTGCCTGCCCATCCCCCACCGCCGACTGCGGCGGGACCCGAGCGCGGCTTCCAGGGCCGGCCGGCTGGGTAGTCCCCTGGGGTACCGTCCGCGTTTACTGGCGGCGGCGGCGGCGGCTGCTGCTGCTGTTACTGCTGCTGCCGGCTCCCCCAAGCCGCTGCTCTTGTGCCAGCACCTGCTCCCCCTCCTGCCGCCGCCGCCGCCTCGTCCCCACCGCTCCCATCGCCGCTGCGGCGACTACTGCAGAGCCCGCTGACCCGACCCGACGTTATTCTCCCCCCTCGTAACCCGACACAGCCTAGCCCACCTGCCCTGCCAGCGCGCACGCCCACCTCTCCGCTACAGGTGCTGATTGGAGAGTGCGTTCCGAACTCGCAGCGTCGGTTGGCTAGTCCCATTGCCTATCACGAAGGGGGCGGAGAGTCGGGCAGAAACCGTCTCCGCCCCCCACCGGAGAATTGCCGCTATCTTCAGGTTTGCCTGAGAGGGCGAGTTACCGGGAAAGGAGCATCACAATGGCAGCGCGCATGCGCCTAGGAATTCTGGGCCTCGTAGTTCCAGCCATAGCCGCAACTCCCCGCCTGTCCCGAGGAGAGAAGTAGGGCTTCCGAGACAAGTAGTTTGCGCACATAGGTGTTCTCCTAGCGTGACAGTTAAATTGGTTATAGAGGGATGGTTGGGACCCCATGGTTGGGCTTTTCGGAATAAAATCGGAAATGCTTTGTCACGATACGAAATTACACACTGAGGCAGTCGCGATGAAGGGCCCAAATCGTGAGGCCCTGCAAGCCTTAAGGATCCATCCTCTTCCTCAGCATCAGCGCTGACAGCATCCCGCAAATTGGCGCCGTCCCCAGAACCGCCTAACGTGAAGCTAATCATCTTTGGGGGACTGGGGAAGGGCCTTAGGTGTGACGAGGAAAGGAGATGGGCACTTCCATAAACGAATGTCAACTTGGAGACCGGAGTGTCCTTACGGTTTCACAACCCAAGAACAAGATTTCATTCCCTTTGTGAAACACCACCAGCTAAAGACTCAATGGCCAGCCCCGGTGCACACCAGTATGCGATGCTGAGCAAGTGTATGCGGGAGGTGCTCAAAGACTTTCAAAGAAAAGCGAGGAGGGCGGAGCAAGGACGCTGTGCAGGATGCGTTTCTATTTAGTGTTGTGTCAGTCGCTTTGGCGAAGGAAAACCTTAAGATTAAGCACCTCTCCCATCTTTGCCCACCAGTGTACAGTAGAGAAAACACATGAAAAACGCTAAACAGCTTTCCTAAGGCTATAAACTAATCAGTGGCAAAACCAAAACTCAGGTCTCTCATACGCCCCACATCTAATGTCCTTTCTACTTAAGAATCACAATGATCCCCAGGGTTCTGCCATGAATGGAAAGAATGTAATGAATTATGAACTTCATTTTTACTTTAAATCCTTTTCTTCACTCAAGTGACATTGTCATTAAAGCTGATTAAGAATATAGAAAGGTAAATGACTAATCCTATATTCAATCTTGGAACTGTTCCTATAGAATCTGTTTCTTCTTGCTCAGGAAGTGCCACAGCCTCTTGCCATTCTTTTTAAAAACAGCAGGCATCTCTACTCTCTGTCATGTCCAGATCCTTGGATTGAAAGCAGGACAAAATGTACATTAAAGGCAAGTGATGATGCAGCTCATCTTGTTCTATGCAAACATAAAGATGTTGCCAAATTGTTTTTTATTTCTACTGATTAAAACCACACGTTACTTTTTCTATTACTATGTCTAATAGAGTACTTCATTCATTTCAGAGTATTGACCAATCACATAATTTGAATAAGAAAACATTAGGGTTTCTGTAAATATTTTTCTTTAAAATTAAAGAAGTTTATAGGGGCCAGGCACAGTGGCTAATGCCTGCAATCCCAGCACTTTGAGAGGCTGATGTGGGAGGATCACTTCAGTCCAGGAGTTCAAGACCAAACTGGGCAATGTAAGGAGACATAAGGAGACTCCTTCTGCACACACACACACACACACACAAAATGATCACGGAAGCATGGATTTAAAATTTTTTTTAATTAGCCGGGCATGGTGGCATGCCCCTGTAGTCTCAGCTATTCGGGAGGCTGAGGCAGGAGGATCGGTTGAGCCCAGGAGTTCAAGACCAGCCTGGGCAACATAACAAGACCTTGTCTCTACACACAAAAAATTTTTAGTTAGCCAGCCCTGTCTCTACTAAAAATACAAAAATTAGCCAGGTGTGGTGGCATGCACCTGTAGTCCCAGCCACTTGGGAGGCTGAGGCAGGAGGATTGCTTGAGCCCTGGATGTCAAGGCTGCAGTGAGCTATTATCGCATCACTGCACTCCAGTCTGGGCAACAGAGATACCCTGTCTTTAAAAAAGAAAAAAAAAAAGTTTCTAGGGAAAAAATGTCCAGATTCATTGAAATTAGGCTTAGCAATAAAAGCCTCCCCTTTTCTCCAGTCTTTTCCATTTTAGAATTATTGAGCTGTCCCCAGAGATACTCTTTCAGTCAGGCTAAATGTCAATGTAATATGTTATTCAAGAGCTGGTACTGGAGTTTAGGAATCCCCTTTGAGTTATAGATATAGATAGATCTCAAGTATATATATAAAACTCAAATATATATGCATGTATCTCTTTTAAGAAATAAACTGAGCATAGTGGCTCACACTTGTAATCCCAGCACTTTGGGAGGCCAAGGCAGGAGGATCTGTTGAGCCCTGGAGTTGGAGACCAGCCCTAGCAACATAGTGAGACTCTGTCTCTACAAAAAATATATATTTTTAATTAGCTGGCCCCTGTAGTCCCAGCTACCCAGGAGGCTGAGGTGGGAGGATTGCTTGAGCCCAGGAGGTCGAGGCTGCAGTGAGCTATGATTGCATCACTGCACTCCAGCCTGGGTGACAACGCAAGACTCTGTCTCTAATACATAAATGTGGTAGCCAGACTTCCAGATGGCCCCCAATGATCCCTACCTCACTTACTCTCATTCTTATTTATTCCTTTCCATACTGAATTGGACTGACCTGTGTAACCAATAGGATTTTCCAGAAATTATGGTGTGGGAATATCAAGGCCAGGTTATAACAGACATTGTAGCTTCTGCCTTATGTGTTCTTGGATCACTTATTTAGGGAGAAGCCAGTTGTCTTCTCCTGAAGATACTCTAGCAGTTCCATGCAGTGTTCCCCTGGCAAGGAACTGAAGCATCACATCAATAATCAGCACCAGTTTGCCGTCTATGTTAGTGAGCCATTCTTAGAAATGAATCCTCCAGCCCCAGTCAAGCCTTCAGATGACTGAAAGCCCAGCTGGCTTCTTAACCACCACCTTGTGAGACACTCCAAGCCAGAACTACCCAGCTAAGCCACTTCTAAAATGTGTTACTATATCACAGAAACTATGTGATATAGTAAATATTTACTATTGCTTTAAGCATTAATTTTTGGGATAATTGGTCATGCAGCAAGAGATAACGAATACAGTAAGACTTGGGAAAATAAGAGAGAGGAATAACTCAAGTCTAAGGATGTGTCCCTGGATAAGTCTAAAGGAATCAGACAGACTCTAGGATCAGTCTTACAGCATATTCAAAGATACAATGTCCAAAGTTCAGACATTAAAAAGTCCCCACACAGGACATAAAGCCCCTTTTAACACAGCTTCTTTTCTCCTAGCATGAAATAAATAACATATTGAAGAATCTCTTTCTTCTTTTCCTTTCCTTCCATTTATGTCCTCTTCTGCCTATCTTTAGGTACCACTTTGTAACCTTCTTCCCATAATCCAAACAGAAAAGGATCTAGATGTGTCATTTACATCACATTGTTATTAGGACAGCACCACAGTGTGAATCAGTGTGCAACTCAAGGAAAAGAGACCTCTGCCCTTTTCTCTTTCTATCTCTCTCTTTAGAAACAAATCTCAGAGTTGCACATGAGAAGTGGGTAAATATATGTTATGTTAATTATATCTCAATAAATCTCTTTTTTAAACTCATTACGCAGTGCTTTGAAACATGAAACTCAATAGTGAACTGGTGCTCAAGCATTTCTGCAAACCAGCAAGCAGCCCTGTTTTTCAGTTTTTCAGCAAATAAGTTTCTATTTGAATGTTACTTAATCCACAAACAAAATCCCCATAAACAAGTTTTTTTGTTTTTTTCTGAGACAGAGGCTTGCTGTGTCACCCAGGCTGGAGTGCAGTGGGCGCAATCTCGGCTCACTGCAAGCTCTGCCTCCCGGGTCCATGCCATTCTCCTGCCTCAGCCTCCCGAGTAGCTGGGACTACAGGCACCCGCCACCATGCCCGGCTAATTTTTTAATATTTTTAGTAGCGATGGGGTTTCACCGTGTTAGCCAGGATGGTCTCAATCTCCTGACCTCATGATCCGCCTGCCTTGGCCTCCCAAAGTGCTGGGATTACAAGCGTAAGCCACCACACCCGGCCCCCATAAACAAGTTTTTATAGAGCCTACTAATGCCATCTACTCTGATAGGCACTGGGAAAGCAAATTTGAATAAATTCAGTCCTGTCCCTCAGGGTTTCACAATGTAATGATTAGCAAACATGCAAATCTTATTAGAATACATTGTAATAACTGCTATAAGAGAGGTATACAGCATATAAAGATACTCAAAGGCCAAATCCTTGGGGTTCTCTGAGAGCTTCATTTCTTTAAGTCAGTATCAGCTGCATTCTGATTTCGACAGAAAGGCATTCACATCAAATATATTCACTACCTCAAGTGTTTGTGTTTTTGAAACTTTGTTCTTTTTTTTTTTTTTTTTTAGTGAAAATTTTACTTTTAAGTAAAAGACTTGATTTTTTTTTTTTTGAGATGGAGTCTCACCCTGTCACCCAGGCTGGAGGGCAGTGGCACGATCTTGGCTCACTGCAACCTCCACCTCCCAGGTTCAAGCAGTTCTCCCGCCTTAGCCTCCCAAGTAGCTGGGATTACAGTCACCTGCCAGCACGCCAGAATAATTTTTGTATTTTTCGTAAAGACGGGGTTTCACCGTGTTGGCCAGGTTGGTCTTGAACTCCTGACCTCAAGTGATCCATCCTCCTCAGCCTCTCAAAGTGCTGGGATTACAGGCGTGAGCCATTGCGCCCAGCCTTGATTTATTTTCTTTTTTTTTTTTAAACAGAGTCTTGCTCTGTCACTCAGGCTGGAGTGCAATGGCACCATCTTGGCTCACTGCAAGCTCCACCTCCCGGGTTCAAGCGATTCTCCTGCCTCAGCCTCCCAAGTAGCTGGGACCACAGGTATGTGCCACCACACCTGGCTAATTTTTGTATTTTTAGTAGAGACAGGGTTTCGCTATGTTGGCCAGGCTGGTCTCGAACTCCTGATCTCGTGATCCGTCTGCCTCAGCCTCCCAAAGTGCTGGGATTACAGGCATGAGCCACTGCACCAGGCCCTGATTTCTAATTAAAGAAATTTCAAGCAAAAAGAATTAGGTAAGAGAAAACGGTGTTGAGCGGGCAAGGCAAAAAACTCTCAATTTGGGAGATATGAGTTTATCGCCTTTTAACCTATTGATATCAATTTGTGTTTAATGATGATGATTAAAATAGACCGTAATATCAGAAAAGATTGACATTGATTAGACCTAGTAAAGTGAGAAAAGAAACTAAAAGAGTTTACATTCACAAAGTAATTCTAATTGTGGTTATTTCTTGATCTGCTTCCTGTTTAGGCCTTTTATGAAACACAGAATAATTATATCATTAACTGTTAACTTTTTGCAGGTTTTATTAGAAGAGTGAATTATAGCTACACATATTTGCTCATATTTTTGTTGCAAGGTCATATATATATATAATTTTTTTTTTTCAGAGATGGAGTTTTGCTCTTGTTGGCCAAGCTGGAGTGCAATGGTGCGATCTCAGCTCACCACAACCTCCGCCTCCCGGGTTCAAGTGATTCTCCGGCCTCAGCCTCCCTAGTAGCTGGGATTACAGGTGGCTGCCAGCACACCCAGCTAATTTTTTTTGTATTTTTAGTAGAGACGGGGTTTCATCATGTTAACCAGGCTGGTCTCGAACTCCTGACCTCAGGTGATCCGCTGGCCTCGGCCTCCCAAAGTGCTGGGATTACAGGTGTGAGCCACTGCGCCCGGCCCCATTAATATATTATTGTTGTATACTCATATTTTTAAAATGAGAAAGTAGTGGGGTGATGTTATGATTGTGCCTGTGACAGTCTGGAAAAAGTTCAGTGACTTTCAGTCTAGTTCAGGAACCTGCCACTCCACTCCAAACACTGGACAGCTTTCTGTGATTTTCAGGCTCTTCTGGCAGGATCATTAACTGGCTAGCAATGCTAATAGCGCACCCTAGCGATAATAGTGTTCCACTGCAAGGTGTATTGAAGCAAAACTGGTCTTATATTTTTGACATTAATCAAAGCCGACTAGCCAGTGGCTAAAGATTTTAATCATTTTTAAAGACCTGATTATGCTCATGAAAAAGATAATCTTTTTTTTTTTGAGACGGAGTCTCACTCTGTCGCCCAGGCTGGAGTGCAGCGGCACGATCTCGGCTCACTGCAACCTCTGCCTCCTGTGTTCAAGTGATTCTCCTGCCTCAGCTTCCCGAGTAACTGGGATTACAGGCATGAACCACCATGCTCAGCTAATTTTTGTATTTTTAGTAGAGACGGGTTTCCACCATCTTGGCCAGGCTGGTCTCGAACTCCTGACCTCAGGTGATTCACCTGCCTCAGCCCCCCAAAGTGCTAGGATTACAGGCATGAGCCACTGCGCCGGGCCAAAGATGATCTTAAAATATTTTTCCGGTGGTGTTATTTGGGAATTGTATGTTCTACCAAATAAAATATATTCATAGATGGCAGATAAAAATTTCCAGAAATGTATTAAGCACCTACATCAAGGCTACCATAGGATATCCTATGGAGGATTAAAAATATATAAGATGTGGTTCCTATATATGCTATTTTGAATTATAGTTTTTGTACATCTTATTTTTATAGAATGTAGAGGGATAATTTCTTATACTGTGTATTCCCCATACCTTCTTCACTCTGTAAATATTAAGTACACTCAGTAGGTATTTTA
The DNA here is from genome assembly GCF_000001405.40 of Homo sapiens. Lineage (NCBI taxonomy): Eukaryota > Metazoa > Chordata > Mammalia > Primates > Hominidae > Homo > Homo sapiens. The sequence goes on from NC_000015.10 coordinate 42,927,625, forward strand.
AAATAATTAATGCAAAAAGTTAAATACTAATAAGTACAAAAATACAAGTGATGTCACATTGTATTACCTTTCAAACAAGTGCTATCAACACCTCTGGGTTTGCCTTTTTCTGCATTTTTCTGTATTAAGATGCTTTCAAAGAAAAGAAATGGTATCACTCTGTTGCCCAGGCTGGAGTGCAATGGTGCCAGTATAGCTCTCTGTAACCTTGAACACCTGAGCTCAAGCAATTCTCCCACCTCAGCCTCTTCAGTAGCTAGAACTACAGCAGTGTACCACCTCATCTTTTTTATTATTATTATTTTGTAGGGCCAGGGCTAGCACTATATTGCGCAGTCTGGTCTTGAACCGCTGGCCTCATGGTATCTTCTCACCTTAGCCTCCCAAAGCACTAGGATTTCAGGTTTGAACCACTGCACCCAGCAAAATGCTTTTTTATTTTCCTCAACTCTTATCCAGAAACACAACAAGGGTGATTGTTAAAACAACAAAGAAAATCCTTCAGTGTGGAGACCTCAGAATAGACAGAAGAGAGAACAATCCTAGGAAATTTACCTTGGGAGTGGTAACAGCAGTATGGAACTAGAAACGGGACTTTTTGCGTTCCTGGGTCAGTCTGTCTGATAAACAGCATTCAAATAGAGTCCCTGCTTATTCTTAGCACGGCATCTCATTGTGTGCTCGCATGTTAAGCTTGCTCTAAACAAGTCAGGGTTGCAAGTCTGTGGGGGAATATCCAGATCCAGTTGGAGATGAGTTCTAGCCTTGCAGAAGGACAGTATACTTATTCCTCTTTTCTTTTTTTTTTTTAGACAGAGTTTTGCTCTTGTCGCCCAGGCTGGAGTGCAACCTCCTCGGCTCACTGCAACCTCCACTTCCTGGGTTCAAGCAATTCTCCTGCCTCAGTAGGAGGCAGTAGCTGGGATTATAGGTGCCCGCCACCAAGCTCAGCTAATTTTATTTGTATTTTTAGTAGAGATGGGGTTTCATCATGTTGGCCAGGCTAGTCTCAAAACTCCTGACCTCAGGTGATCCGCCCATCTCGGCCTCCCAAAGTGCTGGGATTACAGGTGTGAGCCACCTCGCCTGGCCTCCTGTTTTCTTAGTGAACTGAAACTTCGTTTTTTTGCTCACACAGATTTTGAAAAAATTCGTTGCTGGGAAAATAAAAACAACTGGAAAAAATAAAAATTTTAAACTTTGAATTCTAGTTGCATGTAATAGGAAGTTGAGAATGAACTCAAGTACATTTTATATATGATAAAGGTGACATCTCAGATAGTTCGGACAAAGATGGACCCTCTTAGAAATAGTGTCCAGAGAACCAGATTAGATGGTTAAAAATAATAATAAAATTGAACCACAAACAGGAATAAACTCCAAATGGATCAGAGATCTAAATATAAAAAGTGAAATCATACAAGTACTAGAAGAAAACATGGATGAATTCCTTTAAACCTGGGTGTGAGAAGAGGCTTTCTAATTATAATTCAACATCCAGATGTAATTTTTGAAAAGATTGAAAAATTTAACTACAAAACATTGAAAGAACTTTTATGGAATTAAAACTATAAAGTCAAAATCAGTGAGATAAAATATTTAAAATATATTTCACAGATAAAGAGCTAATATCTTGGATATATTAAAAATGCTTAAAAATCAAGGGAAAATAGAATTTAAAACAATAGAAAAATGGGCAAAAAATATAAGGTAGCTACTATACAGCTAAAATTATAAAGACTAACAGCATCCAATGTTTGTGAGGACGTGGAGCAACCAGAGCTCTCATACATTGTTGGTGGGAATGTAAATGGTACATTCATGTTGAAAAAAAGATCTGGACATTTCTTTCAAACTAAACATATATCTATCCTATGAATCAGCAGTTTGACTTCAAGATATGTACCCAAAAGAAATGAAAACATATTTTCACAAAAAGACTAACTCAAGAATGTTCAAAGTAGTTTTATTTATAATATCCCAAAATAGGAAACAGCTCAGGTCCGAAAGAGAACAGACTACAGACTGTACTATGTTCATAAGTGGAATATCACTCAACACTAAAAATAAACTAATACACAAAACAACATGGATGAATCTCAAAAACAATATGCTGAATGAAATAAACCTTGCCAAAGCATCATATTATATGATTCTATTTATGTGAGGAAGTCTTATGGAAAAGAGAACATACTGGATTATTCCAGTTATATAAAACTCTAGCACAAGACACACTAATCTATGATAGAAAAAAATCAGAACAATGGTTGCCTCTGAGTAGACAGGGGCTGGTATTAGCTGGTAAGAGTATAGAGAGTAATGATAATGTTCTATATCTTAATAGGGTTTTGGGTTACACAGGTGCCTGCATTTGTCAAAATTCCATGAATGTACACTTAAGATTTGTGCATTTCATTGAATGTACATTTTATATCAAAATTAAAAACTGGCCAGGCACAGTGGCTTACATGCCTTTCCCAGCACTTTGGGAGGTCAAGGCAGGAGCATTGCTTGGGCCCAAGAGTTCAAGACCAGCCTGGGCAATATAGTGAGAACCCTTCTCTACAAAAATAGAAACAAACTAGTTGGGTATAGTGGCATGCACCTGTAGTCCCAGCCACTTGGGAGGCTGAGGTGAGAGGATTGTGCCCAGATGATTGGGGCTGAAGTGAGGTGTGATCGCACCACTGCACTGCAGCCTGTGCAACAGAGTGAGACCCTGTCTCAAAAAAAAAAAAAAAAAAAGAAAAGAAAAAGAAAAAGAAAAAACCTGCAAAAAATATTGAGTTCTAGTTAATTATATGCATGCAAAATACATTGGGGGGCATATGTATTAATTATTGCAATTGACTTTGAATTTCCTCCCAAAAATAAGAGGGATTGATGAATGAATAGAGGGATGGATAGGTGGATAGATATACAATAAAGCAAGTATAGCAAATTATTATTGGTAGAATCTTGGTGGTGGTATATGGATGGTCACTATAAAGTTCTTTCAACTTTGCTGTATGTTTAAAAATATTCATAATAGACCAGTTTTGTGGCTTATGCCTGTAATCTCAGCACTTTGGGAGGCTATCATGGGAGGATCACTTGAGACCAGGAGTTCAAGACCAGCCTGGGCAACACAGTAAGACCCCATATCTACAAAAAATTTAAAAATAATAAAAAATTAGCCTTTCATAGTGTTGCATGCCTGTGGTCCTATCTACTTGGGAGGCGGAAGTGGGAGGATCACTTGAGCCCAGGAGTTCAAGGTTATAATGAGCTGTGCTTACACCACTGCACTTGAGCCTGGGCAACAGAGTAACACTCTGTCTATAAAAAAAGAAGAGAAAAGAAAATATTCATAATAAAATATTGGAAAAAAATATTTCACAACCATGTTAAGGAGCCATCTTGGAAACCAGTCCTCTGATCAACATCTACTTAGGATCCAGCAGGGCTGCAAATGCACGGAGTGTTCAGTTCTACCCAGGGCTGAGGGCAGTGCACACCACCTTTCTGTGCTGATGTAACAAATGAACACCAACCTAGTGGCTTAAACAACACAACATTTTTATCTTACAGCCTTGTTGGTCAGGAAGTCCAACATGGGTCTTACTGGGCTTAAATGAAGGAATTGGTAGGGCTGCCTTCCTTCTTAGAGGCACAAGGAGAGAATTTGATCCCTTGCCTTTTCCAGCTTCTAGAGGCTGCCCATATTCCCCAGCTGATGGCCCACTTTCTCCATCTTCAAAGTCAGCAGCAACAGTGGGCCAAGTCCTCATGGTACGTCTCTCTGACCCAGGCTTCTGCAAGCCTCTTCTCCTTTTAAGAATCCGTGTGATTAGCTGGGCGTGGTGGCTCACGCCTGTAATCCCAGCACTTTGGGAGGCCAAGGCCGGTGGATCATGAGGTCAGAAGTTTGAGACCAGCCTGACCAACATGGTGAAACTCCATCTCTAAAAATACAAAAATTAGCCAGGCCTGATGGTGCGCACCTGTAATCCCAGCTACTCAGGAGGCTGAGGCAGGAGAATTGCTTGAACCTGGGAGGCAGAGGTTGCCGTGAGCCGAGATTGCGCCACTGCCCTCCAGCCTGGGCGACAGAGCAAGACTCCATCTCAGAAAAAAAAAAAAAAAAAAAAAAATCCATGTGATTAATTTGGGCCCACTTGGATAATCCAGAAAACTCTCCATCTGAAGGTTTGCACACATAATCACATCTATAAAGTCCCTTTTGCCATGTAAGGTAAACATGTTCACAGGTTACAGGGTAGAACATGAACATCCTGTAGAGGCAAGTGGACATTGTTGTGTGCCTGCCAGAGGGAGCGTCAAAAAACAACATTCCTCCAGGAAGTAAAGCTTGAGTTCAACTCTTAAATTTTCTTGCATCTTTTAATTTGCATTCATAATATTATTCATTTATATATCCTTGCTTTTGTCATTTCTGCATTATTTATTTCTATGTTAGAACTTGGGGATTTCTTCAAGAAATGGCTGTAAATCTCCTATGGTTTGTGTTATCTTTGCTAAGAATTATAACAAAACATTTGAAAAATTCAAATCAGGCTTTGATATGGTTTGGCTCTGTGTCACCACCCAAATCTCACCTCAAACTGTAATCCCCATATCCCCACGTGTCAAGGGCGGGAGCAGGTGGGGGCAATTGGATCATGAGGATGGTTCCCACCATGCTGTTCTCGTGATAGTGAGTGAGTTCTCACGAGATCAGGTGGTTTTATAAGCATCTGGCATTTCCCCTGCTTGCACTCACTCTGTCCTCCCGCCTTGTGAAGAAGGTGCCTCCTGCTTCTCCTTTGCCTTCTGCCATGATTGTAAGTTTCCTGAGGCTTCCCCAGCAATGTGGAACTGTGAGTCAATTAAACTTCTTTCCTTTGTAAATTACCCAGTCTCAGGTATTTCTTCAGAGCAGTGTGAGAAGGGATTAATACAGGCTTATTTTGATGCTCCTTTAATTGTTGGTTTGACCTTGTGCCATTTCATACACTGGACACTAATTGTGTTGGTCTTTTGCAAATTATAAATCCCACTCTGCAGGAGCAAATTTATTAACTTTTACATGCCACCTAGCCTAGAGTCATGCACAGACAATAATTAGGAGAAAATAAAAATAAAAACTAGGCTGGGGGGCGGTGGCTCATGCCTGCAATCCCACTAGTTTGGGAGGCTGAGACAGACGGATCAATTGAGCTTAGGAGTTTGAGACCAGCTTGGGCAACATGGCAAAACCCCAGCTCTACAAAAAATACAAAAATTAACCAGGTATGGTGGTGCACGCCTGTAGTCCCAGCTACTTGGGAGGCTGAGGTGGGAGGATCTCTCGAGCCTGGAGGCAGAGGCTGCAGTGAGTCAAGATTGTGTCACTGCACTCCAGCCTGGGAGACAGATTGAGACTTGTCTCTAATAAATAAATAAATAGTAAACATAGGGATTTCCCTATCTTTCAACCATGTTAACTCACCTAAGCATTAATCCCTCATAGACCATAAAACTGAGTTTCAAAACAATAGTAGCTGCTGTTCAAAATATCTCCAGTATTTCTCTCTCTCTCATTTGATTCCAGCCCTAATTAGAATCAATGACTTTGATGGATGAAATCCACAAGGAAGTACATAGGAAGCAAGAAGCCAAGAGGGCAAGATTGGAACCTGGATAAAAGCCAACATTTAAAAGGAAGATGGAAGGACAGGATTGAGGAGAGGCCATTGGGTAGGACAGTCTGACCTGTGTGAAAAGTGTTCCTGCTGAGCTCCCAGATCCTCTTTCCTTGCCTCTTACTTCACTGTGTTTACTTTTACCCAGAGGCTCCTCCTGGAAGGATCTCAGAACATTTTGGGTTATTCTCAGCTACCCCTTGCCTATTCTTTCCTGACAGGAAAAATTCTAGTCCACTCCAACTACAAATGTCAGGAGGAGGATTTGGTAGACCATTTTCTTTTTTTTCTGATTTTATTTATTTGTTTGTTTAATAGAAAATATATTCATATAGTGCAACATTCTAAAGGTCAAAAGGTATTAAAAAGAGTATATTGTGAGGCAGGAGGACTGCTTGTGCCCAGGAGTTCGAGACCAGCCTGGGCAACATAGTGAGGCCTTGTCTCTACAAAAATTAAAATTAAAATAAAATTAACTAGACATAGTCCTAGATACTTGGGAGGCTGAGGTGGGAGGATTGCTTGAGCCTAAGAGGTCAAGGCTGCAGTGAGCTGTGATCATGTCACTGCACTCCAGCCTGGGCGACAGAGTGAGACCCTGTCTCGAAAAAAAAATATATATATATATTTATATTTATATATATAGTGAAGAGTAAGCCTCCTTTCCATCCACATCTCCCATGGATGTTCCCTGACTTTTATTACTGGTTTCTTATACATGGTATGGGAGCCAGAGATAACCTCCAACCTCTCTTTTAGCTCTTAGTGTGCTCTTCAGCTGGATCTAAAAACCACATTGACCTGTGGTTAACCAGAGAAAAGTATACAAATTTTATTAGTTTTACATGTGTATTGCCTCCAGCTCCGTCTCTGGTGATAAGGACTGTTTTCTCACCCTGGTGTAGAAAGGATCCCCTTCTCAGAAGAATCTTGATTTCTTGCTGCATGCAAAGTTCAAATGGTATTAAAACATTCAAACAAAAGGCATTAAAACATTCAAAAGGTATGAAAAGAGTATATTGTGAGGCAGGAGGGTCACTTGAGCCCAGGAGTTCAAGACCAGCCTGGGAAACATAGTGAGACGCCATCTCTACAAAAAATTTCAAAACTAGTCAGGCATGATGGTGTGCACCTGTATTCCCAACTACTTGGGAGGCTGAGGGGGGAGGATCCCTTGAGCCCAGAGTTCAAGGTTACAGTGAGCTATGATCTCACCACTGTACTCCAGCCTGGGTGACCTAGCAAAACCCTGTCTCTAAAAAAATAATAATAATAAGGCCGGGCACGGTGGCTCACGCATGTAATCCTAGCACTTTGGGAGGCTGAGGTGGGCAGATCACTTGAGGTCAGGAGTTCGAGACCAGCCTGGGCAACATAGTGAAACGCCGTCTCTACTAAAAAATACAAAACTTAGCTGGGCATGGTGGTGCGTGCCTGTAGTCCCAGCTTCTTAGGAGGCTGAGGCAGGAGAATCACTTGAACCCAGGAGGTGGAGGTTGCAGTGAGCTAAGATTGTGCCACTGCACTCCAGCCTGGGCGACAGAGTGAGATCCTGGTCTCAAAAATAAATAAATAAAATAAAAATAATAAAATGGGTAATTATTATTAACTAAAGTCCATAGTTTGTCCAAATATCCTTAGTTTTTACCTAGTGTCCTTTTTCTGTTCTGGGATCTCATCCAGGGTACCACCTCACATCTATGACTTGGCTATGACTTGGACAGCTTTGAGGAATATTGTTAAGTATGTTGTAGCTTGTCTCTCTATTGGAATGTGATGTTTTTCTTATTATTAGACTGGAGTTAAGGGTTTTAGGGAGGAAAACCACATAAAGTACCATTTCATCATATCATGTCAAGGTTACATACCATCAGCGTGATTCTATCACTACTGATATTTACCTTGCTCACCTGGTTGAGGTAATGTTTGTTAGGTTTCTTCACTGTAAAGTTTTTTTTTTTTTTTTTTTTCTCCGTTTCATATTGTATTCTTTAGAAGGAACTCACTGTAGTCCATACTTTGGCCAGGCGTGGTGGCTCTTAGGGAGGCCGAGGCGGGTGAATCGCTTGAGCTCAGGAGTTCGAGACCAGCCTGGGCAACTGGTAAAACCCTGACTGTACAAAAAAATACAAAAAATTAGCTGGGCATGGTGGCACACGCCTGCAGTTCCAGCTAATTGGGGGTCTGAGGTGGGAGGATCCCTTGAGCCCAGGAGGTTGAGGCTGCAGGACGTTGAGATAACGTCACTGTACTTCAGCCTGGGCAACAAAGTGAGACCCTGTCTTAAAAAAAAAAAAAAAAAGCTCATAACAGCTTTATTCCGAATGGCAAATTTAGAAACAACCCAGATGCCTATCAATAGGAGAGTGGGTAAATTATGTACTCACACAACTAGATACTAACTAGCAATAAGAAGAAAGACCTACTGGAACATACAACATGGATGAATCTCAAAGGTGAAAAACTTGAACACAAATAGATACTGTATGTTACCGTGGATGGGCTAAGTGAGTGCACATAGTGCACACTGAAGATTTCTGTGTTACATGTTAACAGCCACCAGAAAGCATCCATTACAGAAGAGGGACCAAAACAATCAAGTGTCAAAATAATGCTCAAACTAATGTTTTAGCACCCTTTGGAAGCTGGCACAATGGGTACACAAATGGACAGATGGGGGTTAAGCATGGGCCTAGTGGCATGGACCTCCACTCATCAAGACTGCCACCTTTGAACATCCAACCTGTCAGCCACAGAGACCAATGCTCTACGGATGTGGCACTATTTTTGTTTGTTTTTCTTTTTTTTGAGACAGAGTCTCACTCTTTCGCCCAGTCTGGAGTGCAGTGGCACGATTTCGGCTTACTGCAACCTCTGCTTCCTGGGTTCAAGTGATTTTCCTGCCTCAGCCTCCCGAGTAGCTAGGATTACAGGCACGTGCCACCATGCCTGGCTAATTTTTGTATTTTTAGTAGAGACGGGGTTTCGCCATGTTGGTCAGGCTGGTCTCAAACTCCTGACCTCAGGTGATCTGGCCACCTTGGCCTCCCAAAGTGCTGGGATTACCGGTGTGAGCCACCTCGCCCAGCCTGTGGCACTGTTTTTCAAAATCAACCAGCTACCTTGCAGCAACTTGACTACATTTTTTTTTTTTTTTTGAGACAGTCTCCTTCTGCCACCCAGGCTGGGGTGCAGTGGCACAATCATAGCTCATTGCAGCCTCAATCTCCCAGGCTCAAGCAATCCTCCTGCCTCAGCCTCCTGAATAGCTGGGACTACAGGTGTGTACCACCATACTTGGCTAATTATTTTTTTATTTTTAGTAAAGACAAGGTCTCACTATGTTGCCCAGGGTGGTCTCAAACTCCTGAGCTCAAGCAATCCTCCTGTCTTGGCCTCCCAAAGTGCTTGGATTAGACATGAGCCACTGTGCCTGGCCAGGATGTTTCTATCCTAGAAGAGTCACTGGTTCATTCTCATATGAACAGATACATATTCAGCATATGGGTTTGCCTTTCCTGCCCACAGAGCTTCAGGCAGCACCAGTGTCTGGGGGCTTGTCGAGTACCTGTTCTACAACATGGAATTCCACTCAGCATAGCATGTAACCAGGGAACCCATTTCACAGTAAGAAAGTGCTGCAGTGGGCCCCATGACTATGGGCTACCCTGGTTGTACTGCATACTGCACCACTCAGGAGCAGCTGAGCCAATACAATGTTGGAATGGCCTGCTGAAGGTACAGTGGAAGTGTCAGCTTTGAAGGTGGGTGCCATGCTCCAGGATGCATTGAATCAGAAACACTATCTAATCCATAATATTTTCATCAACCCAGTAAGAAACCCCATACCCATTAGCAGTCATCCCCTACTCCCCTGTCTTCCCAACCCCTGACAACCACTAATCTACTGTTTGTCTCTATGGATTTGTCTAATTCTGGACATTGGATATAAATGGAATCATACAATATATGGTCTTTTGTGACTGGCTTCTTTCACTGAGCATAATGTTTACAAGATTTACCCATGCTATGGCATGCATCAGAATGTCATTCCTTTTTATGGGTGCATAATATTCCATTGTATGGATAGGTATATTATTTATCCATTCATTGGTTGATGGACAATTGGGTAGTTTCCAGTTTTGGGCTATTATGAATAATGCTGCTATGCACATTTTTGTATAAGTTTTTTTTTGTGTGTGTGTGTGTGAAGATGTTTCAAATTCTCTTGAAATTTTAATTTGGGAGAAGAATTGCTAAGTCATCTGGTAACAGATCTTATCAGGAACTGCCCATCTGTTTTTTAAAGCAGCTGTACCATTTTATATCCTCACCAGTGATGTATAAGGGTTCCACTTTCTCCACATCCTTGCCAACACATTATTGCCCATCTTTTTGATTATAGCCATTCTGGTAGGTGTGAAGCAGTACATGAGTCTTCATTTAACATCATTAACCCTTGGGAACTGTGACTTTAAGCAAAATGATGTATAACAAAGCCAGTTTTACCATAGGCTAATTACTATAAACAAGAGTTAAGTTCGTATGGCACACTTCTCATCACAAAAACATCACCAAACTTCTTTTTTTTTTTTGAGACAGAGTTTCACTCTTGTTGCCGAGGCTGGAGTGCAGTGGCGTAATCTCGGCTCACTGCAACCTCAGCCTCCCGGGTTCAAGCGATTCTCCTGCCTCAGCCGCTTGAGTAGCTGGGATTAAGGCATGCGCCACCACGCCCAGCTAATTTGTATTTTTGGTAGAGATGGAGTTTCTCCATGTTGGTCAGGCCGGTCTCAAACTCCTGACCTCAGGTCATCCGCCCATCTCGGCCTCCCAAAGTGCTGGGATTACAGGCGTGAGCCACCGCGCCCGGCCCAAACTTCTAAATAAAGACGAAAACACTTCTAATATTAAACACTGAAATAAATGTGAACTATACATACATTTAAGAAAGATTGATAAAAACAAGTAAAATAATTATTTATCTGCTTATTCCAGCTCAGGGTCTCAGGTGTCCAGAGCCTATCCTGGCTGCAGCTCAGGGCACAGGGTGGGAACCACATTGTTTCACTATGTAGTCTATTTGCCTTTTTCCTCCTCTTTGGTGTTGTACTACTTTTTTTTTTTTTTTTTTTTTTTTGAGACGGAGTCTCGCTCTGTCGCCCAGGCTGGACTGCAGTGGTGCGATCTCGGCTCACTGCAAGCTCCGCCTCCTGGGTTCACGCCATTCTCCTGCCTCAGCCTCCCGAGTAGCCGGGACTACAAGCGCCAGCCACCACGCGCAGCTAATTTTTTGTATTTTTAGTAGAGACGGGGTTTCAACATATTAGCCAGGATGGTCTCGATCTCCTGACCTCGTGATCCGCAGGCCTTGGCCTCCCAAAGTGCTGGGATTACAGGCGTGAGCCACCGCGCCCGGCCTTGGTGGTGTACTTCTAGCAGTAAATTTTATACTTACATCTTTATGTAATATTCTCTTTCCTTAAATACTGTTGGTTTCTTAATACATGACCAATTTTGAAATTGCTTCTTACCCTGCTCCTTCTCTCTCACCATTTAGCCACTAGCTTTATCCTAGTGTCAATGTGTGTACTTGTTTTTGTTTTGTTTTGTTTTTGAGACGGAGTCTCGCTCTGTCGCCCAGGCTGGAGTGCAGTGGTGCGATCTCGGCTCACTGCAAGCTCCGCCTCCCGGGTTCACACCATTCTCCTGCCTCAGCCTCCCCAGTAGCTGGGACTACAGGCGCCCGCCACTACGCCTGGCTAATTTTTTGTATTTTTAGTAGAGACGGGGTTTCACCATGTTAGCCAGGATGGTCTCGATCTCCTGACCTCGTGATCCACCCGCCTCAGCCTCCCAAAGTGCTGGGATTACAGACGTGACCCACCGCGCCCGGCCACTTGTTTTTATTTCTTGATTTGTCACCTTCAAGTGATACCTTTTTATTTATTTTTAATTTTTTTTTAAGTTTACACAATAATTTATTGAGAGCCTCCTCTCCCCACCCTTGCAGTCTCTGGTCACATTTTACTTTTGTAGATTTTGCATGTCAGCCCTAGAAAGATGGCTGGGGACAGGGGAGCTGCGTACTGTTCAATGAGACCCATAATGTGGCTGTAACTGTCTTCCTATTATTGCAAGAACACGGCCGGCAGATCCAGCTCCTCATATACTGCCTTCACCTGGGCCACCTTCTTGGCCTCCTTCTGTCTGTAATTCTCCTTCAGGATCTGGTAGTGTTCCGGAGTGGCCCGTTGCAGACACTGAACCAGCAGCCAGCTGCATTTATTGTCCTGGATGTCAGTGCCAACTTTGCTGGTCACACTGGGGTCCCCAAAAGAGGTGAAGGTAATCATCCTGATCTGGAAGAACTCTCCCTCTCCCATCTCCAGCAGGATCTTCTTGGCATTGTCGTGCTCCTTCTCGCCATCAATGCCTGCCATGTACATGGCTGCAGCTACAGGAATGTAGAAGTAGAAACTGCCTTGTACTTGACAGTAGATTTGTACCTCTTTTCAGTGAATCTGCCAAGATCCGCATTGCCCTGGGGGGCTGTGATGAGGTCCAGGGTCTGCCCAATCTCAGTCTGATAGAAACTCTGCCGGAAGAGCTGGATCAGGTTCTGGCAATAGGGCTGCTCCCAGCAATAGAGCTTCAGCAGGCAGTAGATACATGCTTCCACAAGGATAGCATCACTGATGGCATCCAAACCCACGCCCGGCTTCTGAAACCAGCAGATCTGTTACCAGCGGTGAGCAATGAATCCGTGATGTCATTTGCCACCAGGAACAAAGCTTGCAGCAGTTCCACACACCAGCCCACAGTCAGGGCCCGCTGGAGACTCTCAGCATCATGTTTCCTTGGCTCCACCAGCTCCCAGAACGCTACTAGCACTGTCAAACCCCGGTGATACTTGCCTCCAATGGCATTGTACTACAGGATCTCCTTCAGCTGGGTGATAGCATCTCCTGTCTATGGGTGCCTCATCTCATCCCCAATGATCTGGGAGAAGTACTGAACGAAATCCTGCTTTTCTTGGACATAAACATCTGATCTCTGGTCTCCATTCATTCTGAGGGAGGAGCAAAGGGCTTTGTTCCTGGATGCGGGTTTCTGCCTGATACCTTTTTAATTCTGGCGAAAACCACTGATGTAATTAGTGAGCTTGTTTAACTTTCCACCCACTTGCCCTTTTTCTCCTATTTTTTGTTAGTTGTAATAATTCTACATCATTAGAGCATCCAATTTTGTCTCTCATCCCTCCATCTGTACAATTAAACATATGCAACACTCACCCCCAGACCTTATGCCAAGGCTTCTATAATCATTTACGATTGTCTGAAGCTTGCTCACTGGTAAATTTCTTAGGAAAGGCTCATGGGAAAAAATATTCCCTGAGTATTAGCATGCTCTGAACTATCTGTGTGGACTTTATGCTTGGATAGTTTGTCTGGATGTGAAAATCCTTTGGTGTTGACTCTTCTGGGTTTTTACAATGTTCTCTTTCAAAATGTGTTCAAGTTTTTTTTTTCCCCCAAGAAATTTTAACCTAATTATAGTTTTCCATTTGTGTTCTGTTCCATTGCTTTTTCTTTCTTCAGGGACTCCAATGAATATATATCAAATCTTCTTTATCCTAAATCCTTTTTTTCTCCTTCCCTGCCCCCTGCTTTTTTTTTTTTTTTTTTTTTTTTTGTCAGGGTGTCACTCTGTCACACAGGCTGGAGGGCAGTGGTGTGATGTCAGCTCACTGCAACCTTGACCTCCTTCTCAAGGGATCTTGCCACCTCCGCTTCCCAAGTAGCTGGGACTACAGGTGCGCCACAATGCCCAGGTCTTTCCAGCTTTTCCTTACTGTGCATTCCATTGGTAACTTTTCATTTTTGTCTTCCTTCTTAGTCTTCATTTCTATTTTTTCCCCAAATTTCGCTTGACTGATCTGGGTGACAGAGCGAGACTCCGACTCAAAACAAAAAACAGACAAAAACCGTTCTTTGCCTTCAGTGTTGCCCCTCACAGAATTTTTTTTTTTTTTTTTTTTTTTTTTTTTTTTTTTTTTGAGATGGAGTCTCACTCTGTTGCCAGGCTGGAGTGCAGTGGCACAATCTCAGCTCACTGCAATCTCCACCTCCCACATTCAAGTGACTCTCCCACCTCAGCCTCCTGAGTAGCTGGGACTACAGGTGCGCACCACCATGCCCAGCTAATTTTTGTATTTTTGGTACAGACAGGGTTTCACCATGTTGGCCAGGATGGTCTTGATCTCTTGACCTCGTGATCCGCCCGCCTCAGCCTCCCAAAGTGCTGGAATTATAGGCATGAGTCACCGTGCCTGGCCCCCTCATAGAATATTTTAAAGCTTAAAACTAAAGCAATTGCATCTAACCTTTTAAAAATTCCAGGTACCCTTTTCTCAAATGAAAGCTTACACAGAAACTCAAAATGAAAAATCACAACTATCCAGCTTTGGCACTCTTTCCCCTCTCGGGCCTACGTTTCTCCCAGAATCTTTGGCACTTAGTCTGAAAATCACCAAGCTAAAAAGAAAGCAAACTCTTCATTTTATGAAGAGTCATGGCTCAGAAATGGAAGAAAACCACCCTGCTTATTTTAAGGCTCAATCCCACAAGATTGATTCCAGATCGAGGGTGAGAACTGGGCATTTGTATTTTGTTAATACTCTCTAGGTGACTGTAATGCACAGTTAAGTTTGAGAACCATCACACTAGATGTATACTGCCCAATATGGTAGCCACCAGCCACACATGACTACATTTAAATTAACTAAAAATTAAAAATTCAGGCCCTCAGTTGCACTAGCCACATCACAAGTGTTCAACAGCCACATGAGAATAGTGACTGCCATTCCATATGGTAAATACACACAGAACATTTTTTTTTTCTTTGAGACAGAGTCTCACTCTCTCACCCAGGCTGGAGTACAATGGTGTGATCTCGGCTCACTGCAAGCTCCGCCTCCTGGGTTCACGCCATTCTCCTGCCTCAGCCACCTGAGTAGCTGGGACTACAGATGCCCGCCACCAAGCCTGGCTAATTTTTTGTATTTTTAGTAGACACGGGGTTTCACCGTGTTAGCCAGGATGGTCTTGATCTCCTGACCTCGTGATCCCCCCACTTTGGCCTCCCAAAGTCATGCGATTACAGGCTTGAGCCACTGCGCCCGGCCAGAACATTCCTATTATTGCAAAACTCTTCTGGATACTGCTGCTCTAGACAGCTGTCTCCATATTAGAGCGTGCATACCCAAAAGGATGCAGATTGGATTGGAAGATATTTAAATATCTATTTCTATTTTTAACTGATTTTTAAATCTCCTTTTAAAGCTATGTTTTATAATTTGCATGATGTATTAGTAAAGCACTGCATATAGAATATAAAATATGTGTTATGTGTTTATATTCTATTTGGTATGCATGCTAAAAACTATTTATTGATGGAGTATATGGCTAAAAAGTTTGGAGACCCATGTATACTAAACACCTATGTCTTTTAAAACATTTGCCTCGGCTGACAAAGGTTTCAACTGGAGAGTCTTCCTAGCAGATTTTTATACTTCAAACCCAAATCCCCAAACATGAGAAGTCCCTATTTTTCTTTTTAAATATACACATATATTTTATTTTAAAAAGCACAAGAACATTATACAAGTTTTAAATTTACATTTTTGCAATAAAAGTTATCAATATATGCATTATTTGTATAACTTCATCATGGATGGAATTTGAATCAGTGGTATAAACATGTTGCAGTCACTAAATATAGATCATCATCACAGTGAACCAAAATGCATAGTTGTTATGAAATGACAAATGACCACTAAAAGGTGAACTCACAGCCCATACACCAATATAATAAATTAATTATACAGATATATTTTTCTTCACCATATCATTAAAATTCTCACTAGCCCCTTACCAAACATTAGAAAAACACAGTTCTGGAGCCATCCTGTTGAACCAGTGCCTTCACATACTACACTAAAGAAAATAAAGTGACTCAGTTGCTTGTTTGTAAGTAAACTTCATAAGCATAATTGTTTGCAATGATTAAGGTAAATCACTAGGACATTTGAACATAATGAGAAATCCCTGGGGCTTGGGGCAGCACTGAGACATACGCTCATCTACAGTGCAAAAATCTGAATCAATCTCAATCAGTGGAACGCAATATGAAATGGGTTCTTTGGCAGTAAAGGTCTGGCTGGCCATTGCCAGACAGTCCCTCTGTCCTCTTGAGAGCCTAACTCCAGAATTTATTAAGTTAATATAAAAAGGACTAAAAATAAAGTCAGTTTATCTTTGCTAAATTGGGGCCCATCTATTAGGGTAGAAGTCAGTATCTTCTGTTTCCTATTCTAGCCCAGATTTCCCAGTCAAACAATCCACTCAATACAATTATATAAGAAACAAACACACATGTTCAAATACTTTCATCATTCTGGCAAATCTGACAAACTGAATACTGAATTTCCTGATCCTTACCTGTTATTGTTACAAATTGTTCACTAGACATGTATCTATTTATCCAGATACCTTCTGAATTGTAATTATTCAAGTAGAAAATCATGATTGTGATTCTGACGCCTGCTCATGCCAATCCCTTACTGCAAAATCCACTTTTCTTTACATAAAAGTACCAAAAAAATCTAGCCCCAAATGTGCATCACTAATCACTTAGCAAATATATTTTACTTGCTTGCCTTTGCTGAGCAAAAAGAAGGTAGGAAAACATTTACACACATATGTGAGACACTAATAGCCAAGGGCAAAATAAGATACAGTCTTTGAATGCATCTTTCAAGGTTCTAACATTACCCCAGAAACAACGTAAGTTAAAATGGAAGGTTTCCATTTATCTTCTGCTGTTTTATATCACAATCTCTTGATACAAAAAACAAAAGCCAGGAACCAAGAAGTCTATGCACAAATTCAGGAGAGCTCTATTATTTATAAACAAGATGGCTCAACCACAGCATGTTATAACAGGACACAGACTATTGATCACATGGCTTTTTTGGTGGTTTGTACTAGTCATAAAACCAGAGTTTATGAAAAGGTTGCACACAGACAACATCAAGGATTTGTCTTTTACAAAGATATAGAAGACTGCGGAATTGGTTTAAATCTGATTGTTCTAATTTACAGTTGTCATGATCCACTCATTGCGAGAATTTTCTCATCTTCATTCTACAGTTTTTACATCAGAATTACAAGAGGTTTCTGAGAGTCAAACAGGATGGTGCCACAATCTCCTTGCAGAATGAGATTTGCCTTTGGAAAATGTCAAGTATTATTTCAAAACTCAACAAAGCTACTGGTAGTCAGAGGTGAGAACTGCAAGCTCTTTGTACCGTCAGGAATGAATAACAAATACATTACCCTAACTTTTCTTGAGGCCTACAGTGAGAAAAAAGCTTTTCCATATTGGCAGAAATCATCCTCTGTCCACATAGAGATTGAGTTTAATTTGTGGTGATAGCAGCAGGTGGCACATTAGGGGTATTTCCTTAAAAGAGAAATAATAAAAAATTTATTTTTGGAATCTTTCCCAAGTATATTGCATGGTTTCTGCAATTCTTCTTTAACTGCAAGGAAGACTATCACAGATTATTAGAATTTTGTCAGTGATCCAATGTCAGTTGAACTAAACTTGGGGGGAAAACACCAAATACAAAATTGCAGAAGAGTTAACCAACATATAAAATGTCTACAACTGTTTGACGTGACTTCATCTACCAAGTGGATGAAATAAAATGAAATGAGACAAATTATGAAGGGGAATAAATTCCTGGAAATACTAGCACATAAAACAGATTGATCTATGTCCTTTTTTCCTGTGAAGCATATGTTTGCTAATTGAAAGCAATACTCCATTAAGAAATATTTTATTGATGTAAGTGAACCTGGACATGGAGCAAAAGACCCTCCAATACTTTCCCAGCCCTCAGAAAGTTTTCCATAATTTTGAATCAGCCTTTACTACTGTCGTCATTTGTGATTGTCTTGAGGCAGAGTTGGAGCTCACAGTAACTGCCAGTTGAATCCAAATAACATCTGATTAGTCTCTTGGCTCCTAGCAATCTCTTCTATAATGCAGTGTTGTTGCCAGACCAAATGGAGCTTCCGATACCGCTCACGAGATAAATGAAGGGGGTTGCCCCTCCTTTAGGGAAAAAAGAAAAAACAACATGTAAGTTTGAATCTAGTAACTGCCACATCTTTATTGTCTAAATTAGTATGCACTCTTGAGATGTTCCTGGAGCCGGGAGGACTCACCAGCACAGGGCTTAAAAAGGGATATTTTCCCTTCACCATTGATCACTAAGAACTTGACAGGCTACTTAGCTAATAAAGCAGAAATGTACTCCTTGACCATTCATAAAATAGGTCAGGTATATTATGGCATTATGGGACCTCACTTAAATGGTCACTGAGGTTTATAACTTGAAGCAGCACTATTCTTTTTTGGTGGTTAGCTTGAATAGCTTTTTGGCTTCATATTGTTATCTAGCTTCAATTTATGATCTTTGCACAGTAGAGGTTAGGCCTGACGTATAACACTAGGCCCTAAAATTATATTTTGCTACTCAGAGATATTTGGTTGTAACTGTCCTTACGATACAAAAAACTGGCTGGTTATTAGCAAATAATTTAATAAAATAATTATACTTCAATTCTAGAGTTGCACAGTTTTTAACACTGTATAACAGCTAATCCAAAATGACTTAAGTCTGGCTGTTGCCAGTAACGGAGAACTGTGAGATCCTAATTCCTTGAGACATTCAAGTCTCTCAGCTGGTTGGGGATTTTTTTTGTTTTTGTTTTTGTTTTTTGGAGATGGAGTTTCGCTCTTTTTGCCCAGGCTGGAGTGCCGTGGTACGATCACGGCTCAGGGCAACCTCTGCCTTCCAGTTTCAAGCAATTCTCCTGCCTCAGCCTCCAGAGTAGCTGGGATTACAGGTGCCCGCCACGATACCTGGCTAATTGTTTTTGTATTTTTAGTAGAGACGGGGTTTCACAATGTTGGCCAGGCTAGTCTCGAACTCCTGACCTCGTGATCCGCCCGCCTCGGCCTCCCAAAGTGCTGGGATTACAGGCGTGAACCACCGCGGCCGCCTGGTTGGGGATTTTTAAACTGCCAAATTAATGTTAAAACTCTGCTTTGTACCCTTGTGGAACAACTAAGATTCTCAGTCATTAACTACTTTCACCACTCTGCTTTTCTCCCTAAACCTAAAGACAGGTCAAATGTCATCCCAATAAAAAGAAAGCTCTGTGTGATCCAAGGTCCCAAGCCCCATCTAATAAGTGTATTCTTTCTGAGCAATATTTCAAAGGAACAAAATTTCAGTGAACCAAAAAGAGTTTATTGTAAGGAGGTCTAATCTTTATCTATATGTACTTTTGAGATCACTGTCAGTCTCCTCATTTTCATAAGTCATCAGTAGGACCCCAGTTCCTACCACCAGGGAAGGATACAGAAAAGTTCAGGATTCTAAATATTTTGTTAATGCTCAGAAGGAAAGAAGGCTGATATAGCTGGCTAATAAAAAGTCTCAGTTGGGTGCAGTGGCTCATGCCTGTAATCCCAGCACTTTGGGAGTCCAAGGTGGGCAGATCAACTGAGGTCAGGAGTTCGAGACCAGTCTGGCCAACACAGTAAAACCCCGTCACTACTAAAAATACAAAAAAAATTAGCCGGGTGTGGTGGTGCATGTCTGTAGTCCCAGCTACTTGGGAGGCTGAGGCAGGAGAATCGCTTGAACCCTGGAGGTAGACGTTGCAGTGAGCCGAGATCCAGCCTGGGTGACAGAGTGAGAGACTGTCTCAAAAAACAAAGAAAAAAAAAGTTTCAAGTATTGCAATGGAAACAATATCTCTAAAACAAACTTCATCACTGGACACTACAAACTTATACTATCAGTGTCAATCCTTTTAAGTAGTTCTGAAGAAAGGTTGATTACAAACAATAGAACACTGAAACATTAAGATGGCTGGTGTCTTTAAAAATTTTGGGGAAACACTACCTTCAAATTTTGGAGAAGTTGTTGAAAATTATGTGCTACAAGACAGGGATGCCCTCTCTCACCACTCCTATTCAACATAGTGTTGGAAGTTCTGGCCAGGGCAATTAGGCAGGAGAAGGAAATAAAGGGTATTCAATTAGGAAAAGAGGAAGTCAAATTGTCCCTGTTTGCAGATGACATGATTGTATATCTAGAAAACCCCATTGTCTCAGCCCAAAATCTCCTTAAGCTGATAAGCAACTTCAGCAAAGTCTCAGGATACAAAATCAATGTACAAAAATCACCAGCATTCTTATACACCAATAACAGACAAACAGAGAGCCAAATCATGAGTGAACTTCCATTCACAATTGCTTCAAAGAGAATAAAATACTTAGGAATCCAACTTACAAGGGACGTTTAGGACCTCTTCAAGGAGAACTACAAACCACTGCTCAATGAAATAAAAGAGGATACAAACAAATGGAAGAACATTCCACGCTCATGGGTAGGAAGAATCAGTATCGTGAAAATGGCCATACTGCCCAAGGTAATTTATAGATTCAATGCCATCCCCATCAAGCTACCAATGACTTTCTTCACAGAATTGGAAAAAACTACTTTAAAGTTCATATGGAACCAAAAAAGAGCCTGCATTGCCAAGTCAATCCTAAGCCAAAAGAACAAAGCTGGAGGCATCACGCTACCTGACTTCAAACCATACTACAAGGCTACAGTAACCAAAACAGCATGGTACTGGTACCAAAACAGAGATATAGATCAATGGAACAGAACAGAGCCCTCAGAAATAATGCTGCATATCTACATCTGATCTTTGACAAACCTGAGAAAAACAAGCAATGGGGAAAGGATTCCCTATTTAATAAATGGTGCTGGGAAAACTGGCTAGCCATATGTAGAAAGCTGAAACTGGACCCCTTCCTTACACCTTATACAAAAATTAATTCAAGATGGATTAAAGACTTAAACGTTAGACCTAAAACCATAAAAACCCTAGAAGAAAACCTAGGCATTACCATTCAGGACATAGGCATGGGCAAGGACTTCATGTCTAAAACCCCAAAAGTAATGGCAACAAAAGCCAAAATTGACAAATAGGATCTAATTAAACTAAAGAGCTTCTGCACATCAAAAGAAACTACCATCAGAGTGAACAGGCAACCTACAAAATGGGAGAAAATTTTCGCAACCTACTCATCTGACAAAGAGCTAATATCCAGAATCCACAATGAACTCAAACAAATTTACAAGAAACAAACAAACAACCCCATCAAAAAGTGGGCAAAGGACATGAACAGACACTTCTCAAAAGAAGACATTTATGCAGCCAAAAAACACATGAAAAAATACTCACCATCACTGGCCATCAGAGAAATGCAAATCAAAACCACAATGAGATACCACCTCACACTAGTTAGAATGGCAATCATTAAAAAGTCAGGAAACAGGTGCTGGAGAGGATGTGGAGAAATAGGAACACTTTTACACTGTTGGTGGGACTGTAAACTAGTTCAACCATTGTGGAAGTCAGTGTGGCGATTCCTCAAGGATCTAGAACTAGAAATACCATTTGACCCAGCCATCCCATTACTGGGTATATAACCAAAGGACTATAAATCATGCTGCTATAAAGACACATGCACACGTATGTTTATTGCGGGACTATTCACAATAGCAAAGACTTGGAACCAACCCAAATGTCCAACAACGATAGACTGGATTAAGAAAATGTGGCACATATACACCATGGAATACTATGCAGCCATAAAAAAGGATGAGTTCATGTCCTTTGTAGGGACATGGATGAAATTGGAAATCATCATTCTCAGTAAACTATTGCAAGGACAAAAAACCAAACACCATATGTTCTCACTCATAGGTGGGAATTGAACAATGAGAACACATGGACATAGCAAGGGGAACATCACACTCTGGGGACTGTTGTGGGGTGGGGGGAGGGGGGAGGGATAGCATTTGGAGATATACCTAATGCTAAATGATGAGTTAATGGGTGCAGCACACCAACATGGCACATGTATACATATGTAACTAACCTGCACATTGTGCACATGTATCCTAAAACTTAAAGTATAATAATAATAAAATAAAATAAAAAAAAAATTATGTGCTAAAGAATGACATCATATTTTTTAAATTTGAAGCCATTTAAAAGATAGCTCTCAGCCGGGCATGGTGGCTCATGCCTGTAATCCCAGCACTTTGGGAGGCTGAGGTGGGTAGATCACTTGAGGTCAGGAATTCCAGACCAGCCTGGCCAAGATGGTGAAACCCTGTCTCTACTAAAAATACAAAAATTAGCTGGGCATAGTGGCACATGCCTGTAGTCCCAGCTACTCGGGAGGCTGAGGTGGGAGATTCACTTGAACCCAGGAGGCAGAGGTTGCAGTGAGCTGAGATAGCGCCACTGCACTGTAGCCTGGGTGAAACAGGGAGACTCTGTCTCCCAAAATAAATAAATAAATAAATAATAAAAATAAAAAGTAGCTCTCAATTACTTTTTTTTTTTTTTAGACAGAATCTCCCTCTGTTGCCCAGGCTGGAGTGCAGTGGGCGATCTTGGCTCACTGCAACCTCCTGGGTTCAAGTGATTCTCCTACCTCAGCCTCCCAAGTAGCTGCGATTACAGGCATGCACCACCATGCCCAGCTAATTTTTGTATTTTTAGTAGCGACGGGTTTTCACCATGTTGGCCAGGCTGGTCTCAAACTCCTGGCCGCAAATGATCTGCCTGCTTCGGCCTCCCAAAGTGCTAGGAATACAGGTATAAGCCACGGTGTCTGGCCTCAATTACCTTTTGTGATTAAAGAACTATTACCGTTTACATACAATAATGTGACTGAAATAGAAAACAATCAACATAAAAGAGAACTTACTGAAACCTTCCTATTATATAAAAAAAATCTTACTTCAGGCCAGGGTCTGTTTCTCCATATTCATCCAAGTAAGGAGCTGGATAGGCACAGCCTCTGGCTTTACCTTCAACCAGGACCACTCGGCATTCTCTGATTCTGAAAGAGAAAATCAATAGGAAATATGGTTAAGTGTATGTGTGCAAATGATAGGCACTGCATCAATGTTAACCTAGAGAAAAGACGTGGCCAATATCTGTTAGATATTCAGTAAAAAGACAATATAAACAGACAAATAGACTAAATTATGTTTTGTCTAAATAAAAGAGAACACTTATTGCTATTTCTGTTGAAGCTATAGAAAAGGAGCAGTGGATTTGGTGAAATGAGATCATTTATACTGACGGAATCTGTTGAAGGGAGGAAACTGTCCTACTTCAGCCACAGACACCTTGGAAAATGGTGGCTGGGGTTGTTTCTATTCTAATTCCTGACACAACCTGGAGAGGGGAGGGAACCTCACAGAAGAACAGAATCACATCTCCTAGTCTGATAACCTCAAGCCAGACAGAATATCAACTAGGGAAGTATGCCAGCTTTTCTGGTTAGAGCTGGCCTGAAACACTGCAGATTAAAAGAGCCACTACCACCCTGAAGGCACCTGGGACTTTTATGTCTCTTGGGAAATAGACATAAAAAAGGCTTGCGTACACATATATGGGGGATAAGTACTTTACAGATAAATTATAAAATAAACAGCTGGGATAAGGTAGTGGGTTTACTTGCTGTGGGTTCCCTAAAAATAGGTGTTTGGGTTTGGCTTCCATACATTCTTTCCCCTTGGTTCAAAAGATGCCTATGAACAATGATTACATATTTCACAGTTAGAAAGACATTTGGCTTTATGTAACAGAAACTGTGTTACATGAGGAGAGTGGAAAGAAAAAGGATATATATCCACTTTGAATTTTATTTCTCTGCAGGCAACTTAAACTCTTTTTTCATAAATATAAGTGACTATTTTTCTTTTTTTTCCCAGATAGAGTCTTGCTCTGTCAACCAGGCTGGAGTGCAGTGGTGTAATCTCGGCCTACTGCAACCTCCACCTCCCAGGTTCAAGCGAATTCTCCTGCCTCAACCTTCTGAGTAGCTTGGATTACAGGCATGCGCCACCACGCCCAGCTAATGTTTGTCTTCTTAGCAGAGATGGGGTTTCACCACGTTGGCCAGGCTGGTCTTGAACTCCTGACCTTGTGATCTACCTGCCTCGGGCCTCCCAAAGTGTTGGGATTAAAGGCGAGAGCCACCGCGCCCGGCCATAAGTGACTATTTTTCTATCCTCAATCTTTTGCTGAAAGACCAGGAGAAATGGTGGGTTGATAGATGAAATAAAGATATCACAGGACAATCTAAAGTAAAAATTTACATGTACTTTTTTTTTTGATAGAGGATCTCACTCTGTTGCCCAGGCTAGAATGCAATGGCACGATCATGGCCTTGAACTCCCAGGCTCAAGCAGCCCATCCACCTCAGCCTCTCAAGTAGCTGGGACTGCAGCCATGTGCTACCATGCCTGGCTAATTTTTTATAGAGATGGGGGTCTCGCCTTGCTGCCCAGGCTGATCTTGAACTCCTGACCTCAAGTGATCCTCTTGCCTCAGCCTCCCAAAGTGCTGGGATTATAGGCATAAGTCACTGTGCCTGGCCTACATGTACCTTTTATTTGTTTATTTTTATTTATTTTAAAGAGCTCATCTTCCAGGAAGAGTACTTTTTAAATACAAGTTTTAGGACTTGAAGTTCTTTCATTACACCTGAGTATTATATAATACCAGAGCAATTAATACAAACTCTATCCTATTTAAGATTTTCCATAAATAATGGAAATGTGAACAGAAACTTATTCTTTTTTCACAGTATCTTCTCAAATGCAATTTCATGTCAATAACAGGTTAATACTCTAACTTCTGATTGATTATTTGCTATCAACACACTGTCCCACCATAGTGACCCCCAGATTGGATCCAGATTCCTTAAGTTCATCATGAAGCTTCCAGAACACTCACTACTCACTTTAGGAAAATGCAGACTCCGGCTCCACAGTGAAGTGCGTGAAAAATGCAAGCTCCAACCTCTTCCCCGTTCACAATTTCCTGGCAGCAAATGTTCTGAGAACATAGTATAGCCCCACAGAAAAGGCAGAGGACAGGATGCTTTCGCTCATCATCTGCAGACCGTGGGCACCTCAAAAGAGAAGAAAACATTTAGAGAATGATGGAAAAACAAAACAAAACAAATAAGTACCATATATCCTGTTAGCAATCAAGCATGTTTTCATCACTGACCCCTTTCCAGCAAGGAAGCTCTTAAAACACAAGGAAACATTTAATTAGCCAATTCCTCTTTAATATGCCCCCTAAAAGGGCTTCATGGAAAATCTTCCAATTAATCCATAGTAAGAAAATCTATATTACATAAATGGTGTCCTGATAATTCTCATAAAGTATGGTGGTTGAATATGCCTTGTGATTGAGATTCACTGATAGACTCCAGTCTTCATCTGACATGCCCAATTTACAGTTACCTGCCTCCTCTGTATTGTGTTAGTCAAGCTTGTGTCTTCGATGTTGAAGGAATATGACCTTGTAAGTATGCAATTGTTTAAAAGAAAAAAAATTAAAATTTACAGTAAGGGTCCAAACACATTCCCCCCATTTCTTTTCTTTTCTTTTTTTTTTTGAGACAGTCTTGCTCTGTCACCCAGGCTGGAGTGCAATGGCATGATCTCGGCTCACTGCAACCTCGGCCTCCCCGGTCCAAGCAATTCTCCTGCCTCAGCCTCCCGAGTAGCTGGGACTGAAATGAGAGATTGTAGCCTTTGAGTTGGCCCAGCCTTCCATCTGGGAATCACAGTAAGTCTTAGGAAGGAAAAAGTGATAGTGCTGACTTGCTTGAGTCAACTAGTGTTTTATGATGAGACCATTTTACATAGTATGCTGGAGGCGTGCTATAATGCCCCACCAAGGGGGATAATGGTTATCTTTTAAAAAGGAGTTTCCCATGCTCCTCCCATCTATGCTGTACACTGAACACAATGGGAAATATCAAATTCCTTAATTTGGGAAGTAGAAGATAAATGCAACCGAAGGAGAGATCCAACTAGGCCCACACTGGGGTCGGAATAAAGAAGATCAGAAAGAATCTCCAATAGGGTACTGACAGCCTTTTTTCTGATCCCCAGTTTCTCAGACAGGATAAAAAACAAAACAAAAAACACCTGTCTCCATAGGAGCAGAGGGACTCTGCGCATAGGATGAGAGGACTATTTTCACTTCCGGGAGGTTGCTCCAGAACATAATTATAGCCCTTTTTGGATAAAGCCAACATCTTCTTTCATCTTTAACACAGGATGGCTGAGTCTGAGTCATTAGACATCCTACAGAGGAAAAGCTGGGAGGGAGCCTAAAGTATATGACTGAGCAGCCACCCTCCAACACTAGGGATGGTTCTGTCTTATGGAAATTGGTGGTGACAATAAAACTGGAAGACATCATAGGATTGATTTTCATTCTTATGTGAAATCATAAGTGGTAATATCATCCAGAAGGATCCTCATTGTGATTAATAAAGACCAACACTCTCCACAGATCCTCCGAGGAGCCAACAACTTGATATTCTTTTTTTTTTTTTTTTTTTGAGACAGGGTCTGGCTCTGTCACCCAGGCTGAAGTCCAGTGTCACAGTCACGGCTCACTGCTGCCTCAACCTCCTCGGCTCAAGTGATCTTCTCTCCTCAGCATCCCGAGTAGCTGAGACTACAGGCACATGCCACCAAGCCTAGCTAATTATTTTGTATTTTTTGTAGAGACAGGGTCTCCCCATGTTGCCTAGGCTGGTCTTGAACTCCTGAGTTCAAGAGATTCACCCACCTCAGCCTCCCAAAGTGCTGGGGTTACAGACATGAGCCACTGTACTCAGCCAACCTGGTATTCTTAATGCCTGGAAGATAATATCTATTCACCAGGCTTTTGTGGTAGCAATGTAGCCCCAAGATTAGGAAAATTACTGAATTTAGAGATGGATGCAATCTTTGAAACTAATTAGCTAATTGTTTGAGGGCTGAAAGGTAAAGTGACCCAACCATTCCTTTAGATGATTGACTAGAAAGGGAGCTAGAACAGGAAGGTCAATTTTATACTGTAACAGTGGCTAGGGTGTGAGCTACTGAAGACCCTATTGGGCCAGTTAACTTCCCCAACTTCATGGCTTAAAACAATGGTTATAACTAGATAAGAGAATTTCCTGAGTCATTCCGCAGGGCAGTGATTCTCAGAGCGAGTCAAAGAGGGGCTCTTTAAGACCTCAAATGATCTTTTATTTTTTGAGACAGTCTTACTCTGTTGCCCAGGCTGAAGTGCAGTGGTGTGACCTCAGCTCACTGCAACCTGTGCCTGCACGTTGAAGTGACTCTCGTGCCTCAGCCTCCTGAGTAGCTGGAACTACAGGATGCGCCAACATACCTGGCTAATTTTTTTTGTATTTTTAGTAGAGATAGCATTTTGCCATGTTGGCCAGGCTGGTCTCAAACTCTTGGCCTTTAGTAATCTGCCCGCCTTGGCTTCCCAAAATGTTGGGATTACAGGCATAATCCACCGCACCTGGCCTCAAAATAACCTTAAACCGGCCAGGTGCGGTGGCTCACGTCTGTAATCCCAGCACTTTGAGAGGCTGAAGTGGGTGGATCACGAGGTCAGGAGTTCAAGATCAGCCTGGCCAAGATAGTGAAACCCTGCCTCTACTAAAAATACAAAAATTAGCCAGGAGTGGTGGCGGGTGCCTGTAATCCCAGCTACTCGGAAGGCTGAGGCAGAGAATTGCTTGAACCCAGGAGGCAGAGGCTGCAGTGAACTGATATCGTGCCACTGCACTCCAGCTTGGGCAACAGAGCGAGACTCTGTCTCAAAAACAAAACAAAACAAAACAAAAACAAATTTAAACTGCACTCCTTTTTTTTGGTTCCTTCAAATGACAGCAAGTTATTTCACATATGACTGAGGACTACTACATGAAAGCAGTTAATTATGACTACTAACTGCTATCCTTAAAACAAAATGTAAGAGTTATGTGTATTTACTGAGATCTTGAATTAATTTAAGTATTTTACTAAAACGTCTGGCTGCTGCATAATGCTTAGTAATATTACAAAACTCTTAAAGGAGCTTTGGAATTCTTGCAATTTGGAAAAAGGATGATTACTTACTAGTAAATCAATAAAGTCTTGAATAGGCTTTGTTTTTCAGGCTACTGAGATTCTTGTCTTTTAATTACAAGTTACTACTTGTTACATGTCATCATTATCAATGTGGTTTGCTATGGGAGGTGATATGATGCCTCCTGAGTATCCAGAATACATAGTTACATCAACAGAAGTTTTGGCTTAGTATTTTCAAGACATAATGCATTATGATTCAAATATGAAGTATTCACCCCCCAATGGTGAAAGCAGATGTGAATATAATTCCTCCATTCAGTGACATCTCACTGGTGGTGGTCATGATTCATGCTACTCAAATAACTTACAACATATTATAGCAAGGTAAGCATAATAAGATACAAAATTATGTTTAAGCTACAGGACATTATTTTATCATGTAGACACATGTTTAGGCTTATGCTCTTACAGAAGTAACTAATAGGTAAGTCACACACAATGTTAAAAATGAGTACCTGTATATTGTTAACCTATTTTGTTTTCACCAGTCTTTGTTATCATCCAGTTCTTTTTCCACTTGAAATTATCAGTGAAAGGGGTGAAAGAGATAAAAAAGTTTGGGAACCACTGCTTTAGAGTGGTTTGATTGAGGTGGGGGGATGGTGCCAAAAAAGCCTAAGCGGGTGTACTCCACTCTTCAAGCTTGAACCTGAGTCACGATGCTATTACCTGTTCTGCTGTTTAATGGGCTTCCATGTAAGATTTTGTTTAATAACGGTTCTTGTGGCTTAAAAAACAACAACAAAAAAAGATTAAGGAGTGATATCATAGAAAATGGTAGCTCCAGAAATCAGTCACTCTAATGAAACAACTGTTGAGCCAGCAAGAACTGCCTGAGGCAACTTTTTTTTTCTTTTGAGACATAGTCTCATTCACTCTGTCACCCAGGCTGGAGTGCAGTGGCACGATCTCGGCTCACTGCAACTTCTGCCTCCTGGGTTCAAGTGATTCTCACGCCTCAGCCTCCCAAGTAGCTGGGATTACAGGTGCGCACCACCACACCTGGCTAATTTTTGTATTTTTAGCAGAGGCAGAGGCGGAGTTTCACCATGTTGGCCAGGCTGGCCTTGAACTCCTGACCTCAAATTATCCACCCACCATGGCCTCCCAAAGTGCTGGGATTACAGGCATGAGCCACTGTGCCCAGCCTGAAGCAACTATTTTGGAACTCTGGAGCCTGGTGAAATGCTTGCAGCATCCAGGGGAATGCTTAATAAAGGAAGAAGCTGGCATTTTGTGTAGTGGCTAGCATCCTCTATTCCCCAATGTCATGGCAGGTAGCCATGGGGATGATGGCTTGTTTTTCTGGTGTGGCTTGCTTGTGTCAGGGTAGGCAATAGAGACGTCTTCCAAAAATTGAGGCTGTATGTTTAGATCTCTCTGGTGGTTCACTGAGGGGCCAGCAAGGATGTGAGAAAAAAGGCGCCCTCACACATTGCTGGTTGGGACATAAAATGGTGCAACCACTGTGGAAAACAGTTTGCAGCTCCTCAAAAAGTTAAACACAAAATTACCATATGACTCAGCAATTCCACTCCTGGGCATACATCCAAAAGAAATGAAAACTTTATGTCCACAAAGAAACTTGTAGATGAGTATTTTTTTTAGTAGCATTATCTGTAATAGTCAAAAGGGGGAAACAACCTAAATGCCCATCTATGGATGAAGGAATAAACAAACTCTTATATATACATACAATGGAATATTATTTAGTCAAAAAAGGAAAAAAGTAATGACATATGCTACGACTCGGATAAATATTAAAGACATGCTAAGTGAAAGAAGCCAAACACAAAAGGTCATATATTGTATCATTCCTTTCATATAATATATCCAGAATAGGCAAATCCATAGAGACAGAAAGTAGATTACAGATTACCATAGGGTACGGGATGAGGGGAATAAGAAGTGATTAGTGAGTACAAGGTGACGAAAAAGTTTGCAAACTAAAGAGGTGGTGATTGTACAACATTTTGAATACATTAAATGCCACTGAACTGTACACTTTATCATGGTTCATTGCATGTTATGTGGATTTCCCCTCAACTTAAAAAAAATTGACAACCACTGTTATGAAGGATACTCAGAGGTCACCGCTAAAAAAGGAAATTTGTGGCCAGGTGCAGTGGCTCATGCCTGTAATCCCAACATTTTGGGAGGCCAATGGGTAGGAGGATCACTTGAGCCCAGGAGTTCGAGACCAGCCTGGGCAACATAACGAAACCTTGTCTCTATGAAAAATTAAAAAAATTAGCAGGGCATGGTGGCGCCTGCCTGTAGTTTCACTACTTGGGAGATTGAGATGGGAAGAGCCCAGGAGTTTGAGGCTGCAGTGAGCTATAGTCAAATCACTGCACTCCAGCCTGGGCAACAGAGCAAGATCCTGTCTAAAAAACAAACAAACAAAAACAAAAAAACCCAAACCAAAACAAACAAAAAAACAAAAACAAGGAAGTGTGTTAGTTATGGCATATACCAATTGCGAGTTCAGAAAATGATTTAAAATTACACACATATATATACACACTCTCCTTACCTGAAATGAGAAGCTTGATTCAGGAGGCAGCTATAGTCATCAGGAAGCTCTATCAAACTATTTCTTTTTCTAGGGTACCTACAATGTAATTTAAAAGGCAATTTTATTTTAGAGTAAATAACCCCAGATCAAAAACTGCCCAAAGTGATAGAAGAATGTCTTAAAAATAACAAAAGGATCTACACTTGCAATCCAAAGTAATTCCCACTGTTGACTTGATCAAATCCAAACTTCTCAGCCTATAATTCCAAATCTTTCATCAGCTGGATTCCTTTCCAAACTTAACTTCCTCTAGTTTCTAGGACTAAACTGTTATAGCTAGATTTCTGTACTGTATAGGGAAGTAACATAAAGTAGTAGTTAAGAACACAGCCTTTGAAATTAGAGCTGGTTACAAATCCTAAATTCTCTGACACTTCACAAGTCTTTGAACCTAAGCCTGTATTTCCCTGTCTGTAAACTAGGGATAAAATATACCATACTCCAATCATGGGGCCACCATCAAATCAGGTTCTGGGGAAGGGAGGGAGAGAAACATTACATTAAATGAACTTATCAATTAAAAGGCTAATATTGATTTAAGAAATGTCAAATTAAATATGAATATTAGCATTAAGGAAACATATAGAGCGGTTGAGGACTAAATGAGATACTGAAGTAAAACACAATATACTTAGTACTTAATACATGCTTGCAAATGTTACTCATTCTCACCAAACTAGATACAATAAAAGCCTTGCTTGCATGTATTGGGGAAGATCATCTGAATAATGTGAAATTCTCTCCTCAAACCCCAGTCAATCAACCAATCAACCAATTTATTGATTTATTTATTGGAGGCAGAGTCTCACTCTATCCCTCAGGCTGGAGTGCAATGGTGCGATCTCGGCTCACTGCAACGTCCGCGTCCTGGGTTCAAGCGATTCTCATGCCTCAGGCTCCTGAGTAGCTGGGATTACAGGCGCCTGCCACCATGCCCAGCTATTTTTTGTATTTTTACTAGAGACGGGGTTTCGTCATGTTGGTCAGGCTGGTCTCGAACTCCTGACCTCAGGTGATCCGCCCACCTTGGCCTCCCAAAGTGCTGGGATTACAGGTGTGAGCCACGGCGCCTGGCCCCAATCAATTTAAATTCTGTAATTCTTTTCATCTTCAATTCAGTTGTCTATATTTAGTACAACCATAACATTTATTTGGCAAACCTAGACACTTTTTGGTTTGTTTTTTTAGAGACAGTATTCACTCTGTTGCCCAGGCTGGCCTTGAACTCCTAGGCTCAAGCAATACTCCTGTCTCAGGCTCCTGAGTAGCTGGGACTACAGGTGCATGCCACTGTGCCTGGCTTAAATTTTATAATTATTTCTATACTCAGCTAAAAATGATCTCTAAGACTAACCTTGCCTCATTAACAATCTTTTCCTCTTTAAATTTCTATAGCACTAATGGTATATTCCATACATCATTATACTTTATGTTATAATGTCTTAAGTTTTATGTTCATAACTAGATTGTAGATGACTCATGACCAAAAGCTATGTTACCTCTTTTAAATTTTCCAGAGTATTTCAGTACCATGCTGGGTAAATAGCAGATGTATAAAAGGTGTACAGTGAATTGAAATAAAGGAAAAATTGTGTGAGATTAACAGTCCAAAAATATGTATTCATATCTTAAACTTTTCTTTTTTCTCTACTCGAAGATCTTTTCTTAGTGATGTGACTCCTACTGCATCTGAGCACAGAGGCTGGATCTATTATCACTAAATCTCTAAAGATGTGTTACAAGTGAAAGCAGCATATGCACATGTACAGTGGAGGTGAAAGGAGTTCCAGGGTGAGAGAAGATGAGAAAAGGCGGCAAATGTGCACTGTCTTGAAGTTTGCTTTATCCACAGGAAAATGGTACTAGTGTTGGTATTTAAAGCTGGGAGTCAATTCCTCCACTTGTTTATAGATGTGATTCAAGTGAGTAAAATTAGACACCGTATACAATACCAGTCAGGCCCTCGGAGGGGATACAAAGACAATAAGCATGCAGTTCTTATTCGTCAGTTATTCTGGGTGCAAACAAGTGGACATTTATGAGAGAGACTATATTAGGGGAGGCTTCATGGAGGAGGTGGCATTTAAATTAGTACTTAAGAAGTAGATTTTGTTAGAGACAACTTAAGGGAGATAAGAGGGCTGAAGAAAAGTTTTTGGGGTAGTTTCTAAGGACACAGGAAGGAAAAAGGATATAGTTCTATGTATATCTTGCTTTATTCTAACAAAAAAAATCAAAAACAAAAGTGGCTTATAGAAATATTGTAAACCACTACCTTTTGAAGTTAATACACCAGCAGCTCCATGATGCCTCCTCCAACTTTGCCTTTTGACAGGTATGTGCTAGCTTAAAAAAGATTCTCTTAAGAGGAACTGCTGGCTTCTAATAATCTAAGAGGAAAAGGACAGCCACTCCAAGAAAAAAACATTTGTAGGAAGAATCTGATTTCTGGCAAAGACCTAACAGAAATCAGGAACACTGTACTGAGTGAGAATGAAGAAAGCAGACTAGAAACTATGCTCAACAAATCAACTACTTTAGGAAACACAACTTGTGGATGAGGGAGAAAGGATTAAGTAGTAAAACCAACCTGACCACGGTGTTTTTTTGCTTCAAACAGTTTAGTAAGGCAGGATCTGCACACCACCTGTATGTGGAGCCAAGAGAAAAGACAAATGGATTATCACAGCTTCAATGCATGATTTGTCAACAAGCCATTCTCTTTTTTTTTTGAGATGGATTCTCACTCTTTCGCCCAGGCTGGAGTACAGTGGCAGCAATCTCGGCTCACTGCAGCTTCTGCCTCCTAGGTTCAAGCAATTCTCCTGCCTCAGCCTCCCAAGTAGCTGGCACTCGCCACCACACCTGGTTAGCTTTTGTATTTTTAGCAGAGACGAGGTTTCCCATGTTGGCCAGGCTGGTCTCAAACCCCTGACCTCAAGTGATCCGCCCGCCTCAGCCTCCCAAAGTGCTGGGATTACAGACGTGAGCCACTGTGCCCAGCCTTGCCATTCTCTTCAATTCTTTCTGTCCCTTCTTTCTATTTCTATGTTCCCCCTTTTTTTTTTTTTTTTGTTTTGAGACAGTTTTGCTCTTGTCGCCCAGGCTGGAGTGCAATGGTGATCTCCACTCACTGCAACCTCCATCTCCCGTGTTCCAGTGATTCTCCTGCCTCAGCATCTTCAGTAGCTGGGACTACAAGCACACACCACCATGCCCGGTTAATTTTTTATTTTTTAGTAGAGACAGGGTTTCACCATGTTGGCTGGGCTAGTCTCAAACTCCTGACCTCAGGTGATCAGCCTGCCTCGGCTTCCCAAAGTGCTGAGATTACATGCAAATGAGCCACTGTGCTGGCCTATGTTCCTCTTTTTTTTTTTTTTTTTTTAGATGGAGTCTCACTCTGTCACCCAGGCTGGAGTGCAATGGCGCGATCTTGGCTCACTGCAACTTCTGCCTCCCAGGTTCAAGTGATTCTGATGCCTCAGCTCCCGAGCAGCTGGGATTACAGGCATGCGCCACCACGCCTGGCTAATTTTTGTATTTCTTTTTTTTTAGTAGAGATGGGGTTTCACACCATGTTGGCCAGGCTGGTCTTGAACTCTTGACCTCAGGTGATTTGCCCACCTCGGCCTCCCAAAGTGCTGGGATTACAGGTGTGAGCCACTGTGCCTGGCTCTGTGTTCCTCTTTCTATACTTATCTTTTTTTTTGTTTTTGAGATGGAGTCTACCTCTGTTGCCCAGAGTGGAGTCCAATGGTGTGGTCTTGGCTCACTGCAACCTTCGCCTCCAGAGTTCAAGCAATTCTCCTGCCTCAGCCTCTTGAGTAGCTGGGACTACAGATGTGCGCCAACATGCCCAGCTAATTTTTTTTTTTTTTTTGTATTTTTAGTAGAAATGGGGTTTCACTATCTTGGCCAGGCTGGTCTCAAACTCCTGACCTCGTGATCCAAAGTGCTGGGATTACAGGTGTGAGCCACCGCACCCAACCTTATATTTAACTTATTTATATTTATCATTTTGCCCCTTTTCTTCTCCCTTTCTTTCCTCTCTTTCTTTGTTGTGTCTAATTATTTTTCTTCTCTTATTCAT
The DNA here is from genome assembly GCF_000001405.40 of Homo sapiens. NCBI lineage: Eukaryota > Metazoa > Chordata > Mammalia > Primates > Hominidae > Homo > Homo sapiens. The sequence goes on from NC_000015.10 coordinate 42,962,148, forward strand.
TTATTTTTTACAGAGTATATCATCCAAGGTCTTACTAGAAAAACAGAAACCATTCTAAGTATTTAAACAAGAGAGAATTTAACAGGAGTTAGTAATAAAAGTGATGGAAGGGCTGAGAAGCCAACCATGAGACAAAAAGGCAAGGCAAACTAAAGATCACCACTCCCCTAGGCTGGAGGAACAAAAGGAAACAGCGGTATCATGGAGCCCAGAGGCTAGGGACACCAGCAGATACTGGAATCACAGCAGGCTTGTCTGGTGGGAACTGGAGCCAGACAAGAGCTGCCGTCACCATCAGAGATGCCCCACAAGACAGACAGAGCTAGCCTGAACTGGGGCCTCTCTTTTTTTTTTCTTTTGGAGATGGAGTCTTGCTCCATCACCCAGGCTGGAGTGCAGTGGTGAGATCTCAGCTCACTGCAACCTCCGCCTCCTGGGTTCCAGCGAGTCTCCTGCCTCAGCTTCCCCAGTAGCTGGGATTACAGGTACCTGCCACCACGCCTGGCTAATTTTTGTATTTTTAGTAGAGATGGGGTTTCACCATGTTAGCCAGGCTGGTCTCGAACTCCTGACCTCAGGTGATCCACCTGCCTTGGACTCCCAAAGTGCTGGGATTACATGCATGAGCCACCACGCCTGGCCAACACTGGGGCTTCCCTTTTTCCTGGCCACCAAAATCTTGCCAGTGCTTCCCCTCCCACTGGCTGAACCCATGCAGAAGTCAGCTGACAAGGTAGACTGGGAAATTCCCAGGGTCACTTTCCTGCAACATAGGGCAGAGGATGAGAGAAGACTTTCAGACAAGGAGGGTCTGGAAAGATACAGAGGGCAAGGACTTTCTGTTTCAAAGTGTGAATTTTTAATACTTGACTGAACTAGAACAGCAATTAAGACTTTTCTACTCCAAGAATATAAAAGTAAAATTAGTTAACCTACTGTGATTGTACTCAACACAAAGCATGATACTGATTTTCTTAAACAATTCATTTTGATCACGCTAGAGATCAGAATATTTCGAGAGAAATGAGGAAGCAAAGAAAAGAACCCAACACAGAGAACCCACTGCACAAGAAGGGTGGTAGGAGACAGAAGCCAACGTTCACACAAATACTGACCTGGGTATTTAAAAAAAAGACAATTAAAGAAAAAGGTAGAAAGCAAGGAGAATAAAGGAAATGATGGGCAAGGAAAGCAATACAGTGAGAGCTGATTATAAAAATGATAGAAAATGGTGCAGGCAAAGATAGGGTAAGAAGACTGGAGGTTAGCAGCATTGACAGTGCACAAGAGGGCCAGTAACCAATAGGGTAAAAAGTTTTTCTGAAAGAAGGACACATTTCTCTCTTGGAAATTTAACTGAAGTATTTTTTTTGATCTACCAAATGACCTTCCTTCTTTTCTCAGTCACTCTCCTGATACATGCGCTACCATGTGAGATATGCTCCTATTTTGGATACAGTTCCAATTTGGGTTCTTTTGATACTAACTGTGACTTTATGCCTGCTAGCAAAATCCCCACCCCCCACCCCCAATTTAAAACAGATGAGACACCAGCTGTGGGGAAAGTAAATAAAATGAATGATAGTTATAGTGGAGCAAGCAGAAATTCCAACTGCCTATGGCTGTTGATCTTATCCCCACTTCTTAAGTGTGTAACTTAGGAATCTCCTATACTTTTGCCACCCCTTTAATCAGTGCTGATTGAACTAAAAGCTTAGCAAGTAATTGTAATTTTAAAATTTCAAATTGTATAATAACCCAACAACAATATTTTATCCCCATAGTACCTCTGGAGCAAGGGCCTTACAGTATCCCAATATTCCTGGAAGAGCAGGAACAAATTTGTAGGTAAAGATAGATAGCTACAGAGTGCACTGTACTCTCCTTCTGCAGAATCTGCAAGAGAATAAAAATACATTTAATAAGCACATTATTCTTACCTGGTCAATCTGTGCATTAGAGTTTCTTCACTGTTTATGCTTATTTCTACACTCTCCTTGTAGAGGGTATATTGCTTATTCTATAAAACCATGGGTGGCAGTCCGGGCACGGTGGCTCATGCCTGTAATCCCAGCACTTTGGGAGGCCGAGGCGGGCGGATCACCTGAGGTCGGGAGTTCAAGACCAGCCTGACCAACATGGAGAAACCCCATCTCTACTAAAAATACAAAATTAGCCAGGCGTGGTGGCACATGCCTGTAATCCCAGCTACTAGGGAGGCTGAGGCAGGAGAATTGCTTGAACCCGGGAGGTGGAGGTTGCAGTGAGCTGAGATCGCGCTATTGCACTCCAGCCTGGGCAACAAGAGCGAAACTCCGTCTCAAAAAAAAACAAAAAACAAACAAACAAACAAAACCCATGGGTGGCAAATAAGTCACAGTGATTTTTTTAAAACATAAATTGTATCGAGTCACTCTCCTGATCGGATGGCTCTAATGTGTAACCACACTTAGTATAAAATACAAGGTCCCTATCGTGGCCCAAAGGTCCTGTGTGAGCTGCCCCTGGTTGCCTCTTAGACCTCATCTCCTGTCATCTCCTGTTACCCTCCCCCTTAGGCTTCAGCCATACTCATCTCTTTGCAATTCTGTGACTACGTCAAACGAAGCCTTGACATTTATAACTTCTTCTATTTAGGAATATTCTTCCTTCAACTGTCTGTTCAACTCAACCCCCTCTATGTAGCTGTTTGCTCAATGTCTCCTCACAGAGAAGCATTCTATGAAAACTATCTCAGAGAGTTCCCCACTCTGGCCCCAATACCCTCTATTCCTGAACTGCTTCATTCTGCCTTGCAACATTTATCAGCATTTGACATTACATTATATGTATTTCTCTATTTGTTTATAATTGGATTCCTCCCAATAAAAAGGACTTTATTTCACTCACAACTGTACTGTAGCACCTATGAGATAAATACATGACTTTTTTGTATGTGAGCAAACAACAGATCTGTGCTGGCAATTACTTGGAAAGTGGACTCCTATTTTATACAAGACCATGAAAAACCTAGATCAGATAAACCCTACTGAACTGAGTTCAAGATAAAGAAGCTGATAGCCAGTAACGGTAACCTGGTCAGCTTATTCTCAAAGGACAAAAGGAAGAATCTCAGCAATTTTGATGACTCTTCCAAAATCATATAAATATTCTGATTTTTACCCATACAAAGCCACAGGAAGGCTTCCCTACTTTGGTCTAGATTTAGAGGCAAGTAAATGAGAAGGTGATCCTATTGCTTAAATATGCATGGCCTAGGTTGGTTCTAGTAGGCCTTTCCTAGCAGCACTTTCATTCTTTAATGTAGTCATATGTACTTTTTTTTTTTTTTTTTGAGACAGAGCCTTGCTCTGTCACCCAGGCTGGAGTGCAGTGGCGCAATCTCGGCTCACTGCAACCTCTGCCTCCTGGGTTCAAGTGATTCTCCCACCTCAGCCTCCTGAGTAGCTGGGATTACAGGCAATATGCCACCATGCCCAGCTAATTTTTTTGTATTTTTAGTAGAGACGGGGTTTCACCATGTTGGCCTTGCTGGTCTCGAACTCCTGACCTCAAGTGATCCACCCGCCTCGGCCTCCCAAAATGTTGGGATTATAGGCGTGAGCCACCACACCCGGCCTACATGTCCAAAATTTAAATAACAGAGTATACAGTAAAGTCTTCCTCCTATCTAGCCAAACAATTCTCTTCTCTAAAGACAACCAATGTTTCTAATTTCTTGTATAGCATATCAGTTATATTCTGCATGCAGGTATTTTATAAGCTCAAGCACATAACCTATACATAGATAGGAGCGAAGAGTAGGTCTTGCAGATTATAAAGCTAATATACTTTTTGGCCTCACCTTTAACCTACACCAGGGCTCATGTTTGAAGGGAACACACATGAAAGAAATGGGGAGAGGAGAAGTGGTTTTATCTGCTTTAACCTTGTATTCATGAGCTTGAAGGTAAGAACAAAGAAAATCTCCCATTTTCCACTCCATGATTTCATTTTTCTACTTACTGGTATGCAGTTCCTCAGGCGGAGTTACCCCAAGTAAATAGTGGAAAAACAATGCAGCACAGCGAAGATAAGGGGTGATGCCATTCTTCAGTGAGACCCACAAATACCAGCCAGGAATATCACACCCAATGGAGCTAGGAGACAATAATTCCAGAAGAGAACAGAATACATATCAGACTAAAGCCCTAGATTTAAACATATCCCCCTTTTCAAATACAAAGTTAAACATTTAGGTAATTTATTATCCATGCAATTTTTAAACATTTAAAACAAAATATAATCCCAGCACTCTGGGAGGCCAAGGCAGGTGGATCACCTGAGGTCAGGAGTTCAAGACCAGCCTGGCCAACATGGCAAAACCCCAGTCTCTACTGAATTAGCCGGGCATGGTGGTGGGCACCTGTGATCCCAGCTACTCGGGAGGCTGAGGTGGGAGAACTGCTTGAACCCAGGAGGTGGAGGCTGCAGTGAGCTGAAACTGTGCCACTGTACTTTAGCCTGGGCAACAGAGCGAGACGCTGACTCAAAAAAAAAAAAAAAAATTTGAGTAGCAAATAGTTTCAGTGTTTAAATCTCCTAATAATTTCCTCAAGAAAATCACAAATCTTACATATTTTACCATGTGGATTTTTAAGGCAAGGAACTACTCTTCTTTTTCCTAGGTGGTGATAAAAAACAAAAGCAAAACAAAAACAAAGAGGCAACCAAAAAATCTACTTTAAAGGAACTTGACTCTTAAATAAAGTATACTCTTTATTTTCAAATTTTTATTATTATTATTTTTTGAGATAGAGTCTTGCTCTGTCACCCAGGCTGGAGTGCAGTGCTGCGATCTGGGCTCACTGCAACCTCTGCTTCCCAGGTTCAAGTGATTATCCTGCCTCAGCCTCCCGAGTATCTGGGACTAAAGGCACACGCCACCATGCCTAATTTTTTGTATTTTTAGTGGAGACAGGGGTCTCACCATGTTGGCCAGGATGGTTTCGAACTCCTGACCTCGGGTGATCCGCCCGCCTCAGCCTCCCAAAGTGCTGGGATTATAGGTCTGAGTGACCATGCTCAACTAGTTTTTTTTTTTTTTTTTTTTTTAAATAGAGACAAGGTCTCACTATCTTGCTCAGGCTGATCTTGAACTCCTGGGCTCAAGCAATCCTCCTACCTCAGTTTCCCAAAGTGCTGGGATTATAGGTATGAGCCACCGTGACTGGCCTAAAATAAAGTATATTCTTCAACATAAAAGTTAAAGGTTACTAAAGCTTCCTTTTTTTTTTTTTTGTTTAGATTAAAACCTTGTAAAGAAATGTGGAGAAAAAAAATTTATCAATAACTAACCAAAGCAACTTGTTAGCTAAAACAAAATTAATAATTTCCTGGTTTCTATATTAAGATTGACTAATGATGTGTGTGGCAGTTAAATTATTCTGTATGATACTGTAAAGCGAATCTTATGTAAACTATGAACTTGAGTTAATCATAATGTATTAATATTGGTTAGTCAATTGTAACAAATGGTACCTCCCTAATGCAAGGTATTAATAATACGGGAACTGGTAGGGGGAGGGAGCAAATGGCGACTCTTTATACTTTCTGCTCAATTTTTCTGTAAACCTAAAATGTCTCTAAAAAACAAAATCTATTAACTTAAAAAAAAAGAAAGACTGGTAAAGGTGACTGATGAGGGGAACTTGGCAGCAGATGTAGTTCAGCAGAGCATGCCTATCGTACTCCTACTATAACCTCTACACAAGGGTTAAATATATATAAGATTTTAAATATATATTATGAATATATATAAAAATTATATATGTAGTATGTACTGTTATACAATATATGTACATATTGTATGTTATGTATATATTACATGCATGTTAAAATACAAATGCCAATGTATTTTCCATATTACTCAATAAGGGCCTTAACCTGTAACTACATGCATGCACTGAGTGCATCAATTGTATGGATCACTGTAAAAGGACAACCTATTTTCTATTTTCTACATTTATTTTAATTCTAAATACTCCTTTTTTTAAAATCCAATCATCTTTTGTCTATGCTTCCAGAACAGTTTACAAAAGTAAAGATGTGTTGAACTTGTTTCAGTCTCAGAAACAAGTGGGTAGCTGTTATTCCAACCTACTATCTTTTACTTCAAAGTAAAATCATCAAAATAAATTTTCTTCACTGTAAACCTATCCTGTAGCAAACAAAGTCATGCTAAAAGCCCTTAACAGATTTTTTTTTTTTTTTTTAAATAGAGAGACAGGGTCTTGTAATGTTGCCCAGGGTGGTCTCAAACTCCTGGGCTCAAGCAATCCTCCTGCCTTGGCCTCTAAAAGTGTTCGGATTACAGGCATGAACCATTGCACCTAGCTTCATAACTGATTATTATTATTATTATTATGCACGTGCAGAACGTGCAGGTTTGTTATATAGGTATACATGTGTCATGGTGGAGGTTTGCTGCACCCAGCAACCCGTCATCTACATTAGGTATTTTTCCTAATGCTATCCCTCCCCTTTTCCCCCAGCCCCTGACAGGCCCTGGTGTGTGATGTTCCCCTCCCTGTGCCCATATGTTCTCATTGTTCAACTCCTACTTGTGAGAACATGCGGCATTTGGCTTTCTGTTCCTGTGTTAGTTTGCTGAGAATGATGGTTTCCAGCTTCATCCATATCCCTGCAAAAGACATGAACTCATTCTTTTTTATGGCTGTATGATATTCCATGGTGTGTATGTGCCACATTTGCTTTATCCAGTTTAACACTGATAGGCATTTGGGTTGGTTCCAAGTCTTTGCTACTGTGAATGGTGCTGCAATAAACATATGTGTGCATGTGTCTTTATAGTAGAATGATTTATAATCCTTTGGGTATATATCTAGTAATGGGATTGCTGGGTCAAAGGGTATTTCTAGTTCTAGATCCTTGAGGAATCGCCACACTGTCTTCCACAATTGTTGAACTAATTTACACTCCCACCAACAGTGTAAAAGTGTTCCTATTTCTCCACATCCTCTCCAGCACCTGTTGTTTCCTGACTTTTTAATGATTGCCATTCTAACTGGCATGAAATGGTATCCCATTGTGCTTTTGAGTTGCATTTCTCTAATGACCAGTGATGATGAGCTTTTTTACATGTTTGTTGGCCGCATAAATGTCTTCTTTTGAAAAGTGTCTGTTCATATCCTTCGCCCACTTTCTGATAGAGTTGTTTGCTTTTTTCTTGTAAATTTGTTTAAGTTCTTTGTAGATTCTGGATATTAGCCCTTTGTCAGATGGATAGATTGCAAAAATTTTTTCCTGTTCTGTAGGTTGCCTGTTCACTCTGATGATAGTTTCTTTTGCTGTGCAGAGGCTCTTTTGTTTAATTATATCCCATTTGTCAATTTTGGCTTTTGTTGCAATTGCTTTTGGTGTTTTAGTCATGAAGTCTTTGCCCATGCCTATGTCCTGAATGGCCCAAAAACTCCTTAAGCTGACAGGCAACTTCAGCAAAGTCTCAGGATACAAAATCAATGTGCAAAAATCACAAGCATCCCTATACACCAATAATAGACAAACAGGGAGCCAAATCATGAGCAAACTCTCATTCACAATTGCTACAAAGAGAATACCTAGGAATACAACTTAAAAGGGATGTGAAGGACTTCTTCAAGGAGAACTACAAACCACTGCTCAAGGAAATAAGAGAGTACACAAACAAATGGAAAAACATTCCATGTTCACAGACAGGAAGAATCAATGTCGTGAAAATGGTCGTACTGCTCAAAGTAATTTATAGATTCAATGCTATCCCCATCAAGCTACCACTGACTTTCTTCACAGAATTAGAAAAAACTACTTTAAATTTCACATGGAACCAAAAAAGAGCCCGTATAGCCAAGACAATCCTAAGCAAAAAGAACAAAGCTGGAGGTATCACGCTACCTGACTTCAGACTATACTACAAGGCCACAATAACCAAAACAGCATGGTACTGGTACCAAAACAGATATATAGACCAATGGAACAGAACAGAGGCCTCAGAAATAACACCACACATCTACAACCATGTGATCTTTGACAAACCTGACAAAAACAAGCAATGGGGAAAGGACTCCCTATTTAATAAATGGTGTTGGGAAAACTGTCTAGCCATATGCAGAAAACTGAAACTACACCCCTTCCTTACACCTTACATAAAAATTAACTCAAGATGGATTAAAGATTTAAATGTAAGACCTAAACCATAAAAACCCTACAAGAAAACCTAGGCAATAACTGATTATTTTTAACTGGAATTTAAATGATTCAAATGTTACGTTGCCAAACAACTGAACAAGAAATGGAATTATTACAATAGACTGAACTAATGGATTGTTACTCACCCACTTGTATATTGAGAAATTTCTGCAAAGAAAGAAGATGCGGAATGAGCCTCTTCACTGTCTTCTTGAACCTGAGCAAGGGGTAGGCCTGAAAAAGAAATTCTGCAAGATGAATTATGTATTTGCTATTCAGTTTACAAATTAGACTTTAATTTCATTGTTCCAAGACAATAAACAACGTAGATTCATTCAACTGAGGTTCTTTCCTTTTTTTTTTTTTGAGACAGAGTTTCGCTCTTGTTGCCCAGGCTGGAGAGCAATGGTGCGATCTTGGCTTGCTGCAACCTCCACCTCCCGGATTCAAGCAATTCTCCTGCCTCAGCTTCCCAACTAGCTGGGATTACAGGCGTATGCCACCATGCCCAGCTAATTTTGTATTTTTAGTGTGTTTCACCATGTTAGTCAGGCTGGTCTTGAAATCCTGACCTCAAGTGATCCACCTGCCTTGGCCTTCCAAAGTGCTGGAATTACAGACATAAGCCACCATGCCCAGCCCCACCTGTTTTTAATCTAAGTAGTTGATGCTGAATTTTAAAGTTGTTAGGTAAACTTTATCTATATATTAGCTGGAGAAACAAATAGGGCAGAATCACTAAACATGGATGTTTAATATTTACTTGCTAAACATGTAAATACTTACTTCATCATAATATGACCATGGAAATAAATTGTTATCAACCTGCTTTGGGTTCCTAGGAATCTAAGCCAGCAGATAGAAATTCAACCTCTAGAAAGGGAAGTAGGTGTCTGTCCTGCCTTCATGCTCAAGCAAAGGGTCCCATAAAGAGAACTTTGTGAGGTTATTTTCCTCCATCAACCTATCTTTAAGGAGGACCATCCTAAACCCTTCCAGCAACTGCCAACTCTCTCACTTACATTAAGGCTCTGGATAAGCTACATAAGTTCTCTGAACTTCAGAAATATTGTATTAAACTTGATATACAAATGTCTACCTTGTAGTTTGCTGTGAGGTATAGTTATAGCACATTTGAGTAGTGCTCTGTTGTTTTAAAAATGCTTTTGTTTATGTATTAATTCATCTGGAAGGTCAAGATTCAAGTTGCCCTCAGTAATTTTATCATATCTTGAATGAATACTGCTAGTCCTTTTCATTTTCCAAATAACATCTCTTTATTCCTATACTTTTAAAAAATGCATCATGAATTCATACTGATTTTTTCAATTCAAATGTAAGAGAGTTCAATAATTCTAAGGGATTCTTTATAAATTTGAGGTAAATTTTACATGCAATTAAGTGCACAAATATCAAGTGCTCTATCTGATGATGAGTTTGACAAATGCATACACCCACAAAATAAGATTTTTATTTTTTAATTAATACACTTTATTTTTTAAGAGAAGTTTTAGATTCACAGCAAAATTGAGCAGAAAGTACAGAGGATTCCCTCTGTCTCTATGCACACACAACATCCCCCACCTATCAACATTTGGCACCAGTGTTGTACGCTTGTTATAATCAATGAGCCTACATTGCCACACCATTATCACCCAAAGTCCACAGTTTACATTAGGGTTCATTCTTGGTGTTTACATTCTATGAGTTTGGACAAATGTGTAATAATGACATGCATGCACCATTGTAGTATTTTTCATAACAGTTTCACTGCCTTAAAAATCCTCTATGCTGTGCCTATTCAGCCCTCCCCCAACACCCTTACCCCTGGCAATCACTAATCCTTTCACTGACCCTATAGTTTTGTCTTCTCTAGCGTGTCATATAGTTGGATTTGTATAGTATACAACCTTTTCAAATTGACTTATTTTAGCTAGTAATAGGCATTTAGGTTTTGTCCATCTTTTCATCACTCGGTAACTCATTTCTTCTTTTTATTTTTTTTATTTTTTTGAGATGGAGTCTTGCTCTGTCACACAGACTGGAGTGTAGTGGTGCAGTCCTGGCTCACTGCAACCCCCGCCTCCTGGGTTCCAGCGATTCTCCTGCCTCAGCCTCCTGAGTAGCTGGGATTACAGGTGTGCACCACCATGCCTGGCTAATTTTTGTATTTATTTAGTGGAGATGGGATTTCACCATGCTGGCCAGGCTAGTCTTGAACTCCTGACCTCAGGTGATCCACCCGTCTTGTCCTCCCAAAGTGCTGAGATTACAGGTGTGAGTCACCGTGCCCGGCCGATAACTCATTTCTTTTTAGCACTGAATAATATTTCCACTCTCTGGATATACTGTAATTTATTTATCCACCCACCTATTGAAGGATGTCTTGGTTGCTTCCAAGTTTTGGCAATTATGAATAAAGCTGCTATAAACATCCTTGTGCACAGTTTTGTGTGAAGTTCAGTTTTTAATTCATTTGGGTAAATACAAGAAGCATGACTGCTGGATCATATGGTAAGAGTATATTTAGTTTTGTGATAAACTGTCAAACTGTCTTCCAAAGTGACTGTACCTTTTGCATCCCCATCAACAACAAATGAGAGTTCCTGTTGCTCCACATACTTGCCAGCATTTGGTGGTGTCAGTGTTTTAGATTTTGGCAATTCTAATAGGTGTATAGTGGTATCTCATTGTTTTAACTTGCAATTCCCTAATGGCATATAGATGTTGAACATTATGATCACTTACCATCTGTATATCTTCTGTGGTGAGGTGTCTTTTCAAGTGCTTTGCCCACTTTATTTTTTAGAGACGGGATCTTGCTATGTTGCCCAGGGTAGTCTCAAACTCCTGGGCTCAAGCAATCTTCCTGCCTTAGCCTCCTATAGTGTTGGGATTACAGGCATGAGCTATTGCACCTGGCTCATTGCCCCGTTTTTTTGAGACCAAGTCTTGTTCCGTTGCCAGGATGGAGTGCAGTGGCATGCTATCAGTTCACTGCAATCTATGCCTCCTGGGTTCAACTGATTCTTATCTCTCAGCTTCTCAAGTAGCTGGGACTACGGGTGTGCACACCATGCCAGGCTAATTTTTGTACATTTAGTACAGACAGGTTTTCCTCATGTTGGTCAGGGTGGTCTCAAACTCCCGGCTGAAGTGATCTGCCCACCTTGGCCTCCCAAAGGGCTGGGATTACAGGCATAAACCACAGCACCCGGCCTCATCGCTCATTTTTAAATTGGGTTGTTTTCTTATTGTTGAGTGTTAAGAGTTCTTTGTATACTTTGGATAACAGTCCTTTATCAGAAGTACTTTTTGCAATACTTTTTCCCAGAATGTGGCTTGTCTCTCATTCTCTTGACAGTGTCTTTCAGTGCATAAGTTTTTAATTTTATTATAATGAAGTCCAGCCTATCAATTATTTCTCTCACAGATTATGCCTTTGGTTTTGTATCTAAAAAGTCATCTCC